>NC_000003.12:134917695-135220725 GCF_000001405.40 Homo sapiens | reverse complement strand
CACCTGGGTCCTCTCCTCTTCTCTCCTCTTTGCCCACTGCTTGGCTCCTTGGCCACAGGGAATAAAGAAAGGAAGACTTGACAGGTCACTTTGAAAAAGTCATTGCTGACCAGGAAAAAAAAAAAAAAAAAGGCCTCCAACAAAGGAAAGAGCTGGCCATGAGGAAAGGCGAGCACCTTGCACTCACAAGCAGAATCCATGGCTTTGAGCTTTTCTCTACGCCCTTTTTTCTTTTTATCAAACGCCCAGATGGCATGTATTCTCTAAGTGAGCAATATTAGAAGTCGACATGGATCTTTTCGCTGAGAACCTTCCTTTCCTGTTTCTTACTCTCTAGCTTTCTCACAGAGAAAGAGCTTACTTGAATGCTTTTGTGGGAGGATTAAAATAAAATCTTCATTTCTGAAATCATTCCTGCATATTCCCCCTGCAGCTAGAATGCCTGCGGGGTGAGCATCCGCAGAGCAGCCTTTGATTGGCCATGCCCTGGTCTTTCCCTTCCTCACTCAGCTGCTCTCTTTCCCCCTTGCTTTGACTTGGACTCACTCTCTCTTTTCCCTAGACATCTGTAGCCTATACTGGATGAGTTTCTTGACTACCTTCAGATTGTTGAATTCAGCATTCCCATAGGAAGTATAATGTGATTAGCCTTGATAGTGCTGGTTTTGAGCTACCAGGGTCTTTAGAAAAAAACTCTTGCCTGTGTACTCTTGGAGAGCTGAATTGAAGGGCCTAGTTACCCTTACCTGGATAAACATTTTGCCTACACAGATGTGCTAGATCCAGAGGCCTTCTTTGTGAGGGAATTCTGCTCTGTGTAGGGCCCATAAGGCAAACACTACAACATTCTGGAGCCCTATTAGTCTGGGTGCATGGGACAAGATCCCCGCCTTCCTTATCAATTTCTGTAACAATGCACAGGACTCTTACAGAACTGGACAGATTTGCAGACTCCTACAGTATCAAGGCTGATCAGGGCTTTAGAAACCGGAGGAGTCCCTGTTATTTAACATCTTGTGGTCACAGCTCTTGGAAGGCAATGCTTCTGCAAAATTACATTGCCAACTCAGTGAACATAACAACCAAGAGTTATAAAGATTTTTTGTTTTTTACATTTTTCTAAAATCTTATGCTGCAAGTCTGAAATCAAGGCTTTCGCAGGGCTATTCTCTCTCTGAAACCTCCAGGGGAGAATCCTGACTTGCTCCTTCTAGTTTCTGGTGTTTGCCAGCAAACCTTGACATTCCTTGGCATCACCCAACCTCTGCCTCTGCCATCACATGGCCATCTTCTCCTTGTGTGTCTTTGTCTAATCCCCCTTCTTTAATGACTCCAGTGATTGGACTTAGACTTAATCCTAATGCATTATGACATCATTCTTAACTTGATTACATCTGCAAAAGCCTATTTCCAAATAAGGTCACATTCACAGGTGCCAGAGGTAAGGACTCCAATGTATCTTTTTGGGAGGGATACAATTCAACTGATCCCAGGGCCCTTCCAGAGCTAACACACCTTTCACACTCTTTTCCAAACACTAGCCAAGTAGGCCTCCTGTTCACTATCCAGTAAGCACATCAAGTACTTTCTAGCCTCCTCTGTTCTGATGAGGCTTACGTCTACCTCAGTTTCTTTCAGTATCTCTTGGGCCTTTTCTGTGGGAGGGCAACTCTTCCCCCACCTGTGCTTGAGCTCAGGCTCCTCCAACTCCCTCCTCTCCTCCACACTCTGTCCTTGCTGAGCAAGCAGAGTCTGTGTCCAGCTCTGGGATCATTCCCATGAGGGAGGCACTGGCCATGCTCTTCCCCTAATTAACCCCTTTTCGTCCTTGGGCTTCAACACAGGTGTTCCTTCTTCAGGGTCTTGTGATACACGCTTGATATATGCTTCTCCGCCATAGCACCTAACAATTGCAATTATATAATTACTTGCATAATTAGTTGTTTAATGTCTGTCTTTTTTTGCTAGGAAGGAAACTTGAGGAGCTCAGGAACTACCTGTTTTGTTAACTGCAGTGTTATGCACATATTAGCTGCTTTAAAAATATGTATTGGCTAGGAGAACAGCCAGTAGAGGCACTGCATGGGCCTGCACCCAGGTGGCTGGCCCCTCCCACATGATGACAGGCATATTGAGGAAGAGGGCTTTGCATATCACACCCCTGTGGGGCCCAGAATGGAGAGATGTGTTTTCTGAGAAACCTGACCCACTCCTTGTTCCAGTCCCTGGGTACATGCTGGCTCAGGCTCTGAAATTCCATACTGATCCCACCCATGCTAATAATATACAGGCCTTACTAAGAATAATTATGCTGAGTCTTTTTCAAAAGGGAATTTCAGTCAGGGCCTGATATCCCTAACTGAGCATTGGTAACAAAGTGACCCAGGGAGAGATATCAGAGCAAGGAGGAGCCAAATCTGCCTGAAGAAGAATTATTTGAGTGGTGGAAAAGGGGATAGAGTGGCATTTGAATTATTTTACTCTCAGCTTAATTAATGTTAGAGCAGAATTTCCAGGGGACCAGGACTCAGTTTTATCCTGGCTTCAATTAAAGGGTCTCTCTGTCTTGTCTTTGCTTGTCTTCATCCCTCTCCACTTTCCTACCCACCCAAGAGACAGCCCTGCTACCCAAGCTCAATGATTGAAAGATGAGTAAGAAATCATAATTTGAAAACTGCCTCATGAGGCAGGCCATGAATCAGAAGAGAAGAAAACTATGATTTAAATGTAAATACTGCCAGGAGCTATGGGGAGAAGTAAAGCTGGACCTGGGGTCACTGGACAGAAAGCCAGTAAACCTTGCCCGTTCTGACAGATGAAGGTCATAGCCTTAGCCAAAATCTATCAGGCAGATGGATCGACCCGACTGAGAAGCAACTTCTTACAGTGGTGCAGCAAAGTGCAGACAGCTTTTTCCTGAAAATCTTGCAGAAAGGATTATCTTGGAGATAATTTTCTGCTTTCTTTGCACATTTTATAATGTACTAAGTGCATTATTAAAAAAATCTGAAACAGAGTACTGTTGCAGTCAAACTCACTGCTCAGGGGTAATGAGAGAAAAAAGTCCAGCTATTACCTGGTGCCTACTCGGAATGTTTGTGCCTGTACTTGTATGTTTCTGGGTAGCCCTGGGTGATTGCGTATAGTTCTGTGTGTACATCGCTCTGAATTTCACTGTGTATCTCTAACTATGCTTTGCGTAACAACATGTGCATAACTACACTACACACATCTCTCTCTCTCTCTCTCCCCGTGTGCGTGTGTGTGTGTGTGTGTGTGTGTGTGTGTGTGTGTGTGTGTGGTACTGATGGGAGTTATTCATTGCAGGCTTTAGGGGAAGTTCACAGTCTTTTTGTCCTCATCACAGAGTTCCCCTAACCCTAACCATTTTCTACCCATGAGGACTCTGCATAGCACTGCTGGTCCCTGGTGGAGCGGCAATGTCTGGGCAGTGTGGACACGGTGATGCCTATCCTCAGCACTGCCCTCAGTGCCCTGCTGCTACCAGGGACAGTGGTGGCAGGTCTGCTACTCATCTTGGCTGTGTCAAAGCCAAGAAGGTCTCGGGCTGTTTGTGGCACCCACATCTCCTGTGCAGGTCAGGTCTAGGGCCTGGCAGGAGGAAGGGAATGGCCCCTAAGGCTAAGGTTTTGGCATCCTCTTGACCTTTTCTCTTATGGATCCCCTCTTTGAAAGACACCCTAGCAAGTTCCCTGCCGAGAAAAGACCTTTTAATTCCAGACACAGGTGACCCCCATCAGGCACACCGAACTGCCTTCTTTCCTTGAACAGTGATTTACTTAGAAAAGATGGGGCTTTGCAACCAAAGTGATGCAAGAAAGTCCTCTTTGTTGAGATTCACCCCAGTTAACAGGGCATCTGGTTCACTGATAGATGCATAACAATGGAAATGATTGAGGTGTTAATTTGCATATTTTTGTTTCAGTGGTGTAGAAAAATCTCAGGACTGAGGGTGATTTTTTTTTTTTTTTTTTTTTTCCCTGAGACAGAGTGTCACTCTGTGGCCCAGGTTGGAGTGCAGTGGCATGATCTCGGCTCACTGCAACCTCTATCTCCTGGGTTCAAGCAATTCTCATGTCTCAGCCTCTCAAGTAGCTGGGATTACAGGCGAGTGCCAGTACACTTGGCTAATTTTTTTATTTTTAGTAGAGATGAGGTTTCATCATGTTGGCCAGGCTGGTCTCAAACTCCTGACCTCAAGAGATCTGCCCACTTTGGCCTCCCAAAGTGCTGGTATTACAGGCATGAGCCACCGTGCCCGGCTCAAGACTGAGGGTAATTTTTATCCACCTGTCTCCAACTCCTTCATACCAATCCTCAGGATCTCCAGGGCTGATTTGATAGGTTTTTGCTTTTTCTTTTCCACAAAAGAGTTGATGGATGAGGGGAGGGGTTCAGACTCTGGGAAATGGGTTGTTATGGGGGCAGATGTAGCAGCATCAGAATGAGGGTCCCAGGACCTAGAGGTAGATGCTGGTGTGGAGCTTTGTGCTGGCGGCACCTACTGGCCCTGTGCCCTCGCTGTCTCCTCGGTCTCAGACAACGTGATGGCTGGGTGGGCATCTGGGAAGTTGAGTCACAGCACAGGTGTTGCCACCCCGTGAAAAGATGCTGGAGCCCAAGTGTGGTCTGGGGCCTTCATGCTTCCCTGGGCTTGGAGAAGGAGAAGTTCTAAGATGACTGAAAATATACTTTCTTTTCCAGCCTGACAGGATGGGGATTTGGTGTCAGATTTACTTGGATTTTTGAGAAATACGGTAATTGACATTTCTTACAATGCAAGTTTGTGAAATAAAATTCATGCTCCCTGAAACGGTTTCAATGAAGAGGTTTTTCAAGTGGCCTCCAGGACTAGCAGGATCGGCATCATCTGGGAACTCACGTGACATGCAGATTCCAAGGCTCCACCTCAGATCCATGAATCAGAAACTCTTGGGTGGGGCCTAGCAGTCTGTGTCTTTACAAGCCCTCCAGGAAACTCTGGTCCCCAGGGAAGCATGAGAACCACAGGTTTCAATGGACACAGTCATTTTAGTTTCTTTTCCCCTGTTCTCTCTTGACAGGGTTTCCTCAGAATTTTCCCATGGTGATCCTGCCACGAGGTCCTCAATTTTCCTTCGCGAATATCAGCTTTTCTGGATTTCTGGTGGCTGTCTGCCTTATTGTTTTCTGTTATAGAGTGACTGGAAAGTGAGAAAGTTATAGGATCCTTTTCGCTAGTTAGCTTTAAAATGTACATCTGGGCCGGGCGTGGTGGCTCATGCCTGTAATCCCAGCAGCTTGGGAGGCTAAGGCAGGCGGATTACCTGAGGTCGGGAGTTTGAGACCAGCCTGACCAACATGGAGAAACCCTGTCTCTACTAAAAATACAAAATTAGCTGGGTATGGAGGCGCATGCCTGTAATCCCAGCTACTCGGGAGGCTGAGGCAGGAGAATCACTTGAACCCAGGAGGTGGAGGTTGCGGTGAGCCGAGATTGCACCATTGCACTCCAGCCTGGGCAACAAGAGCAAAACTCTGTCTTAAAAAAAAAAAAGAAAAAAGAAAAAAAGAAAACTGTACATCTGCCATCTCTTGCCATGGGATAGGGATTCTGAGAGATGGGGAAGCACTTATGGTAGCATCCACAACACTCATATAAGCTGTGACCAGGACGGAACTTGTCCTAGCATGTTCACCAGTTTATCAGATGGGTTTTTACAAATCTAACAAAATCATACAAACCCCATTTTATGGATGAAGAGAACTAGGCCCAAGTTCATAAAGCATAGTGTGATCCAAACCCTGCATTCCTCGTACCATGCCAAAGAACTATTTCACCACACCATGCTGGGAAAGAAAGTTCTAGAAATGGTCTTTTTGCCCCTTTCTCAGGCGACATTGCTGAACACAGGGATCAATTGGGCAGTACAATATCATGAATGAAGGCCGAATTTTGTGAAAGGAAGGGCCCTACAGATTTCAGCATGGAAGCGATTGTGGCTGAAATGCATGCTCTCTCCTGGAAGCACAGCGAGGATGGAGGCTGCAGCTGAGACAATAATTCATGGGAATAATGGATAATGGGTGTGTGTGGGGTTGGTGGTGGTGAGATGAGGGTGCTGCCTACACCATGACCTGGGATGACTGAAATTCGTCACAGAACAAAGACCTCTGGAGCGCACATGAGTGACAGGCCTGGCTTCCTCCAGCAGGTTCAGGATGGGCCATGGCACCAGGTGCTTACAGAGATTACCCTTGTAGAAAGGCTGTCCCTTGTCCCATGAGGGGAGGCTGGACCCTTCATGCCTGGTGCCCTAGAGCAGTACCAGAAATGAGTCTGATGCAGATGGAGCAGATTCTAGAGGAAATGGAAGAGCTGAGCTGTCCCCAAGTGGATCTAAGCAGTTAATGTGGGAAAGAGGGGCAGCAACCACCAGGGCAGCATGTGAGGAAGAGCTGACAAAGGGACAATGATCCAGGAAGGACAAGAGCACAGGGGGCAAATGGCCTGAGAGGAGGGGGCAGATGGCCAAGGAATGGTTCTGTTTGCAGTTCCCAGAAGGAAACAGCAGCAGGGCAGAGAACATCAGCTGACATGAGAAGAGAGAAAGTAAGGAGGAGGAGGAACTGGCGGGCTTGGAAGAAAGGGAGTCTCAGAAGTGGCAGAAACACAGAGTGTGAGAGGAACCGGGAGTTTGAGACAAGAGGAAGGAGCTGCAAGAGGAGTCAAAGGGGAAGGGGCTGAGGGAGATCAGAGGCGCCTTGAAGACTTAATGCAATTCATGATAATACAGGGAGGCCTGCAGAGAGCACGGCTGTGCAGAAGGCTCGAGCAAAGCTGGAGGCTTCTTGGAGAGACAGCCTGGGGGCTCTGAAGGATGGGAAAGTTGACACTACTTTAGCAGAAGGAACTTGACTGAATACTAAGAAGGGAAAATTATGCTCACAGAGGGACTGGATGGGCCTCTTCCTACTGATCAGAAGAGAAAGAAAGCCATGCTGAAATAGAGCTTTTGATTTAACCAGCATAAAGCTGCTATCCAGAGATTTGTGGGATCCTGTTGGAGCTCTGCCCACCAATGTCAGCTGATAAAAGGTAAAGATCAAGTTTGTGAGTGTGTACGTGAGCTCCAAATGCAATAAGTTAATCAAAGATGTGACACCTTTCCTGGTATGTGCATGCCCTCTTTTCTCTTGGTAACATTAGACAGAACCAGTAATAATGAGAAGGTGACCTGTGAGGTCAAACATCAAGAACTAGTCTATAACAGAAGCATGGGAATGTTTATTTGAACACACATAACGACATTCAGAAATATACCTGCCAAAAACAAAGTTGCGTAAACCATGCAAGTGTTCAGAGTCCAGCCTAGCTCATTTGTCTGTTTCTCTTAAAGAGCAGGAATATTAGTAGCAGTTCAGAACTATTCCTTAGTTTAGTGGATTTATTCCAATCATAAGAAAGCGCAAAGGAGAAAATTCGATCTGTTCATTATTTCAGGAGCTTCTTGGGAAGGAAATGCTCCTGGGGCTAGAAATAGCGATCTAAAACAGAAGGAACACCTGGGGGAAAACAAGGTGGAGAATTAAGGCAGAGTGAGAGATGAAGTTTGAGGACCTGGTAGGAAAAACTAGAAAACTTTAATAGCTATTAACGAGGTCTTCACTTACAAAGTAAAACCAGATGTATTAGAAGATGGTGATGTTAAAAAGATCTTGAAAGAACTGCATAAAATAGGGGAATTAAGATGGAGTAGAGAGGTCTTAAGTACTGTCTTATAGAACTGCTGATTAGGGGGATAAGCTGAATGTTCCACTTTTGGTGTCCAGTATGTTTCTAACAAATGGACTCTAGCAAACAACAAAGGAAGAAAAACACAAGAGAAGGAAAAAGAAAATACAGGAAAAATGAACTGAAGTTTCTGGAAACTGAACAGCACAAGGTTTTATCTTCTGTAGTTTTTCCCTAAGGGCAGCCATAGTCTGCTCAGTGGCTCAAACCCCAATAGAAAACCCCACTGTCTTTCTGACTGGAGGAACCAAGGGAACGAATTCAGCACAATTAGGGCTGCTGGAGAGTTGAGGGAGAATCCCTAGAAACAAGATAACAAGGGAAAGGTAATACCAAATTCTGTGTATAAAGTTTTCCCAATTTTCTAGCTGACCCCCGAAACACGCATGTATAAGACGGATTGAAAACCATAAAGAGCTGTTGCCCACTGCAAACATGACAGAGTTTACAGATTGAGTCTAACCAAGTTAATTTCCTGCTAAACCAAAAATACCAACACTCTGGTTCAGTGTAGCAGAATCCAATCACCACATCATAACGTTCATGTTTATAATCCCAAACTTCTAGATGTATAAAGAGCCAGAGAAATGTCTCCCATTTTCATGGGAAAAAACAAATAAGATGCTAATCCCAGGACCACCCAGATGTTAACATTATCAAAGATTTTAAAGCTGCTATGGTAGCTATGGTCAATGAGGTAAAGAAAAATATGCTTATGAATGATAAAAAGATAAAATATCAGCTGAGATTCTGAAAACTATAAAAAAGGATTAATTAGAAAATATAGCTCTAAAACATACAATTATTAGAAAAAAGTCACCGGAAGGGCTCAGAAACAAAACAAAGATGGCAAATGATAAAATCAATGAGTTTGAAAGTAGACCTGAAAAAGAGAAGAAAAAATCAGGGAAAATAATGAACAGAGCCTCAGGAACCTGTGGAACATTTTCAAAACTTCTCCCTCTAGATAACTGCAGCCCTACCAGAAGGAGGAAAAAAGAACAAAAATGATATTTGAAGAATATGGCTGAAAACTTTGCAAATACACTGAAAGACAGACATTTACAGATCTTATAAAGCATAGGGAACCTCAAACAGGATAAATTTGGGGAAAAAAGTATGCTCAGGCATATCATAGCCAAGGTAAAAACTAAAGATAATGAGAAAATCTTGGAAGCAGCCAGAGAAATATGACACAATGCGTATACGAATATGAATATATATGTGTGTGTGCATACTTATATATATGTAGGAGAACAATGATTCAAGTAACTGTGGGATTTCTCATCAGAAGCCATGGCAACCACAAGACAATGAAACAACAATGTTAAAGTGATGAAAGAAAACCCAAACTATAAACCAGAAGTGTATATCTAGCAAAAATATATTTCAGTAATAAATGCAAAATATAGACATTTCTCTGATAAAGAAAACTAAGAAATGCATTGCCAGAGACCTGCACTACAAAAAATGTTAAAGGTAGTTCTTCAGACTGAAGGAATGATGCCAGAGGGAAACCTGGATCTTCAGGAATAAAGGAAGAACAAGAGAAATGATAACTATTTTGAGGCAATGTAAAACATTTTCCTCTTGATTTCTTTAAAATACACATGGCTGTTTAAAGCAAAAATTGTAACATTGTCTTTGGGACTATAAATGTATGTAGATGGAACATATATAACAATGATAACATAAAGAGCAGTGGGAGTGGATGGTTAAATGGATCTATATGATATGATTATGTGGTCTCTACATTTTATGTAAAGTGGTACAATATGAACTCAAAGTAGACTAGGAAAAATTAAGACGTATATATTATATATGCATATGTTACATATTATTATGTTAGTTCTAGAGTAACTATGAAAAAAGTAAATGCAAAGAAGTAAAGCTGAAAATCAAGAATAAGTAAAAGTTAAGTGTCTGCCCATCTCTGCCTGTACATGGGGTGGAGAGGGATGCAATACCACCGCGTCTCTGTGCCTCATCCAAGGGCCAGTAGAGCCAGTGGCAAAGATGACGGCTGATTTGGACTCTACAGAGAATCCTTTGCTGGGCCTTTGAGAGGAAAAGAGGGAAAAGTAAAGCCAGAGAAACAGGCTTTCTAGAACATCACAAATGACCAAAGTTGAGCAGGGAGTCTGGCACACTGTGGGGCCAGAGAGGGAATCACAGTGTCCTGAGCATTGGACTCAGAGTCTGGAGAACGAGATGGAAGGGCCAAAGCTGCCGCTGCAATAGCACGCTGTGTGGCTTGAGTAACTCACTTGACCACTCTGGGCTGTGGATTCCTCATCCAAAAGTGAGGAGGTTGGGTTTATGGCAAATTCTTATTTCTTAATTGACTGTCAGGAGGAAGGGACAATTGGACAGCTACTGTTCCTATCTTATGTACATCTGTATTGGCAAACTGGGCTCCTTCATGTCCAGAACCAGGCTCTTTTCCCATTCTATCCTTTCCCAAATGAAGTACATTTGCACGCACTGTTTTGTTTCTGTTTGTATGCCAACGATGACTCCTAAATGTGCATCTTCATTTGGACTTCTCCTCTATGCCCCAAACCCACATATTCAGCTCCCTATTCAGCAGCTCTACTGTGATATCCTATAGACATATAAAAGTCAAAATGTTTAAACAAGTGTCTCTCAGAATTTTCTAAGTATCAAAATCATATGGAAAATTTTAGTAACAATGAAAAGGTCCAGACTATTCTACTTCAATGAGTCTGTGCCTCTGTGCTCTGTATTAACTCTCCAGGTAAATCTGATACTCAACAACATTTGAGAATTTGAGAATTGAGAATTTGAGAATAACTATTCTGAACCAAACCCACAATCTATTCCCAACTCTTCTACTCCTTCAACCAATTTCTCTCCAGCATCCTCACTCTCAGAGAATGGAGCCATCACCCATCCAGAGGCACAGGCTGGATACTTGGAGTCATCCTCCGCCATCTGTCACTTTCACCTGTAAGTGGCATCTGCTGTCAAGTCCTTCTGCATCACCCCACTAGAACTTCTGGGATTCATTTGCTGCATCCCAGGCCCATTGCCCCGTAGCCTCCTGATGCATCTTCCTGTCTCTACTAGTGCCTCTCCCACCCATCCTCCATGCTGCAGTCAAGGTAAATTTAAAAATATATATATTTTATTTTGAGACAACTTCAAATATCTATAAAAGTTGCAAGAATACTACAATGAATGCCTGTACACTCTTCCCTTAGGCACCCTATTCCAGCCCAACAATTGTCCTAGAGATGTCCTGTTAAGGATCACATGGTATACCCAGTATCATGCCCCTCAATCTGGAGCAGTTTCTCTGTCTCCTTGACTTTCACGACCCTAACATTTTTTGAAGCGCATAGGCCACACATTCAATAGAATGTACCTCAGTTTTAGGTAGTCTGATGTTTTCTCATGATGAGACCCAAGTTATAAATTTTGAACAGAGTATTGCAAGTATTATGTTCTTTTCATTGCATCCTCTAAGTTGCACAGAATATTTACCTGTCCTATTATTGCTGATGTTGACTTTAATCACTTGATTCAGATGGCATTTGCCAAACTTCTCTGTAAAGTTACTTTCTCCCTCTTTGTAATAAATAAATATTTTGGGGGGAGAAACTTTGAAGATATGTAAAATCCTGTTTCTCTCCTGATGTTCACCTTAAGTTTAAGCATCCATTTATGTTTCTTATCTGAATTAGCTATTAATCTGATGGTTGCCAAATAGTGAGTTTCTAACATCATCATTCTTTCCTCTACAGGGAAGAGCTTTCTCTTGTTTCTATTTGTTCATTTATATGCATATTAGTGTGGACTCAATAGCCCCCATCTTATTCAGTAGATTATAACTTGTTACTATTATTATATATTGTGAGGCTCAAATTATCCAGATTTGGAGGCCCTTCAAGCTGGATGTTGTTTTTGTTGTATGTTCCCATTATTCTTTGAGTACTTTCTCATTTTCTGGCACAAAAAAAAGATGTGTTGGTCTCATCTCACATTTTCCCTCTCCAGGCCTTGGAAGGGGCCATGTCTCTAATGAGTCCTGGTTGCTTTTAGGGGAGTATATGGAATCCAAGATCTGAGAGCCAGCTGTACTCCTTGCTATGTAGATGTTACTGCTTCAAAGCCACTCTCAGCCTATATTTATTTCTCCATTTCTATATATTTAAAACCACCGGTTCACACTAATACCTCCAATTTTGATTCCACAGCATACAATTCATTCTAGCTTTTATGCTTTCCATATTTATACCTCTGTTCCCACAGTTTCCATTATTTCAAATTTATTTTTAAATCTCCCTGTATATAGCTTGTCTCTCAATCTTGCTGAGCCAGCAGCCCATTCACACATGGGTCCTGATCTCTGCTAGGGCTTGCCTCCCTTGTTTAGAACATCTACCCTGGTTGAGTCTGCTTAATGGCTTTTTGGTGAAAGAAAACAGGAAGAAATCCAAGAAAGTTATTTCTAAAGAAGGCAAGGAAAGATATTGGAAGGAAAAGGCTAAGGAAAAGCCAGGCTATTTTTCTAAAATTCAAATCCATCACTTTCGGGCCACACGTGTGCATCTCTCTGTGTGCACAACACACACACACACACACACACACACACACACACACACACACACACACACGTCATGAAAGGTTTCCCATTGCTCTAAGGCTGCAACTCCTATCACAGCGTTTGGGGAAGATCCTACATGATGGACTGCTACAGGCCTCCTTGGATGCTTCCTCCCTAAATCTCCAAATGCCCTAAACAGGGGTCCCTTCTCAGTTCCACTCCATCTTCCCTCTTGCCACAGGGCCTTTGTATATGCTGCCTCTCTGCCTCTGAAGTCCGACCTGCCACATTTAGTTGGGGCAGAATGCTGTAGATTGAATGTTTATGTGTCCCCCAAATTCATATGTTTAAGTCCTAATAATCCCCAATTGGGTGATATTTGAAGGTGGAGCCTCTGGGAGGTGACTGCAGTTAGTTTATGTCATGAAGGTGGAGTCCCCAAGATGGGATTGATGTGCTTTCAAAAGAGGAAGAGGCAAGATCTCTCTTTCTGTGCACATGCCAACAAAAGGCATCTGAGGACATAACCAGGAATAGAGCCCTCAATAAGAATCCAACCATCCCTAGTTAGCACCTTGATCTTGGACTCCCAAGCCTACAGATGACAAGAAATAAATGACCGCTGTTTAAGCCATCCAGGGTGTGGTAGCTTGCTATGGGAGCCCAGGCTGACTAAAACAGTGACTGTTCTTTAAGTCTCTGCTGTAGCACCATCTCTTCCTCTGCAAGCCCTCCTAGACACAGTTAGGCAATTTTGTTATTTATTGTTTTATGCATGCTCTCGCAAAACATAGCGGCCCTTATTTCAGCTGGTAATTATGCACTCATTTGGGCATGTGTTTGATTAATGTCCCCAGTCCTCACTTAACTGAGAGCAGTAACAATGTCTCCTTTTGATCATGATTATGTCCCCAGCTTGTGGCCTAATGTTGACACATAGTAGATACTCAATAAATATTTGTCACTTGAATAAATTGTTTGTATTTTTAGAAAAAATATTTGCTTAATAATCAAAAATAATTTTTTCTATTTTGAATAAAAGGCAAAGTGTGGAGAAATGATAGTAAAATATAGTGAGACAGGTGGCCATATCACTGTGTAGAATCCTGAGAACTCTTAGGCCTAGAAACATATAAGCTCTATCATCTACAAAGACACTTATCACAGCAAGTAATCCAAATAATGTGTACAGAAAAATAACGTGGGAAATCTTTTACCAAAGAAACTTTTAATGTCGTGTATATGTAAATTGTATATTTGGCTGACATCATTATTTAGGTGACTTAGGATCATTGAAATGTTAATCTTCCTAAAGACAGAGTAGAATTTCAGTCAAAATCCACATGTGAGTATACATGTATATGTGCATGTTTTGAAACTGGACAGGAAGATTTTAAATTGCACTTGAAAGAAAAGATATTTGAGAACAGTCAAGGAAGCTTTTTTTTTTCTTAAAAGAAGGATAATGAAGGATAACTTGCTTTACCCAGACAGTAAGACACTTTTTTTTTGAGATGGGGCTCCCCTCTTGTTGCCCAGGCTGGAGTGCAATGGCGCAATCTTGGCTCTCTGCAACATCTGCCTCCCAGGTTTAAGCAATTCTCCTGCCTTAGCCTCCCAAGTAGCTGGGATTACAGGCATGAGTCACCAAACCTAGCTAATTTTTTGGATTTAGTAGAGGCGGGGTGTCACCACGTTGGTCAGGCTGGTCTCGAACTCGTGACCTCAGGTGATCCACCCACCTCGGCCTCCCAAAGTGCTGGGATTACAGGCACAGGCCACCATGCCCAACCTACAGTAAGACTTTTAATAAAATTACTATAATCAGAATACAGACAGGAAAACTTTTGCTAACATTATTATAATCAGGACAACACGGTTGAGCATAAGAATAAATAGATTAAAAGAGCAGAATTGAGAATCAAAACATAGTTTCATATAATGAACTTAATATGTCAAGGATGACATATGATTCAATAAAAAATGAATAATATATTTAATAAGTAGTGCTGGCATAATTGTTCACCTGAACAAAACAGTGTGAGAATATACTTCCCAATACATAGTCAAAAATGAATTCCGGAATATTCCTGGTGTCTATCAACAAGTGAATGGACAAATAAACCATGGAATATTACTCAGCAATAAAAGGAACAAACTCCTGCTTCACACACAACATGAACGGTTCTCTTAAATATAATGCAAGTGAAAGCAACCAGATGCAAAAAAGCACATGCTGTATGATTCCACTTATATGAAGTTATAAAACCAATTGATGGTCAAAAAAATTAGAACAGTGGTTGCCTCTGGGTATGGATGTGGGTGAGGATGCAATGGGGAGGGATGAGGTTAGGGGGATTCCTGGTTTGATGGCAATGTTCTGTATCTTGATGAAAGTTTGGGTTACACAGTTGCACGCATTTTTAAAAACTCTATAAATGTACACTTGAGACTTGTGAGTTTTACTCTATGCACACTTTACCTTAAAAAAGAACCATAAACAAATACATGTTAGAGACATGTATGCTAAAATGGCTAGGGGTGATATGTAATGATGTCTGCAAATCACTTGGAAATACATCAAAACAATAGATGGTGTGATGGATGGGCAGAGGGATGGATAGACGGATAGTTACATGATAAAGCAAATGTACCAAGATATTAATTCCAGAATCTAGGTGGTAGGCATATGACTGTTCTCTGCCAAATTCTATCAAGTTCTCTGTGTGCTTGAAATTTTTCAAAATAAAATGTGGGAAAAATAAATACATTTCACAGGTACTAAATATTCAAATATAAAACAAACCCCCTTCCCAATAAAATAGCCCAGGAAACCAGGAAATATTTTATAGCCTTGGAGTGAACATAACTTTTAAAATAAACCAGGTAACCCAAGAAGACATAGCTATTACATGAATGTTAACCACTTTATAAGCCAGAGGGTATCATAAACAGTATAAAGGAATAACAGATGGGGGAAAAGATAAATTGTATCACACATGGCAGGCAAAGGAGTAATGTCTGTAATATAAAAAGACTTTCTATAAGTTTCTCAGAAATCAACAAACAACCCGATAGAAAAATAGATAAGGACACGTACAAACAATAGAAAACACAAATCCCTGCACCATGTGAAAAGATATCAATGTCACTAGCAGTCAGTTGAAAATGTAAATTAAAACAAAATGATGGTACTTATACACAATGGAGTACTATTCAGCCATAAAAAATAATGAGATCCTGTCATTTGCAGCAACACGGATGCAATTGAAGGTCATTATGCTAAGTGAAATAAGCCAGGTACAGAAAGATAAACATTAAATGTTCTCACTTATTTGTGGGATCTAAAAATTAAAACAATTGAACTCATGGAGATAGAGAGTAGAAGGATGGTTACCAGAGGTTGGGAAGGGTGGTGGTAGGGGGTGGTGGTAGGGGGTATGGTTAAATACCAAAAAAAAAAAAAAAAAAAAAAAAAAGAATAAAACCTAGTATTTGATAGCAAAACAGGGTAACTATAGTCAACAATAATTCAATTATACATTTTAAACTGAAAGAGGCTGGGCATGGTGGCTCATGCCTATAATCCCAACACTTTGGGAGGCCGAGGCGGGCAAATCACTTGAGGCCAGGAGTTCGAGACCAGCCTGGCTAACATGGCAAAACCCCTTCTCTACTTAAAAAAAAAAAAAATTAGCAGGGCATAGTGGCGCACATCTGTAGTCCCAGCTACTCAGGAGGCTGAGGCAGGAGGATCGCTTGAACCCAGGAGGCGGAAGCTGCAATGAGCCGAGATCGCACCACTGCCCTCCAGCCTGTGTGACAAAGACTCTGTCTCAAAAAAATGAATAAATAGGCCAGATGCAGTGGCTCATGCCTGTAATCCCAGCACTTTGGGAGACCAAGGTGGCCAGATCAACTGAGGTCAAGAGTTCGAGACCAGCCTGGCCAACATGGCGAAAACCCATCTCTACTGAAAATACAAAAAAGTTAGCTAGGCATGGTGGTGGGTGCCTGTAATCCCAGCTACTTGGGAGGCTGAGACAGGAGAATCGCTTAAACTCTGGAGGCAGAGGTTGCAGTGAGCCGAGATCATGCCATTGCACTCCAGCCTGGATGACAAGAGTGAAACTCTGTCTCAAAAAATAAAAAAAAATAAAAAACTTAATTAATTAAGATAACTAAAAGGGTATAATTGGATTGTATGTAACACAAAGGATATATACTTGAGAGAATGAATACCCCATTTTCCACGATGTGATTATTATGCATTGCATGCCCGTATCAAAACATCTCATGTACCCTATAAATATATACACTTGCTCTGTACCTACAAAAACTAAAAATCAAAAAATTAAAATTAAAAATTAAAAAAGTAGACATATGTGAAATTTAAAAATGAGGCATCATTTTTCATTGTTGAAGCAGCAACCCTTTGTGAGGGTGGATCACCTCCAGGCCTGGTGAGGATGCTGAAGCCCGGCACCATACACTCCTGGTAGAGTGTGAATGTTTGCTAACTTTCATAAAAGTAATCTTGGCGGCAATGATGCCCAAAAGACACCCCAGATCACAGAGGAATAGGCATAATATGATCCAAATTTTGTAGAATAAAAATTTTCAAATTTTTGACCAAAAAGAAAAATGTCAAAGAAGGCACACCTAATTGTTGAAAATTAATGCGTCAGGGCAGGTGCAGGTAAACTATGGTCTGAAAGCTAAACCTGGCTGGTCCCTTTTTTGATAGTTCATGAGCTAAGAATGATATTTATAACTTTTTAAGGGGTTAGTTACATTCTAAATGGTTATATAATTATCTACATGGTATCTTTCATTTTGCCTCTTAGCCGGCAAAGCCTAGAATATTTACTAGATGGCCGTTTGAGAAAAAGTTTACCAATCCCTGCCTCAGGGGAATTTTAGTTTATTTTTTATTCTTTTTTTTAAATTTTACTTTAAGTTCTGGGATACACACACAGAATATGCAGGTTTGTTTCATAGGTATACATGTGCCCTGGTGGTTTGTTGCACCCATTAACCCATCATCTAGGTTTTAAGCCCTGAATGCATTAGGAATTTGTCCTAATGCTCTCCCTCCCCTTGCTCCTCATCTGCTGACAAACCCCAGTGTGTGATGTTCACATGTGTCACATGTGTCCATGTGTGATGTCTCCCTGTGTCCATGTGTTCTCATTGTTCGACTCCCACTTATGAGTGAGAACATGTAGTGTTTGGTTTTCCGTTCCTGTGTTAGTTTTCTAAGAATGATGGTTTCCAGCTTCATGCATGTCCCTGCAAAGGACACGAACTCATTCTTTTATATGGCTGCATAGTATTCCATGGTGTATATGTGCCATTTTCTTTATCCAGTCTATCATTGATGGGCATTTGGGTTGGTTCCAAGTCTTTGCTATTGAGAATAGTGCTGCAAAAAACATACATGTGCATGTGTCTTTATAGTAGAATGATTTTTAATCCTTTGGGTATATACCCAGTAAAGGATTGCTCGGTCAAATGGTATTTCTGGTTCTAGATATGTGAGGAATCACCACACTGTCTTCCACAATGGTTGAACTAATTTACACTCCCAGCAGCAGTGTAAAAGCATTCCTATTTCTCCACAGCCTCACCAGCATCTGTTGTTTCCTGACTTTTTAATGATTGCCATTCTAATTGGCGTTTCCTTTTACTTCTCTGCATTGTTTTGATTTTTGTAATAATTATGCATTACTTTTGCAGGTTTAAAGAGGATAGACAGATAGACAGGTTAGTAGGTAGATCAGTCACTTTGGGTGCTGTTGAAATGGATGTAAGGAGACAAAAGGAAAGGGACACCAGTTAGGAAGCCACTGTAACAATCCAGGTGAAAGGGAATGGTGCTTTGGAATAGGGTGGGGGCAGTAGAGATGGAAAGAGGGATAGATTTTTTGGTACCCTATGGGGGCCGCTGAGGGATTGAAAATAAATGGACACAGAAAGAAATCAAACATCATTCCTAGGTTTCATTCTTTAGTTAAGTGGTGCCAACTACTGAGATGGAGGGACTAGGGAGAGGATATTGGAGAGTAAATCCCAAGCTCTATTTTCGGCTTGTTAAAGTTCTAAATGAAATTGTGTGAACTAGGCAGTTGGATATAGATAATTAGAGCTGCTCAGAATGTAGAGGGGGAGGCTGAGCAGGAAATACAAGTTTAAGAGTACTCATCGTGTTGACGGTACTTAGAGCTATTTGGAAGCAATATAGAGAGAAGAGAGAAGGGGATCAAGAGTCTACCTAGTGACACAGTTCCCAACCCAGCTGCAGACTGAAGGCCTCATGCATGCCTGGGGTCTGCTCTCTGCTGACAGATGCCTCTGGTACCAGTGTCTACCTGCTTGGATTCCCTCAAATCATCTGTTCCAAAATTTCCTCTTCCCAAGGAACACTATAGCTTCATAATAGACACTGACCCTTCCTCACAGTCCAAGCCCAAATGCTTGCTTTCTTGCTTGAACAACCAGCTGCTATGGCTTCTCCCAGCTGGATGGTCCTCCTGGCATCTTGGTCTTTCAGTGGAGAGCTCAGTTCAGGTTCCATTCCCTCCCAGTGTGCCCTGTCACAGTTCCCAGCCATGTAGAGTCCCCTTTAACTCATGCCATGCTTCTACTTGAGAATGCCAAGAAGGACTCACCAAGGAGCTGGTGTAGGTGGGATCTGAGGTGTCATCCTGGAGGTAGCGGGAGAGGCCAAAGTCGGACACCTTGCACACCAGGTTACTGTTGACCAGAATGTTCCTAGCAGCCAGGTCCCGATGCACATAATTCATCTCAGCCAGGTACTTCATGCCAGCAGCGATGCCCCTGAGCATACCCACAAGCTGGATCACGGTGAACTGCCCGTCATTTTGCTGTAATAAGACATAGAGGGCATTGGGATCAAGACGGGCTTCAATGGTTAAGCAGAGGGAGAGATGTTGTGGCCCTGCTGCTTGTCAGCTTCTGTCTGCTCCAGGCCAAGCCACTCACTGTGTCCTCCTCTCTTCCCACTCCCATCCCCCATTCTTCTCCTTGAATGTTTTGTTCTCTTCTCCTTGCCAAGCCCTGTCAATTTTGTCTCCAAATTACATCTCAAACCCATTCACTTCTTTCCATCTCCACTGCCGCCAGTCCAACCAAGTCGCCATCATCCATCACCTACAACAGCCTCCTTGCCCGCCCCCCAATCCATTCTCTCCAGCCAGAGCCATCTTTTTAAGACATAAATCAGGCCATGTCAGTCCCTGGCTTAAAAATATCTAATAGCCTCCCATTGCATTAAGGAAAATCTCCAAACTCCTTAGCACAGTCCATGAGACCGCCTGGGATCAGCTACTGCCTTACCTTAGGCCACCATACCCATCACTAATGTACTAAAGCCACAGTGACTGGCACCCTTTCTTCTTTTCCAAGACAAACTCTTCCTGCCTTAGGGCCCTCAACATGTGCTATTCCCTCTGTTTTCCCTCCAACAATCGACATCTACTTGCCCTTCAGTTCTCCGCTTAAATGTCACTTTCTTAGAGAGGACATCCCTTTAACTCCCCCCCAAAATATGATTAGCACTTTCTCATGACAAATGTTTAGTGCATACTCTTAGTCTTCTTAGCACATATCACAAGTTTTAATCGTGTGTGTGTGTGTCTTTCTGTCTGTCTGTCTCTGCTGCTTGATTTTATACTCTTGGAGGACAAGAACTCTGTCCTTTTTGGTCACCATAGTATTATCAGTGCTGTAAACTTTAAGGTAGATAGAAAATCTCAATAAACACAAGTTGAATGAATGATGAATACATCTTTTCCTCTTTCCAAAATCAAGCATGTAAAGCACCTTCTCTGGGTAATCCCAGGGCTTTCAGCCCTTAGACTGGTATAACCACACCTACCTCATAGGGACAGTGGGTCAGGGGAACCTCATGCACAGCGTCTGGCACAGGGAACTCTCCTAGTGAATGGGAGCTGTTGCTGCTCCTCTTCATGGCAACCTGCAGTGCTGTCCTCTCTCCTATCATTTGTGGGCTCAGAGTTTCTTGGGTGGATGCCCTCCCTCTGGTTAGACAACAGACTCTTCAGTGAATAAAACAGTGTCTTCCTCCTATCTCCCCAAGGCTCCTGGGTCTTGACTTTGCACACACCAGTTAAATCAGTAGACCCTAAGCTATACTGCCAAGAACATATTTTCCCATCTAATCTAGCCCCAAATGCTCCCCAAAGGGCTGAGAATTATGTTCTATAAGTAGAGCACAGCCTAGTCATTAGAATGCTCTGACTGGAGGAGAGATGGAAGCAGGACACCTGGGGTCTAGTCTATGTTTACTGCTAAACATAGGCACTCTGCAAGGCAACCACCACCTGCATCCCAGAGTCCTTATGTGAAATGCAGAAAGCATAGACAATGAGAGGAGCTCCCATCATTGAGCATCTACTGTATGCGAGATGTTACACAATGCACTCACATGCATATGCTCCTGCAAAAGCATTTTCTATGCAAAAATAAGCAAGGAAAAATAAAAGACCTGTTATAAAAATACTCTACTTAGGAGCAACAACAACAACAATCAAAAAGTCTAACAATGATTGCATGAATTGTTGGAAACTCTGTTCCTCATGCAAGATTGCAAGCCTGGATCCATGTTCTGGGGGTTATGCTCCTTGATCAATTGAAGGAATAGAGCAAATTGACTTTCTCCCTCCTAAAGATGTCTGCCAGTAGAAGGGCCCCCAAACATATTGTGTTTGACACACTTCAAGTTCCAGGCTATTTCTAACTCTAACTTTAACCACCTCCAAACCTGCCCAGGAGATTGAATGTATGCTTTCTCCATAATAGATTCTTCTAAGCAACTCAAAAAGAAAGTTTAGAGCTACTTTTTGGAAACTCTGACTGGTTTTCAGCACGTTGCCCATCTGTGAGCTGGATGTGCAGTGAGTGATGCAGATCTTCCTTCTCACTAATACACTTCAATCAACACCTTCTCAAGAAGTTAGGCAGGCTGTTGCTAGCACGAAGCATTTTCTCCAAGTAGGTCTCTGGGGATTTGCTTCTTCAGAAAGTTGTCATGCAATTTCTATATATTACAGAGGTGTATCTCAGCCACAAGTCACATGGATTGTATTTTTTCAATTCAGTCTATTATTTCCTCTCTGTAAGTATAGGCAACAGTGTCTACACATACAGAATGTCTCCCTAAAAAAGATGGCATTTGGGGAGAGCACTGGGGTGGCTTAAACAACTTTGAGAACAGTAATGTTGAAAGTGCATGCAGCAATGTGTCTACATTTTTGCTTTAAGTCATTTAAGTCTTCTTAGAACTTCTTTATTATCTGATTTGTTTTAAAATTTAGATTATAAATTTTATAGTTTCTGGGGTCAAAAAAGACCAAGAAATGAGGAAAGGTCCAGGCTTTGGAGCCAGCAGACCTGATTTGGATCCAGGCTCTGCAGCTTAGTGGTTGTGTGGGCTTGGGCAAGTTATTTAACCTCCAGAGCAGTTATTTCCACATCTGTAAAATAAGAACATAGTGTCCGTTCTTCATAGGGTTCTGGTGAGACTAAATGAGATAACACATATGAAAGGCCCTAGCTCAGTGCCTTGTGTATCCTAAGACGGTAGCAATGATCCCTGCTAACATCAGCAGAGCCTAAGTAACGGCTCACAAGTCAGTTCCCCTGTACCTCAGATGAGTGTGGTGAGAGAGACTGAGGACACCTGGGACCAGAACTCTGGGTTTTCATGGCTTCCTGGGTGTGTGTGTGAAACATCCTGGGATCATTGTCCTTGGGGAGCCCACTACTCAGCACATGCTGAGCTCAGCAGGTAACAGATAGGCACCTGTAATTGTAGGAGATGGTTGGGACCTAATGATGCAGGCCTAAACTTTGGCTCAATTAGTCACAAATGTTGGTAGCATCCATCACTTGACTTTTGAATGGCACATAATACTTACAGAATATGTTTAGATCCTTAAAACCAGTCCTGTGCAGTAGGCAAGACAGGCAATATTATATTGTTTTCACAGACAAGATAAAGGAGGTCCAGAAAATGTATGTGATCAGCCTTAAATCACGGTGTGGGTTTGAGTTATAACAGTAATCAAAGTTCAGAATGGTAAATCACTTCTCCACTGACAACCCATCTCCGATCAACTGGTAATGGTGGCCTCAAACGCTGTGTGGAGAAAAAGGCTGTGCATAAGCTTTGCAGGGAGAAGAACCATGATGGATTAGTGATGCTACTCTTATCTGGGTCTTCTAACTCCTATCCTGTGCTTTTGCCATTGGAATATGCTGACTCTGCAATGGGCAATACATTTTCTTTAGAATCTTCAAGAGAACCACATATCAAGATATGTAGGGTCATGTCTGCTGAATTCGTAACCTTGGTGAAATTTAAAGATAAAAACATATTAAGATTTTTCTGGCATGTTTAACTGTTACATGCTCAGTTGATTGGCATAATTCTCCAAAAAGAACTTCCAGAGATATGAACAGCAGCATTCAAAGATGAACAAGATAAGAAAAAAAAAAACTAACTTATTTCTTGGTGACTTTGGGAAAGAACCTGGCTCCATGCTGAGCACATAGTAAAAACATAGTACAGAGAAGAAATACAGGTCTAGGTGAGGTGATTTAAACTTTCCTCCCTTCATGAAGTGCTTTCTGCTGAAATTGCTTTTCTGCAAATGCACCGAAGCCACTTGCTGGCCCTTATATTAGACAGGAAGGATTTAGGTATTTCAACTTTCATTGACGAATCCACTTCAGGAAATGAAACTCTTATTTGATTTGTTTGAACAAAATGAATCATAGATTTTTTCTAACTGAAAGGGACCTTTCAAGCTCATCTAGCTCAATGCCTTTAGTTTATAAATTGGAAAATTGAGTTAACAGGTTTGCTCCAGGCCACAGGGTGACTCACAGCAGAAGCCAAAGCAGAACCTTGGTCTCAGGACTTCCAATCTGGTGTTCTCTTCCTGACTTCTGGGTTGCTATCTTCTAGCTGCAGCCCATGAATGAGCTTCTCTGATGAGAAATGTCCCCGTTTGACATTACTCAGCGACTTTCAAGAGTCTTCCAGTTATGATTATCTGTGAAAGAACCAGCAGCAACCACAAAGCCAAGCTTTAGGCAAGAAGGCCTTATGGCGCATGTCAAGAACCATGTTAACTAAACCATGGGATACTGGTCACAGCTTCAGGAATTGTTTCGCTTATTATTATTTTTTTTGTCTTTTTTTTTTTTTTCCTTTTTCTGGAGAACGGGGTCTCGCTATATGGCCCAGGCAGGTCTCAAACTCCTGGGCTCAAGCTATCCTCCAGCCTCTTTCCTCCCTGAGAGCTGGGATTACAGGCGTGAGCCACCGCGCCCAGCCGAATTGTTTCTAATATTACGGAAGAGCCACCAGGTTGAATCCCTTGAATTTGAGTATCAAGAAGGAAAAATTTAATTATGGATTTGTATGCTATATAATCCATGGCACAATAATTTTTAGAAAATTGATAATAATGAACCATCTACTGAATGTGTGGTTGAAGCATAATGGTATCTCTCAGATGCTGATTCAGGGCTAGAACCGTAGCCACTCTCCAAAGACGCTATGACCAGTGGGAAAGGAGAAGTTGGAGGGGAGGAAACAGTTCCAGAAATTGAAGACTAATCCTTTTCCTTTCTTCTCTGAGTAGTGATCCTAAAATTATCCTACTTCCCAGAAGATGGACCCTGTAGAACTGAACTGATGACCTATTTTTCGATTTTATCAAGCAGCAGATATGTCAATTAATGTTGCTATGCTCCAGGGTTCGGTAGTAAGGCTGAAATTAGATTTATAGATTACCTGCCTCCATGCAGTGTGAGGAGTCAGAAACGCTTCATTTCCCCCTCTCCTCCTGGCACTGCCTGCTCCCACCACTCCTTTCTTACCATGCCTGCTCCTCTGTTTTCCCGTGCTCCTCTCATGCCCCCAGGTTTTCTTCCCCTGCAAGCTCAGCTCATCAACATGAGAAATGCTGGTGTCCAACATGCCTCCGTGACCTGAGCCCCAAATGAAAACAGGCCCTAGGCAACCTACAAAATGGGAGAAAATTTTCGCAACCTACTCATCTGACAAAGGGCTAATATCCAGAATCTACAATGAACTCAAACAAATTTACAAGAAAAAAACAAACAACCCCATCAAAAAGTGGATGAAGGACATGAACAGACACTTCTCAAAAGAAGACATTTATGCAGCCAAAAAACACATGAAAAAATGCTCATCATCACTGGCCATCAGAGAAATGCAAATCAAAACCACTATGAGATACCATCTCACACCAGTTAGAATGGCAATCATTAAAAAGTCAGGAAACAACAGGTGCTGGAGAGGATGTGGAGAAATAGGAACACTTTTACACTGTTGGTGGGACTGTAAACTAGTTCAACCATTGTGGAAGTCAGTGTGGCGATTCCTCAGGGATCTAGAACTGGAAATACCATTTGACCCAGCCATCCCATTACTGGGTATATACCCAAAGGACTATAAATCATGCTGCTATAAAGACACACGCACACGTATGTTTATTGTGGCACTATTCACAATAGCAAAGACTTGGAACCAACCCAAATGTCCAACAATGATAGACTGGATTAAGAAAATGTGGCACATATACACCACGGAATACTATGCAGCCATAAAAAATGATGAGTTCATGTCCTTTGTAGGGACATGGATGAAATTGGAAATCATCATTCTCAGTAAACTATCGGGAGAACAAAAAACCAAACACCGCATATTCTCACTCATAGGTGGGAATTGAACAATGAGATCACATGGACACAGGAAGGGGAATATCACACTCTGGGGACTGTGGTGGGGTGGGGAGATGGGGGAGGGATAGCATTGGGAGATATACCTAATGCTAGATGACGAGTTAGTGGGTGCAGTGCACCAGCATGGCACATGTATACATATGTATCTAACCTGCACAATGTGCACATGTACCCTAAAACTTAAATAAATAAATAAATAAATAAATAAAAAGAAAACAGGCCCTAGGAAGAGCAGCAGTGTGGGGTTTTGATTTTCCGCAGGCTCATGAGAATGAATCTCCCTGTTCCCCTGCACACTCCAGCGGGGGAGTGTGATCACAGTCCCCAAATCAAGCAGTGACTCTCTCTGAAGTACAATCAGGTGACTGGTAGGAAATAAATGACTCCCAAAAGGGTCTTGACAGTGGTTCCAGAAAATGCTTTTCCTTCTCACATTGCCTTTTATTCAAGTTTATTCAACTTTGTTTATTCAACTCAACTTCATTCAACTTTGTTTATTCAACTGTCTTCATGAGATCTCTGATAATAAATGAATGTCCCCAGGAAAGCATAGACAATGATTGCACTGACATGACAGGTGTGGCAGCAAGGACAGTGAGAGATAATGTACACACAGGATGACTAGAGCTCTCGTGCCACTCCCTAGCATTTTTGTTTGAGAAATAATCTTTTAGTCAACTAGCATTTACCAGGTGTGCACTGTGTTAGGTATTGGAGTTTCCAAATACAAAGCATAACCCCATACCCTCAAGGAGGCTGTCCTAGGGAAAGTACATGGGCTCAGTAATCTACATCAGTTGTTCTCCACCCCTGCACCCTCAGAAAAACAAAAGCCACTACTTCCTAGTGACCCAGACTGGGCAAAAAGCATGTTCCTGTTGTACAAAGGTAGCTTCAGTAGTGTGCTTCTAGACAAGTCCCCCAGCTACCCTTCCACACTACAGCCCCTAAGCTCTGTTTCTGAGTGCTGGAGCTACCATGCAGCAGCTGATAAATTACCAAATAGGTCCACATTTACTTCGGCCTTCATATACACTGTTTCGCTGTTCCATCAGCCTACCTACCTGCTTCTCGCTTGTCTGGCAAATTCCTCATTCTCTAATCTCAGATAAATTCTTCCTCCTCTTTGAAGCCTTCCCTAGATTCTCCAGGAAGATTTAAGAACTTCTTCACTTACTACATCTGTACTTAACTTATGGGGAAAAAAAGTATAAGATAGGCAAATGATTACTAGAAGCTTTGGGTACTAGCAGGAGTAGGGACTACATTGATGGCAGGTTATACTGTCTAAGATGAACACAACAAGATCTCCCATCTATCATGTTTAAGAAGACATTGAGTTGATGTCCCTTCATCAAAATGTGGGGCCTGTTTTCTCCCCTTGTATCTGGGCCTGTCACTACGTTGGAAGTGACACTATGTGCCTTCCTAGGCTGGGTCACAAAAGTAATACAGATTCCTCATTCCTCTCTTGGGATGCTTTTTCTTGAGACCCAGCTTGCTCTAAGGAAGTCCAAGCAGGCCACCTAGAAAGATGGCACTGACCACCTAATATATGAATGAAAGAGGCTTCAGACAATTCTAAGCCTCAGCCCTTGAGCTACTGCAACTGACTCCACATGGATCAGAGGTGTCCCTCCCAAACCTGGCCCAAATTGCAGATTCATGAGCAAAATAAATTGTTGTTGTGCTAAGCCACTGAGGTCTTGGGGATGATTTGTTACGTAGCATTAGAGCAAGGTTTCCTTTATCTCTATAGGCACAGCATCCAGAATAGGGCCTGGCCAGAGCAGTGATCCCAGCAATGTTTCAATGACTGACCCTTTAATCTGTAGCCACAGCTATTGTTTGGTTGCTTTGGTAATGTGTGTAGCCAGCTACTGGGTATCACTCTGAAGTCCTTGCTCAGAAGGCTCTGCCCATTCTTTGATGCTGCCCACTGGACCCTCTGCTCTCAGCTTCTGCTTCCTGGCTGAAGCTATCAGCTTCCACTCCCCAGATATCAGCATCATGGCCATTCTCATTCACCCTTCCTCTAGGTGCTCAGTGATACCCTACAGAAATGAAAATGGTTTCATTGTGGGCCTGGCTCTACTTTGGGCATATTCTGACAATGATCTTTTACAGGTCTCCCAGCCAAAGGCCTTCAGCAACTCCCCACTTCTGCTGCAAGTTGGTTGGGAATCTTCGCCAATCACAGAAATACCCGTGGATGCTTGTGATGCAGTCTTCCCCTTCCCTACTCAGAAGTGCCTCCTCAGAGGGCAGGTGGCCCAGGCATCAGAAAATGGCAACCTGTTTTACTTCTGAACCTGTAAATGCAGAGAGCAGTCTGGGAGGGTGGCTGTGCTGATGAAAGGCAGAGATGGCCGCGGATGTCTGCATGAATCACACAGGGCTGTGCAGCAGCCAAAAGTCTCTTCAATCTCTGTGATTCATGCAGATGCCAATGGCCATTCTTTGTCCCTCTCTATTCATTTTATTCATCCAATAAGCATTTGTCAACGCCCTACTCCATGCCATCCTCCTCCTGAGGATCCCACAAGCCCTGTTTTGTTCTCTTCTTTTAGCAACAAATCTCTGCTAACATCTCCAATGCCCATTCACACTGGATCAGGCGATTCCTGATTGGTAGGTTGTGCTCATGGAACCCCTCTCCCCAGCCATCATTCACCTGCATCCAAGTGCATCATCAAACCCCTGAGTTGCTCTTACCCTGAGGAAAGAATCCAATGCACCATTCTCCATGAACTCTGTGATGATCATGACAGGCCGACTCTTGGTGACCACACCCTCCAGGCGAATGATGTTAGGATGGTCGAACTGGCCCATGATGCTCGCCTCACTCAGAAAGTCCCGACGCTGCTTCTCCGAGTACCCTGCCTTCAGGGTCTTGATGGCCACGTAGATTTCCCTCTTGCCTGGCAGTTTCAAACGCCCCTTGTACACTTCTCCAAACTCCCCTGCAACAGCAAAAATGCCATTAATATCCTCTTCCTTCTCAGTCTGTGGACTCAAGAGGGAAGTCATCTAATGGAGAACAATGGTGCCCCAAGTGGAATTGTGATTAAAGTGGCGGAAATTAAAACAGTCTTCTCTCATTGTAACTATATTGTTTTGGCTGTAACCAGTTCATGGCAAACACAAAAGGATTACTAAAGTACATTCCTTACCTTGGTACTTAGAAATAGTTTGGGTAACTAAAGTGGAATTTCAGAATATATGTGAGTTTGTTTTTCCCCACACTTAATTTTTCCATTGTGTGCCAGCTGAATAATTGAAATGAAATGGTCAGTTTCACTTTGGCAGGATCATGATTCATTTTTAGCAGATACTGGTGCAAGAACATTCAGGGGATAGGAGACATGTTCAGGTACTTTGGCCCTCTGAATGAGATGTATACTGTTTATGTTCCTACACTGCTGGGAGAGCATTTGTGTTTATTGGGTGCCCCAGAAAACAGACACTGAGGAGTTAGGAAGGGAAGAGGTTCACTTGTGAAAGACAAAAGTGAGAGGAAGCAGGATTGGGCGGAGACAGCCCAAGATCACCATGCAGACCTGATGAAATCCCAGCTAACCCAAAGGGAGAGCCAGAGCAGAGTTCCCATTGCAAAAGCAGCCCAGCCCTCACATCCCTGCCATGCTCAGTCATTGGCTGGGGGCTGCTGGGAAGAGCTGGGCCTCTGCAGGAAAGCCGGGGCCGACCCTGAAGGTGCTGCAGCTGGAGGCTGTCAGCTAACTGCACTTTTGGCAGCTGAATAGCAAGTTATTTCTCCAAACAGGCATGAGCTGCACACCTCCATGCATGCCACAGCGTTGAAACATTTTCACAGTAAAGTCACCAAGAGTAGAAACAATTATGGTGACATTATTTCATAGCTGCCTAAAAAAAAAAAAAAATCTGTTGAATCCTGTTTAACATGCTTTCAAAAGTTATTTTATAATTTAATTTGGCTTGGTTACTTCCAATTCTTTCATGTGAAGCAGTTCAGTGTCTACTTGTAAGTGCAGCAGAAGAAACATGGCTTTCTGCTGAGAAAACTTTCTCTCTCACTTTCCACTTCTGGAAGAAAATGATGGAGCAAACTGAGCAATCAGATAAATTACTTGCCATATTAGAAAGACAAGTTAACATTGCTCCTGTGATTCATTTGGGAGTTCCTTTTGTTTTCTTGCTGCAAAAAAGATTGGAAGGAAGCTGTGTGAAAGGACTGTTATGCAAAACTTCTCCAGAGTCAACAGAACTTGATAGAACCTGGGGCTGGAGTAGAGGCTGGTTAAGCACCATTAGGAAGATTTCAACATGGACCTAATACTCAGATAAATATCATTTACAACACTATGTGTTTTGGGGGGGCTGTTCTTTTTCCTTCCTTCCATCCTTCCTCCCTTTTTCTCCCTCTGTCCCTCCCTCCCTTCCTTCCTTCCTCCCTTCCACTCCTTTTTTTTTGTTTTGTTTTTTGAGACAGGGTCTCACTATGTTGCTCATGCTATACTCGAGCTCCTGGGCTAAGCGATCATCTTGCCTCAGCCTCCTGAGTAGATGGGACCACAGGTGTGCACCACTGCACCTGGCTGCAACACTGCTTTTCACATTGAATCATATACTCTTTTGGTGAACTGCTGGAGGTCAGACCAAGTCTCATTCCTGTTTGTAGCTTGCACATCCACTCCACTGTGGTGCTTGGCACATAGCAGACATGCCAGTAAAAGTTGTTGTATCATATTTATTATTATATGTTTGGCTTTTGCCTTGCTCACTCTTGGGTTACAAACTGCTGAAGATTCTTATCTCTGCTTTATCCAGAAATAGAAGTACCACTATTTGAATTTGTATGTTAAAAATATATTTACTGCAGCATCATCTTCTATAGACAAACACTACAATAGCTTAACTTATTTAGTAATTAAAATGAGTAAAATTTAAAGAAAAGTACTAGACAATACAGACCTGTCACATATGTGTGTGTATATGTGGATGTATGTATATATGTCTAGATATATGTATGCATGTATATATGTAGCATATATGTATGCATGTAGATACGTAGCATATATATGCTATATATATATAACTATGAGCTGAATGAACACAAATTACATATTTGGTAAGTATACTAATGGAAGAATATTGGTTAGTATTTCTTCCTTGTTGTCATAATAATGGGCTCTATTTTCTTTTAGAAAAAAGCCAGAGTTGATAGTTGAGGGTAAAGGTGTGTTAATATTTCTTTGTGGAGGAGACAGCACACAAATGTGTATTTATTAACCACCTACTATGTGCCAGGAACTGTGCTAGGCACTTTGTGTGACTTATTCAATCTTCACAACACTCCTGTGAGGTAGGTATTACTATGGCCATTTAAATAATAAGGAAACTGAGGCACAAGGAAAACATGTCCCAATCACACAGCTGGGAGTTACAGCCAGGGCTGTGGTCCATACCCATCTTTTCCTGCCATACTGCCTCTAGATAGCTATGTTTCAGTTGGCAGGGACATGGGGAATAAAGCTACATAGATATGAAGTTATAGTTCAGGGACCATCATGCCCCAAATGTGCAGGTCCCAACAAGTCATATATAGTGACTGTCATAGCAACTCAATATCCATGTGAGAACAAAAGAAGTGATACTGTTTAACAGGCAGATGTCTTTCACATAAGCCTCCTGCCTGGGAGTTGGGTGGCATCAGAATATTTGGAAATCAGTGTATTTATCAGTTTCTACCTATCAGTGTGTGGAGTTTGGAAAAGTGCTCCAGGTGAATTTGATGTCCCCCACAACACACAAAAAGACTCCAGTTGAGAACTTCTGTTCTACCTCAGTGGTTCTCAAAGTTGGCTGCCCAATGGAATCACCTGAAGAGACTTACAGAGTCCAGAGGCCTGGGCCTCACTTCAGAGATTCTGATGAATTGGTTTGGATACAGCCTGCACATTGACATATTTAAAAGCTGCCCAAAGGATTGGTTACATAATTTGCAGAGCACGGTGCAAAGTAAAAGTGCAGGACTCCTTGTTCAAAAACTATTGAGCATTTCAATACTGTAACAGCAGAGCATTAAACCAAGTGCATGTCCTTCTGAACATCCGGCCCTGTGAAAATGCACCAGTCACAGGTCCATGAAGCCAGGCCTGGCTGCCCGGTGATACTGACATGCCGCTCAGGCTGAAAACCATAGGCTTAAACCATCCAAGCTCTTTTCAAATGAATTAGTGAACTGCCAAAAGCCATGGCATTCCTGAAATTTCTCTCTGTACTTCTGAATACTTTTGAAAGCAAAGCACACATATAGCCTGCCTCATACAGCACAGGTCCTGGCACATAGTATGGACTTTATAGATGTGAGAGGAGAGAAAGAAGAAAAGAAGGAAGGAAGAAATCAATGAAGATGTATAGGACAGTATGAATCAAACTACTTTCCTAATTGGGAAACGTTATTTAATTTTTAATCTTTGTGACTGGTCTTCAAGTCTAAAAACTCATCATACAGTTTTTAAAAATTATAAAATATAAACATGCCTTCTTTGGGTAGGGCATGGTGGACTTTGTGGTTGGTTACCTTCGTGGTCATGGTGTCACTGCTCTCAGAAATCTGCTCTGCAGTGACTTAAAGAATGGAAATTCTGTAAAAGAATTCCTTTCCTGTCTGGCAAAGAAGTGTCTTCATATTCTCCAAGCCAGGAGGTTTTCAAAGCACCAACTGCAAAGAATGCCACTTAATATCTAATCCTCACCAGGAGATTATGTTCGCCCCTGTAATTAAGTAGGCCCCTGAGTACAGTTGGGAGGAAAATTGGTAGTGAGTGGAGGAAGAAGCTCCATGTCTACACGCAAACAACACCTGAGACATTGGATGTTGGCGGGCCCTTCATTTCTCCAGAACTTAGCTTTCTCCTTGTTATATAATAAAAAGAAGTGACCAATTGTCTTGCCTTACCAACAGTGTGTTGAGAGAAGTCTAGGAGAAAGTGCTTTGTAAACTACAAACTGTTCGAAACACTTGTGGGTGGTTATTTATTTATTATTCTATTTTTTTTTGAGACAGAGTCTTGCTATGTCGCCCAGGCTGGATTGCAGTGGCGTGATCTCGACTCACTGCAATCTCGGCCTTTCGGGTTCAAGCAATTCTCCTGCCTCAGCCTCCCAAGTAGCTGGGATTACTGGCGCCCACCACAACGCCCGGCTAATTTTTGTATTTTTAGTAGAGACAGTGGTTCATTATGTTGGCCAGGCTGGTCTTGAACTCCTGACCTCGTGATCTGCCCACCTTGGGCTCCCAAAATGCTGGGATTACAGGTGTGAACCATCACTCCTGGCCTTTATTTATTTATTTTTTTAGACAGTCTCGCTCTGTTGCCCAGGCTGTAGTACAGTGATGTGATCTCGGTTCACTGCTACCTCCACTTCCCACGTTCAAGAGATTCTCCTGCCTCAGCCTCCCAAGTAGCTGGGATTACAGGCTTGTGCCACCACTTTTATCTAATTTTTTTATTTTTAGTAGAGACAGGGTTTCTCCATGTTGGCCAGGCTGGTCTCGAACTCCTGACCTCAGGTGATCTGCCTGCCTCAGAATCCCAAAGTGCTGAGATTACAGGCATGAGCCACCATGCCAGGCCTGTTTTAAAAAGACAAAACAGAAGTAGGTAGTTGGGAGGGGGAGTGCAGAGTAGGGGAGTCTCACTGGAAGAGAAAAGAGAGGAAAAGTAGGTTTCTGCAGCCTTTTGAGACTTATGGTGACTGATCTAAGACACATCAGAGCTTTTTGCCAGGGGACATGGTGAAGTTTCCCTGCCAGGTGCCTGAGCATGGAGGGTGTCTTCAGGTAAGCCTAGGATGCTAAAGTCTGGGTTTCTGGCCCTTGAGCACACCACAACCTACAGCCTTATAGAGAGGCAGGAGTCGATGGGCGTATTGCTATTATTAATAACAAACAGGAAATCAAGACCCTGTGTCACTTACAATCTAAGAAATTGCTGTCGCCTGTGATCTTTGACTTCAGTTTAATATAGTATCTACAAGAAACTATTTTTGCATTTTGATAATTTTCCTGTAATTAGGGCCAGGACTTGATGTCTGTGGTACTTCGATTCGCCATCATCTGAACTCTAAAGAGCTTCGTTTTACTTGAGCTCCAAATCATGGCCATAACGTTTTCATTTTTAATAAAAATTCATAATACCTAGAAAATATTTCCAGCAATTCAAGAATTAACGTTATATTTAAGACAGACGCTTAAAGGAAACGACTGTGCTGGGGAGTGGTTGTGGTTGATTCTTTTCACACAGATTCTTTACTGACAGTAAATGTGGCCAGCCTAATTTTGGTCCCACTGGACTTTGATTGGCACACATCTTTGTGTCTGACATTGGGTCCTCTCCTATAGCCAGACATCTATTTGGTTAGGACCCAGATCCAGGTGTAGGTCAGTCTAGTGGCCAATGTGCTCAGCAGTGGTTCTCGAACTGTGGTTCTTGACCAGTAGCATCAGTATCACCTAGGAACTTGTTAGAAAATGCACTTTCCCAAAACCCACCTAGACCCACAGCATCAGAAGCTCAGTAGGTGGGGCCTGTGACCTGGGTTTTAGCAGCCTCCAGGTGATTCTAATGCCTGCTTCATCTATTTGAGAACCTGGCCCTCAAGGCTGTCAGCTGAGGGTAATTTAACCAATTCCTATGCATTTCATCCCAGATAGCTGCTGAAATTATTCCCTGCAAGTTTCAGCTCCTTGCCAATTCCTCTTTCCTACCTTCCTTGACAAAATGAGGAAGAGAGAAAAAGTGCTTCAGCAGCATTAAATGCCTCAACTATTGTATGTAAAATCAGAAGAAAAGAATTCTCAATTTTTGAAAACGAAACATTCACCTGCCAGCAGGTATTTCAAGCAGTAGCTTCTGGTTATGCACAGCTCAAATCTACACACAATTGCACTTTTTTTAAAAAAGCAGCATTTTGAAGTCAAAAACTGCCTTGGGGGGAAAAAAAGGAAAGCAGAGCTTCTAGTTACTAATTCAAGCTTACACCAGAAATGGAATTTTTAAAGAATACATTTAAACTAGGTTTTAAAGCATGATTTCAAGCAAGTTTTAACACACTAGCTTGTGCAAGATAAATGAGTTACGGCTAAACCAGGGAGAGCAGAACCATGGTACACACTCCACCACTTCCTGACCCTGCACAGAGGATAGACATTATTAGTTGATCACAACCATCTTCACCCTTTCATCAGAGTTCCTCAGATACTCATTACCAGGCCACTGAGTTGGCACATGAGATGGAACCTGCTTGACAGCCACGGTATTCACAATACCTAATATCCAGAGAGTGAGGGAAAATGGTTTTCTCTTTTCTTGTAGCTTTTTATAGTTGTTAAACAACTGCATACCTATATATCACATATGAGTGTATATATCTTCACACACATACATACATCTACATTTTATATGTAATTAGCTTATTTTCATAAGCAAGCACTTATAATTAAAGATGCTAAATATCTCAGTCCTTGTTGTCCTTCTTAACGCTGATAACTGATCACACTTAGAAGAAGAAAACCAGAAGACAGGACCAGGGTATTCTATGAGGACCATGCTCTCTCCAGGGCATGTGGGACAGTCTTTGTAGCATCACAATAGAGTAATAATGAATTCTAGGATGGTATCATAATTCCCAACAACGAGGCTTGAGTATTCAAAACTGCTAGAGAGAAGCAATGGGTATTCCAAAATGCCATCGGAAGCAATGCCTCTGTATACTGAGCTGCTCTTTTCCATAGCAACAAGAGTGGCAGCTGGCCACTCTGTAACTATACGCAACAGCCCTAGGGTTACATTCATGTGAGGGTTACATTCTCCAGATCTGGATCAGCTCTAGCTGGGTTTAAATTCTAGCTCTATCATAAACTTAACTGGCAGCACAGCCTTCGGCAAGCTATCCTCTGAATGTTGATTTCCTTACCAGTTACAAGAAAATATACATGCATACAGATATATATGCTCTAACTCACAGAGCAATAAGAGACTTAAATAAGACGATGCTTGTGAAAGATGTAGAGTATTGTCAGACACACGGTGAGTGTTCAAGAGATGCTAGCTACTTTGACTATGTTCCTGGAGACATGTCTATGATTTCTTCTCCTAGAAATGCTTCTTGCCGTAACTTCTATTCAATGTGGAGCTACCCTCATGCTGTCCATCTGCACTCTGAATGACCCCAGGACTGTCAAACTTGCAAGTGACCTTTCTGCCAAATCATCCCCAAGGAAACCCGGGCCTTTGTTGGCCTCACAGATGACTCCATCCCCATCCACACATATCACACATTCCCTCATCCCAACTATTCTCACACAGCCCTTTCACTGCAAGCTTCCTTCTTCCAGATGATCATCCATTCCTGGAAATGTTGAATCACTAGCTGCTAGAGTCAGAGGAGACATATTTATTCATGAAAATACAAATGGCATGTCTTCTTCTGCCAACAACTTCTAGTGACACCTTTACCTATGTAGTCATACACTGACAGTCATGCTTAGGCTGTTGCATACAGTTATACAGGTTTCACACTGCACCCAGGAGTGCCATTCAAGCTGTAGAGCCCTGATTCATGTTCTGGGCAAGTCTACTGATCAAACTGACCAGAATTAACCAATGCATTGGAGTTGACCTATGACATGATGCCTATTAGTCAGACTCATGGTAACAATAAACTGGTACTCTCTGAAGATACCAAGGTAACCTGCTGCCCTCTGTGAAGATACTTCAATTACTCTCATTATCTACAGTGAGAAGAGGAAGAGTCAGCTTTCCTTCACTCTACTGGGCCACTTTCAGAGCATCAAATGACTCATGATCTCATGCCACCTGTCCAGTCTCTCTTCATTCTCCCAAACACTACCTAGTTCTCCAGATTTTTAACTGCCATGTTCTCCCTCCAAGGACCTACTTTCATTCGCCATATACAACAAATATTTAATTGAGCATTTAAGTGCCATGCACTAGGCCAGGTACCAGACCAACAAAACACATACATTCCCTTGCTCCCATAGAACTTTGAGCCTTGTGAGGAAAGACGAACATTAAACAAATAATTACTTAATAATTAATGATTTATTATTGTCTTCTTGGGTGGCATCACACCTGGCTCACAATTATTATATTTTTATTTCTTTGATCAACATTTGCAACAACTTTAGGAGAAACTTTGGCAGCTGATGCAACTTTTCAGCCTCACAATTTCTGAACTTTCCCTCCGTGGGTCTTCACTCACATGCACAACTGCCACTCCCCACAACCTGGGTGCCAGGCAGCCTTACTCTCCCTTAACCTGATGCCCCTCATTTCTGATCACAGCCTCCATGCTATGACTCCCCATCACCTCCAGGCACCAAGCTCACTAGTCACTCCATTCATCACATTCATTTGGGTATACCCCAGTTTGGATAAGCTTAGTCACTTAAATGCAGCCTTGATCCTAGCATCAACCATCTCAAAGCCTCTCTGTAACATCTAAACAAAACCTCATAACTTGTCTTCCCACCTCCAAGGTTTTAGCGATTGTTTCCCATCCCCCTCTTCCAGTCCAATCCAAGCACAGCATTTATAGGATTCAGCTTGCTAGAACCTTGGTCCTTTCACCCACCCTGCTATGAAACCTATTTTCTATGGGATAAAATTCATATAGCAGCCTCTGGATCTCTAGATCTTGGCCTGATTCTCCAGATTTAGTGTTCAGTACTTACCCACAGGCAATCCCTCTCCAGCAACTTTCTTTCCCCTTGTTCTCAGGATGTGACACACAATGTCAGTCCATCCAAAGCCTTCACAACCTCAGAGGCCACTTTGTTCCCTCTTCCCTGAGTCCTCTCCTGCCATCAAGCCTTCTCTCCCATCTCCAGGGCTACACATTCTCCGGGCCCTCATCTGAGCTCTCAATCACTGCCTTCCTCTCACTGAGTGGCATTGAATGTGTGTGCTTTAGACAATAACCCCTGCATGGCAGGACTTGTTAGGCATTGAGTATATTTTTCCAGCATCACCCCCAGTCACATGCACAGAAACAATGTTTAATGAATAAAGATCTTTCTGAACTGTAAACTTAATCCCTCCTGCAACAAACATAGCCTTCTCCTCTGGCTCTATATTTAGCTGGTGCAGGGTAGTTCTTCTGCAACCTCTTTGAAATAACTTTACATAGTCTGGAGGGTGGGGGTGTGCTTATAAGTGTTCAACTACCAGCTCTCCAGGAAGGAAGGAAGGAAGGAAGGAAGGAAGGAAGGAAGGAAGGAAGAAAGGGAGGGAGGGAGGAAGGGAGGGAGGGAGGAAGGGAGGGAGGGAGGAAGGAAGGGAGGAAGGAAAGAAGGGGCTCATGATTTGTAGCATTTTCCAGTTCCCATAGTGTAAATACTCCCACTATGATTGATGTCAAGAAGAAAGAAAGGAAGAGAGAGAGAGAAAGAGAAAGAAAGAAAGAAAGAAAGAAAGAAAGAAAGAAAGAAAGAAAGAAAGAAAAGAAAAGAAAAGAAAAGAAAAGAAAAGAAAAGAAAAGAAAGCAAAAGAAAAGAAAAGAGAAAAGAAACGAAAGAACAAACAGAGGGCAGGCTCAGGATTTGTAGCATTTGCCCATTCCCATGATGTAAATACTTCTACTATGGCTGATGTCAAGCTACCAACATGGTGTCACTAAACATGGGGCTAGAAACAGATGTGCATAATTGGCTCTTGCAAGCTACTGCAGGCTGTCCAGCATAGCATGTCCACTGCTGGAAGGTCATGTTCATTATCCTTCTTAAATCATTTAGTTTTCCTCTTCTGTCACTATCTCATTCTCTCATACGCCTCATAAAAACTTACTTTTTCTACTAGTGTTTATCCTTGAAGGCTCAGGCCAAAGGTCATTCTTTGCAGAGCCTTCCTGATATGCTCAGCCCCTCCAAGAACAGCAAGCTGGATGCTGCTCTTTGCATAATACATGCCTGTGTGGATGGTGTGGAATAATTAACTGTTACTGGCCTGAGTTTTTCCCACTAAATCTGTCAGACCTCTGAGTCTGTTTATTCGCCTCTGGAACTCCACATCCAGCATATAAGAAGTATTCAGTAAAAGCCTGAGGGAAGAAGAGGAGGGAGAGAGGAAGTAGGGAGGGAGAGAGAAAAAAATAAAGGAAGAATAAAGGACTTCCGACTCTTCTTTTCATGTTTTGTTGCCATGTTGCAACCCAAGTTTTCCCCCTGCTTCAAGTATTTCAAGTGGCTAAGAGAAACATTGCCAGTTACATGGCATAAATCTTACCTTAACAAATTCCTTACTTTTAAAACAATTTGACCTTCACACCAGCTCTTTTAGCACTGAAGAGTCAGCCTCAGTGGGGCAGGGTATGAGGGAAATGAGAGTGATGGTAGAGGAGAAAAGGACCTGGAGAAAAATTGGTTCCCTGCAGGAGTGTCTTCTGTTAAAATTGCATGAAGTTATGCATAGTAAGTTAACATCCACAAGGATTCGCTCTGGGATATTCTGAATTACAAGGAGATGGGTCTCTGCTACAGAATGGTAACTGGGCAGAGTAACTGGGCAGAGGTCTTTATGTCATGCTACTGGGCATCATAGAAACTACTAAATGCATCATTTCTCCCCAATATCACATGAGTCATGGAGAAGACTGAACCTTCTCTGAGCAGAATGCACAACATGGCAGCACTGGCAAATGCTACACACAAATGGAGGTGAAGGATGGGGCAGAACTATCAATTGTCCTTTTACAGGCATCCAGCAGCTGGTGAACTCACCCCAAATTGTAACTATCCAGTAGGGTCATAAAGTGAGAAAGCTCTTTACTCCTCCTCTGACAAAAGCAGGTGGGGGTGGGGCTGATGTGTGCTCTCTGGGATGAAATACAGTCCAGAACACATCGCTCTAAGCACATGACATAAATAACAACATTAAAGTCACTAGCACCATTACCACAAGCCATAACAACAATTAATAACACGAGCAAACAGAGTACAGGACTGAAAGCCCGCCTCCCCAACACTCTTTGATGTTTACTGGAGAAATCTGAGCCCTTAAGAGTTATCCAATTTATCTGGTACCCAGCCTTCCAAGGCATGATCCTTAAATATGTCAGCATCTAAAGGGGAAGAGAAAATTATCTGCACAGAAGTGAAAGTCGTGGTTCAGCAACATTCTTAATGTAAAAGTCAATGGGAAATATGCATAAACTCAAGTGGATCTGAGTCTGGTGACCCAGCTGAAACTCCTGAGGGGTTGGCGGGAGCAGGTGGTGTGTCATTTCCCAGCACCCACCACACTTATGCTGAAAGAAGTGTGAGGACGAAGCTATTCAAGAGGGAAACCAGAGCAGGAAGATGGCGGCCTAATGGGACAGACTCTCAAATGTGACTTCCAATTTCACAGATGGCTTTTTGACCCCTGAGTGCATTAAGAGAGCAGTGAACAGAAAGATGGTGACATTCCCCCTAAAGATAATATATGAAGTAGCTGTAAGACTTTGACTAAACATATTTTATTGAGTTAAAATATTATTGAGAGAGGCAATTCCATGGCTTTCCCAATAATGATATGAATAAAGCACTTCTAGATCTAGGAACCTAAAAAAGATGACAGCATATTAGTGAAGAGAGCTTGGACAATGGCTAACAAGAATTGAAGAGGAAGAAAAGACGAAGAATGTTGCAGAAGAAAATAAAACAAATTTAACACATCTTTTAAAAAGGTTCATAAGACGCAGGAATGAGATTTCTTTTAGTGATTTTTGAGATGTTTTATCTCATTTACATTAATAAGTCTAGGTCCATTGCCAAATTGACTCAGCTACTAACCCATTAAAGGAAGATGAAAATTCTAGATCAGTCTTAGGTATGATTTCCTGAGAGCATCTCAGGCAGTGAGTTTTACACTGGGCTGGGTTTCTATTCCAGTGCAGGAAGATGGATGAGGGCACACACATTTCTTGAGAGTGAAATTCGTCTTGTGTTGTTACCAGCTGTACCATAGATTTTTTGTAAAACAAACAAACAAAGAAAACAAACAAAAAAAAGAAGGTGATAGGTTGACTTTCTTCTGGAAACAGTGGTCTCTCTTCTATTCATCATGGTCTGTCTTCAAATTCATGTACATAGGAAATGGAGAACTTACAGTATGGCAAGATATCTTGACTTTAACCCATTGAGATATCATTGTTAGTAAGTGGAATACTACAAATGTAGATTTCTTTCAAAGCCTTCTCAACTAAGTACCTTATCTGCATTTGGTGGTCCATTTCCAGAGTTATTTCTGAATCTATAAAACTGCAGCTGACTTTTCTGCAACAACAGACAAGCTTGGCCACCATGGTCAAGGTCCCCAAAGATCCCAAGTGATGTTTTCTCTCTGTCCTAGATACACATGTAGATAGTTCAGACTCATCTTCTGAGGAGAAAGAAGATAGAAGCTCTCCTCCTAATGGGGCTTTTCATACTGAAAGAGACCATCTAGGGTGGTGGAAAGAAGATGTTTGGACACCAGGAGAACAGAAACAAGACAGGGAAGAGCCATACCTGCTCCGATGACCTCTTCAATTTTCACAAAAGATACATCAATCTCCTTGGCAAACTCCCGGACAGCTTCGTTGGGATCCTCGTAAGTGAAGGGGTCAATGTAGATCTTCATCCCTGGGGAGCCTTGTTGGAGGAGATAAGCAGGGTTAACATCCCAAAGAGGACATGGTTGTCATTCAGCACTGCTGATGTCCCCAGCACTAAGGGCATTCCTGGGAGGAGCTCTCCTACACACCAGGCTGCAACTTTTCTCTGCCTCTCCTCCTCTTGCTGGGCCTCCTCATCTCCCTTCCTTCTGGGTCATTCTAGACTGATTCTCTGTCCTCTACTTCTCCTCCATATTTTCTTCTTTTTTTGAGCTCTTGGTGAAATGTGGAACAGATTACTTATAAGTGACAGATCGGGACCAGTTCCCACACCGGGTGCTCACAGAAGGCAAGGAAGCTGACTGATGCCAACCAAATGCATTAGCAGAAAAGTGGTGGTAAAATGGTAGGGTAGATATCAATATTTATCAACTTGACAACTTTCCTGAGTGGAGGCCACTGTTAAGGTTATAACTGACGGCTGTGGTGCAGGGCTGTAAGAGGGAAGAGGATGGATTTTTTTACAAAGAGAGAAATTGCTGTTAGAAAAATCTGGAGATGGAAGTGCCAAGACGGTACACCAGAAGAGAAAATGTGAAGAGAAAAGCTTAGAAAATACTAATAGAGAAAAGAGCAAAGTCTACATAGAAAAAATGAGGTGGTATGAAAGAAAAATGGTGATTGACTCTTCATGCCTTCGGACACACTGAAGTATGAAAAACAAATAAAATGGTGAATGAGAAATACATAAAGGAATATAGACCTTGTCACTGATATATACGGTGGCAAGATAAATAGGTGTGCATGGGGACAAAGTAGAGAATTGTCACTGCAGAAAAAATACATTCAAAAAGTAGAGGAGAGGGAACAAAAAAAAAGGAAATGGAACCCAAGAAACCAATGCATTCATTCACAATGTAATTTTTCAACATGTTTGATACGTCATTAAGCAAAGTACAGGAATTGTTTACATGGTGGTGGGTGGTGGAAAGGCTGGGGCTTCGAAGGTCAAATGACAAGGTCTGATATCACAGCCTTGGGAAGAGTAGGGGCTTTCTCTGCCAGGTACTGCTGTCTCATTCAAGAAACAGTCAGGTCAGCAGGGGAAGGCAGGCCTAAAAAAGCCACACTGCTCCAGGTGCAGTGACTAGGGCCCAAGGCTGAGGTTAGGCCTCAGGTTTCATGAGCTCCATTTTAGCACCTCCCCCCTCTTCATGTTCCCCACCCCTTGCCACTACAGCTTGTTCCCTGGTGACCCCCAGCTCTAGTTTTGACATTTTCCATCCAAAAAACTTCTGATGGCTCTATAGCTCTCCTAAACTGGTGTTGCTTGGTCACCAATTCAGGCAAGGACTGGAAATTAGACTAGAGTGTAATCCAAAGGAAGACAGAAGATACAGCAAACCATTGAGGAGAATTTTTTTTTTTTTTTTTTTTTGAGACAGTCTTGCTCTGTTGCCCAGGCTGGAGTGCAGTGGTGTGGTGTGATCTCGGCTCACTGCAACCTTCACCTCCTGGGTTCAAGCGATTCTTCTGCCGCAGCCTCCTGAGTAGCTGGGATTATAGGCATGCACCACCACGCCTAGCTAATTTTTGTATTTCCAGTACAAATGGGGTTCCACCATCTTGGCCAGGCTGGTCTTGAACTCCCGACCTCATGATCCACCCCCCCTCCCCGGCCTCCCAAAGTGCTGGGATTACAGGTGTGAGTCACCACGCCTGGCCTGAGGGGATTATTTTTTAAGATAAGGAGGGCCAGGTGCCCTGCCCAGAACAGTTTTTTTCTGAAAGATGAGTTATTCCCAGTCACTTGTTTTAGGGTTGTTCACACCATTCTAGAAGTCTCCTTGAAAGCTTTGGGAGGACACTGACTTGAGAATATATAGACTGAAATTTGGACAAAGGAAATTGAGAGATCCTCACCTTTATGTAGAATATTCTAGTCCCCAGGATGGATATCAGGGATGTGCGTGTGTAGGAAGAGACTTCTGCTTTAATAACAGTGGACAAAGAGAAAAATGGAGATGGGGGTGCCAGTCCTTTTTGACTTGTTATAAAGAACAAGTGAAGAGTAAGAACAGTCAAACCAGATTGGAAGCATATAGAGAACCCAGGTCAGCATCTCCAGGCCACCCTGTCTTACCTTGGGTTCCCCCAGAAGCAGCCCTAGAGGCAAGATTTTTGAAAGTAAGTGGCTTATCTGGGTGGTGATCCCAAGAAGTACCTGAGATGAGAAGGGAAGTAAGATAGGGAAAGGAAGGCAGCCTATAAGAGGCGCATTCTCAAGCCACTGACCACTGTGGGTCATTGAGCAGGCCTAATTCCCCTGAGATTCACATCTAAGCAATGTCTAGGTTAGCACATGCTTCAGAGTTGTCCCACTCTGGGGTCAAGGGAGCTGTGATATTTCCACACAATTGGTCAGGGGCTGCTTGGCCTGTTGTACGGGTGGGCAGGGGAGGCTCCAGGGCCAGGGAAAGCAGTCAGGCAAAGAAACACTGATGCCACAGGTGGAAGCCAGCTGATGTGCGACTGGCAGCAACAGATGCACTCAGAATGCAAAAGGGACAGCAGGTCAGCGTTAACAAGCTATGACTTCTCCCAAATTCTGTGCTGTGGTGAGAGGACGTAAACAGCCCAGATGCTGGGACCCACAGGTGAGGTCAGGGCCCCCAAACCTTTTACTAGCCCCGTGTAATGTGACAAGTCGGCACACACCTCTTAGCATGGTTTTCTCCTCTGCCTATGAGGGCGGTAACATCTCCCTCCCAAAGTGGCTGTGAGATTAAAGAACATATTGCTGACGACATACCTAGCACAGTGCCTGATGTACAGTGATGACTCACTGACTGATAGACTTGTTATATCATCAGTAAATTGTTCTAGGAAGTGTTTGGGGAGGTAGGAAGAGGAAGCAAGCGGAGGGTGGGCAGTGGGGGTTGTAAGCCGCTTAGGGTTATATTAGTTACTTCGAAAATAACTACCTTGTTATTTTAGATCAAAGGCTTTTGAACGATGTATGCTAAGCTGTCCTACAGGAACTCTTCCATGGAAATTAATTAAACAATCTAGAATATGCGGTAATGAATGGTTTGCAAGTAAAGACATACATAAGGATGAATGGGAAAGGATTCTGAGTTAATGAGTTTTACAGATATTGGCCCCAATCAGTTCAAGGAAGGAGCTATTCCCAGAAGGGAAAGGGCTTATCTCTTAATGGTGCCAGGATTCTTTTGGGCCAGTAATGCGCAAATAAGTGCACATAAACGGAACAAAGTCTGCACTGTGAAGATGGGTGCACTTTACTGACGAAGAGAGGTGTGCTGCTTTGCTAGCTTGTAGAATTAAGAAGTATGTGTGTGTGTGTGCACACATATATGTGATGTCACAGCTGCTGTTCTGGGGCCATGGGCATTGGTGTCACTGAGACCTTTCCCCAGAAGCCAAGAAGGCTGCCTGGAGTAGTGATGCAACGTCAATTTAGAACATCTTAATGGCTGCATCTATGCAACAATTAGACTCAGTACTCGTTTCCCCTGAAATTGAGGAAAGCATTGTCACATTGAAGAAGGGAAACTGAAAAAGTGAATCATTGGTCTAACAAATGGCTCAAACTCAATGACTTTCCCCTAAGGTCTGATAGGGTGGGCTGGGAAGGTGGCCTTGGTGTTGCTCCTCTGTGTGGGGCGGCAGTCTGTGTTCTAAATCAGGAGAGTGACTTGGTTGAGCACTCTCAACCAAGCACGTAAGGGCTCCCCTGTATCCGCCTCATCTCAGAATGACGCATCTTCCTAGACCTCCCTCCTGCAGTATAGCTAGCCTTTCCAAATCTTAGAAGATGATGAGGGGAAAAAAAAGCCTTTAGCTAGGCAGAACAGGTCATTTGTCTTTTGGCTCATTTTGTGTTTCTGCATAAATCCTACATCAGCATGTTCCTGCTCCCACTTGCCAGTGAGCAGTTTTTAATTATCAGGAAAATGGTGTTTAGTGCAATGAATCATCAGACAGTGAACAAGGAATTCAAGTCAGCTACAGAGTCAGGCACAGCCAAACATTTGGAGACAGGGCTCAGAAAACGTTCTCAGATTTGTGAGTGTTGGGGAAATATTATTAGTGGCAGTAATAATAATATCAGATGTAATATATACCTATAATGTAAAGCATTTTATAGTAATCCGTACAATGCTTTATATTATCATTATTCCTAATATAAATATTGTTAACATATTTATATTTTATAGTTTCCAATTATTGTCATCATAGGTTACATACCTTTGGCACAAAAATGTTATGTATGGATTTAAACTGCTGTTTATTAGTACCTCAAAAGAGAGAAAAATCTTTAATTTTATGTTCTATTAATTTATTAATTTTGATTAAAGATCTACTTTGCAGTCATGTGTGTTCTTTGACCTCAAAGTTCACTTATGCTATAGTTGAGATTAACTACAGCCTTAAAGGACCATAGTCTCAGGAGAATTATAAAATCTTAAACATGAACCAAGCCTTTAAATATATTAGGTTTGGGGAGAAATGATTTAGCCACTGTCCAGAACCTTGTTGCATGGAATGGAGTAGTTCTTGAAGCAGAAGAAACTTCTGAGCATTGTCAGAGACCTTCCATCAGTAGATCAGGATGCTCTCAAAAGTGAAAAGGCTGGGACATGTCTCTGGGGATGTTGTAGACATGTAGAGTGTATCTGAAAAGTCGGGGAGACCCTTTATAAGAGCCAGGGTCTCAGGGAAGAGCAGAAGAGGGCTGGAAAGGGTCATTTTAAACAGTAGGTGATATTTGGGGATTGAAAGCTGGAGGGAGAGGAGTGAATGCTTCTATCCAGGCCTCCTGTGCATTCAGGAAGTACAAAATCAATACCGTGGACATCTTAGTGGAGATCACGAATACCCACATGGCTCCAGGGGTGCCAGTACAAACCTGGCACTTCCCAGCTGGTGGAGGATGCCTAGAATTCCACAGTATGGTTTCAGAGGTAGTGCATTAGGCTGTATTTAGTCATTAATATTTTTGTGTCCCAGCAGGTTTGAACAGACCAATGAGAAAGTGTGGCTTTTTGTTCTTCATTCTGGATTCAAGGCAGACGATGTCATTTTTGTGACTCCCCTAAAATTGGTCCAGATATTTAAGCACAAGGGGTTTTATGTGTTTGGAGATCTTTACATACAGGGACTTCATCCAATCTTCTGCCTCAGTATGTTGATCAACCCTTTTCCTCAACACTAATCAGGACTCCAAACCAGCACTGTGCTAAGAACTGTGGAAACTATCGGCAAAACAAAGTTCACAAGTTTCTTTAGGCAATTAAGATATGAAATAACTGGAGAACAGTGCTGGATAGTCTTGGATCAGGAGCCCACATCTGGAAATGGGTTGCAAGTGCTGCAGAGACCAGAAAAGGCAGAGGCTATGGGTGCCAGTCTTCAGGGTCAGAATCCTGAAAACATCAGAACTCAGCTTGAGCCTGAAAGGACAAGTGCACATCGTATTGCACTGGAAAAAGAGGAGCCTGGAGTGTCGTGAGCCACAGCTAACTGAGGCCTGGCAGTGCATGAGTGGGGAGAGTGATACCAGCTTGAATGTGGAGGGAATCAGTGATAGTCAGAAGCATGGGAAGGCCTTGGTTACCAAACAGAGGCATTAGGATTGATGTCATGAGACACACAGAGCTGACAATGGTTCCATCAGCAGGGGACAGATGTACTGAAAGTGGGGCATCGGGGGGCTCATCTTGCTGGCAAGCTGCAGCATTTGCATGCAGTGCTGTGGGGAAGGGGCTGGAGGTTGGAAAAATAGCTATGAGGTTGTTATGTAATACAAATTCAGGTGTAAGATAACAGTTTTCAACCGGAGTACTGCAACAAGAACAGCAGAAGAGACAAGACAAATTTCAAAGGAAGATGTGGTTGCAGTTGATGAGCAGTCAGATGTGGGGAATTAGGGAGGGACAAGATGAATCCAAGTCAATGCCAAGACCTCTAGAATCACATGGCACTATTAACCAGGTGAAGGGCTTTTGGAAAGAAATCCTATTGTAAGAGGGGCTGGCACATGTGGTTTTAGACGTTGGATGTACAAATGAAATATGCAGGTGCTTAGAAGCTGGTCAGAAAACTCGGACTGAAGACAGAGTCAGAAGAGTGGAGCTGGAGTTGTGGGTTTGGGAGGCACACGGGTGGTAGCAGGAAGGCTGAAGACTGGGCAGTTTCTTGGAGTAAACCAACTAGCGAAGGCTGACGAGCACTAGAAATAGTCTGCCCCACCGACCTCTGAGGGCTAAGACCAGGACACTGGGTGGTTGTCTTTTTCCATGAGAGCAGGGGTCATGGGTGCCCAGCCAGTGCTTGAGGAAGAACCCAGGACAGGAACCTCAGGGAGGACAATGCAGGCTGGAAAAGCAGTGGGTGGGAGGAGGACCTTCCTGACACTTTGTGTTTGGGGGTTTTACCACATTTTTGGGATCTGCCCCAAAAACCAGTTATTACTGAACATCTGTCTCCCAAAGAAGGAAAGTAGACCATAGCTGCTTCCTCTTAAAGAAACTATTTCAGGCCGGGCGCGGTGGCTCACGCCTGTAATCCCAGCACTTTGGGAGGCCGAGGCGGGCGGATCACGAGGTCAGGAGATCGAGACCATCCCGGCTAAAACGGTGAAACCCCGTCTCTACTAAAAATACAAAAAATTAGCCGGGCGTAGTGGCGCGCGCCTGTAGTCCCAGCTACTTGGGAGGCTGAGGCAGGAGAATGGCGTGAACCCGGGAGGCGGAGCTTGCAGTGAGCTGAGATCCCGCCACTGCACTCCAGCCTGGGCGACAGAGCGAGACTCCGTCTCAAAAAAAAAAAAAAAAAGAAACTATTTCAGAAAAAAAGCTTAACATCTCTCTGCTTTGTGGGTATCAATGACGGGGACAGGCTGGTCCTTCCCAGCAAGGCCCAATGATTCTGGATCACTGAGGAGCTGTTGGGAAGCAAAGGGCAGGAGCTGATGATCTCAGGACCAAAAGAGTTAACACGGTTTCTTGAGTCTCTGGCTTACAGCCAGCAGCAGACACATGGGTGAATCTAGCTCATAAAATTTATTTGACATTTAATAAGCCCCCGCTGTAAACTCAGCCACCTTTTGTACCAAGGAGACTTTCCTCCTCTCCCAATAAGACTTCGTTTACTCTCCTCATTGACTAATGCTCTGGTTACCCTCCAGAAGAGGGAGCCGAAATTGCCAGTCTCCCTCCTCCAGGGACACACCTGACCTGCACTTTGGTTCCTGAGGTGATTTCTTCTGGGCTGGATGCTGTGTCCCTTGCAGTTCTGAAATACAGACACCACCCAGAATCCAGAAACTGGGTGTGGAATCTTGGAACTAGACATGCTTCTGGGTGTAATTTTGTCCAATATCCTGTCTAAAGCAGAAATCTCTCTAGCATCCTTTACTGACAGCTATCTAGTCTCTGCTTGAATAGGAACAGAGAACTCACACCTCCCTGCAAGGCAGACTGTCTCTTTGCTGGACAGCTCTAGTGAGGAAGCAGTGCACTTACAATGAATAAATCTGGCCTACTTTGATATTGCACTTGATGGTGCCATTTAATCTCATGAAGCCAACAACATCTTTCTTTTGCCATAATGGCATTATGCTGGATGATGACTTCCAGGTTCCTGCCTGGGTGTCTGCAGCACTGAACACTGGCATTTCCAAGTCTCTTTGGTAGCAGATCAGAACTTGCCACTGCTCCACAAGCAAGCTGCTCTCTTCTGGACAGCTACTTTGCAGACAATGTCCTTCTCGAAATGGGATCCCAGAACTAACATCACTCTAGATGTGTTCTTACCACACAGAAGACACTGTTTATATATCACCTTTTCTGATCTGAACCCTTATCAAGACACTGTTTATATATCACCTTTTCTGATCTGAACCCTTATCGAGACCACAGAGTCAGACAGATCTGAGTTTTAAACCTTGTTTTGCAAATCACTAATTCCAAGACTCTGAACAGGTTACTTGTTCTCTCTGAGGCTTTGTTTCTTCATATGCAAAATGTACCTCATGGGGCTGTTAGGGGGATGAAACTAGTTAATTTATGTAAAGTGTTTAACAGAGTAAGTGTGCAATACTGGTGGTTATTAGCAGTATTATACTGCATCAATAACATTGCTTGGATTTTTGTCAGCTATGTATCACTGATACTAAGAATGTGGTCAACTAACTCATTTTTTTCACACAAATAAACAGCAAGTTAGGTCTCCTATTTGCACTGCTTTATTTTTGTTTTAACCTAAACATGAGATTCCAGATTTATCCTGCTAACATTTTGTCTTGCAGATTTCAAATTAGCATTCAAAGCTGTTGGATAGTTCTGAATTTTGATTCATCTTCTGTGGTGTTAGTTATGCTCTCCAAATGTTACCTACACACTCGATAAGCTTCCCTATGCTTGCACCTGAGTCATGAATTTAAAAAACAATCAAACAAACAAGAGATTGAATAGGACAAGGACTAAAATAACACCAGGGACTTCCTTCCTGGCTGACAGAGTCACTAACCTACTTTCTTTTGGTAGGAAGACAAGCTCAGTATCCACTTAAAAATGCTTTCCCTTAGGAGACCATAAAATATTTTTTTCAAAATAAAAATTCACTCCATCTGCAATTCCTCTTGAATTTACTAAAGGTATAACCCTGGTAAATTAGACGAGGTCCTCATATTTTTTTTTCTTAATGAAACTTTGGGGGTTCCCAGTGATCACTGAATTCAAATGTGAATGCCCAGAACTCATCTGCTTAATCATCTCTCCAAGTGTTTGGCAGGGATCAAGTTCAGACTCCTGTTCTGTAATCTCTGTGCTCTGCCCTCTTACCCTATGTGAAAACTAGGGTGTTTGCCAATCTAAAGTCTTTGGGCACATACCCCATTTGTTTGTGCTTTTCCCAAAGTTCACCAACAGTAGTGCTGTAATGTTATCTGCAGTTGCCTGCACACGGATGTGAGTCTGTCAGGGCCACTTTCTGAAAGCCCTTGACCCTAAACCCCTTAACAAGCTCTTATCTTCCACTCTCCCTACCCCTACACATTCCAGCCAACTCAGAAATCAGGGAGGTGTCAACCTCTACAAAGTAGGTAGTAACCTAATCTTTGTAAACACCTTTTAGATTCTACGTTTCCCAAATGTAGAATCAACTGGAACTTTTTTCAAGATAGATTCTCAAACTTATACTTGCCCACCTAGATCATCGAGGTGGCCACCTGGACCACCTAAATCATCTCATCCAGGCAACTGTTAGTCAGCCAGCACCTACTGAGAACGGGCCCACAAAAACCATGAGAACAAACTGTTTCTCTGCCTCTTCCAGGACTCGGAAAGCCACATCCCCACCCTCCCACCCTTGAACATGCATGATAGGCTCAGATGAAGAGCATCTGGCACCACACCCAGCACATCTTCTCTTCCAACCTGCTTTCCAGCTAGTCTCTTTCCACCCAAATCCAAATTCTCTATATTCCTATTCACTGTGCTCCAGGTTCTGAGGAGGAACATTAAACCAGTGCCCTAGAAGCCACATTATGTTATCAGATTTACTAGATCTGCCACGTCTCAACTAGCTAGAGAAGGTATTCTGTTTGCAAACATTTCTGTCATTTCTTCTTCAGCCTTTGCATCAGTTTGAAAGGAAGGTCTGGGAGGGGAGGGGCTGCCAGCCTCTCTGTAGTGTCCTGTGCCTTGCCTGCAGGCAAGAAAGGCAGGGGCTCTCTCAGGCATTAATGAACAAGCTGGGGAGCTGCTGGTTTTCTGTTACTCCCTGGTCAGGAAGATCTCAGAGCTCCAATTGCTGTCTGCAACCCCCAGAAGTTCATGCCTGTGGATGGTCCAGATATAGTTATGTGCACACATTCGGATCAGACATTATCAATCTTTCTGCCTCCTGCAGTGGGATTCAGAGTGGGGAGCCACAAAACACCAACTTAGACAGCTGGGATTAGTCCTGGAGCTGCTCCTCATAATCAGGCTGTGGAAAGAGCATGGGCTCTGCAGCCGGCTTAGAGGGTGTGTAGTCTGCCTCTGCTACTTAGTCATGTGCCCTAGATAAGTCACTTAACCCTCCTAGATTAGTTCCTTTCTCTTAGAGTGGTTGTGAAGACTCAATGAGTTTAAGAGAGCTGCCAGAATAAAACTCCCAATGTAGGGAGTTCCCTAACCCCTTACTTCTACCCCTACCCCCTCTTTGGCCAGGCCCTCCCTCCATCAGAGCCTTCAGTTTCCCCTTCTGTTGTATGTGTGCTGAGCCATCCGCCAGCTCTACATTCCTTTGACCATGATTCTCCAACAGTAATAGCTTTAGTCAGGGAAATGGATATTCACAGGAGTAAACGCACAAATGCAATTCAATGCATGAGACTGAGTTTAGAGAACTTGGGTGCAAAGAGGAGCCAGGTGCCCAAGGTTGGATCAAAAGAGAATAGTTATGAATAGAGGGAAATGACAAGATTTATAAAAGGCAAACCGAATTAAAAAGAGGACAGACTTCCAAGGAAGCCAAGGGAGTGAACCCAGACCCACAAAAAACCCTGCATCCATCCTGAGTCCCAGGAATGGCGACTATGTAGCTGGCCAACAATGTTCTTTCAGCTGTCCTCCCTTGTTCCAGCAAGGCCACTATTACTGCAGACTGAGGATTGGTTTTTCTATGGATCTCAGGAACCAGTAAAATCTTCCTCTGTTGGCCTGAGAGGTAACAGAGTCCCCCAAAAGGTAGCTGTGAGCATTTTGGAAGCATGCTTTTGTGCACATGGGCACCATGTGATGGCCTGGCATAGCTACTCCTCGAGAGCAGGAGAACAGCCAGATCTCAGGTTGCAGTAGCCGAAAGGGCACAAAGTTTCACCCCACCCAATGTTTGGAGAACCTCTATACCCCAGCCAAGGAGTGAAGCCAAGGCTTGGCTTGCACGCTTTTGGAAAGGGAGCTCTCACCTAAGTCATCCTAAGGCATCTTTGGATATCTCTTGACTTCGAAGTGAGATTCCTCCTTTTGAACCTAATTTTTTATCCTTATGGTCCTGGCTCCACTTTCAGACTGACATGACCACCTCTAAATGTTTCATCCACAGCATTCACAGGATGCCAGATCTGAAATGGACCTTACAGTGGCTCATGATGAAAAAGAGCCAGCCCTGAGCAAGAGTCAGGGAGGCAATGTCAGGATCCTGAGGCAGAGGCAGGGAAGCAGGGAGACGAAGGTCGCCCTTGAGGAAATACGGAGGCACCCTGGTGAGTGCACCATCACTTGAGAATCACAGGTACAAGCAAAGTCCCTGTTTTCCAGTTGGGGAAGGTAAGGCCCTGCCTGGAAGGGCTAATGCACAGGCCAACATAAATAGAAGCATCCTGTAGATTATGCAGCAAGGCACACAGTCCGGCCATAGGAAAGGAAAGAGAACACAGCAGGGTTGATCCCTCTGAAATCAGTGACAATGGAGTAACAGGGTGGCCCAGGGAGAGAAAGAAAGAGGAATAAGCAGGACTCTGAATATAGCAGGAGCTGTGCCTGTGGCCTAGAGGGCCCCCACACTTGGGCTGCTGATGGTAGGGGCTCCCCTGGGGCACCGTGGGAAAGCAGCAGTGCTCGAGCCAGTGCAGAACCCACAACTCCCTCCAGCAATAAGTGCCCTGGGCAGCAGCCCAGCTGCCAGGGGCTTGGGCCTCTGCAAACCCTTGGCAGGGTCTTGATCTTAGATTGGAAGCCACATCTATGAAGTGCCCTTTGTACAGCCCGAGTCGGCATTGGCTGCATTAGAACACAAGCTCCTTCATGGTGCAGCTGCTGCTGTGAACATCCTGTCATCACTTTCCCGCCTTGGGTAACCTTAGAGAAGAAGCAGTCTGGTCCATGAGAACTTTGGCCTGGGAGTCCATGTTCACCCCCAGAAGAACCCCCCTGTGGAGACAGGTTTGGTGTGTAGGTACCTGGGAGGTCTGTTTTCCATGCTAATTGCTGAGAAAACAGGAAGCACCAGCCTTACTTTGCAACAAGGGGGTTGAGGTGAGATGAGGCTCACAGAAGAAGCCTTGACAGAGCATAGCACACAGTGCTGGGACAGATTTCTGAGGGCATCTGTCGAATTCAAAAGGAATTATTTAGAAACAGAATGTGTCTGCTGTAAGGATCTGAGAATTCTGCTTTCTGGAGGCAGGAAGGTGGCCCAAATGACCTAGAGAGACCTTTCTCAGATCCTGCAATGTTGTCATTATACAGATGAGAAAATGAGTGTGACAGGGAACTTTATGTTGCACCTTGGTGAAAAGAAATTTTAGTTATAAAAATATTATAAATATAGGTTTATAAAAGAGAGAGGATAATGAGTGAGAAAAACTTTTAAAGGTACTGCTTAAAGGAAAACACTTGGGAGATATCCCAGCACTTTGGCCTCTTGGGCTCTGCTATCTTTTTAATTCCCTACCTTCATGTTCTATGGCTTATCTGTGAATTTGGTTAACAAATTCCCCAGCTGCTCAATTGGATAAGATAAGGCAGAAGATGTTAATAGAGAACTCCATCTTTTCCCACTGAGTCTGATTTGAGGATTCATTGACTTGCTAAACCCAATCTTTTCCCTGCATTTTGTGTCCTATATGGGCTTATCAGTGCAGACAATAATCTACCCACCAGGCATCCAATGAGTACCCATGACAGGTAGACGGCAGATGGGAGGGTAGCCTGTTGCCCCTGGGGACCTGCAGAAAGGTGGCCAAGGCACTGGGGGCTGAGAGAGAACTTGCCACTGGGACCAGCCAGTCTGGCTATAAAGAGAGCTCTGAGCACTAGCCCACTTGACTCAGTGGCCTGTGGGGGTCAGACACCGGGTCTCTGCTTTCTACTTACCTCGGCCTGTGCTGTAATGCTGGAGCTTATCGCTGTACACAGCCTCTTTGCTATAAGCCCGTTTCCTGTGGATAAAAAGAGGGGCTCTCTCAGCCACAGGGCACACCCACCAGTCTGTTCCAGGTACCTCCATCTAGGCCCCAGGCCAGATAGGGGCTCACCCGGGGCATCTCCCAGGATTAGGGACTGGGCAACTCTCACTTCAGCCCTCCTGCTGCAGTTAGAGCTCTTGTTGACCACCACTCACTCCTGTGGGCAGATGGTTCTGCTTTCCAGCCAAGGTCTTGCAGAAGCCTGGCGGGACTGTGGGACCCCATTCAGAGGGCAGTGCTGATGGGGGCAGAGGTGAAGAGGATGTCCATCAGCACTTAAGCTACATTGCAGAACTGCTTGGGAGGGAGCCAACTACAGGGCTTTGCGTGACAGAATCTGGGCTAACCACTGAAGGCAGTAGCAGCAGTATTAAAAAATCACAAGGCTTTCGGGGCCAGCTTTTCTGCAGAACTCAGAGTTTCCCTTTCCTCCTCATCTTCTCTCCTGCCAGCCTGCCTCCCTCTTGCTGGCTGCTGAGAGCCTGAGCTCTCTTAACTGGAGGATGGGTTATGCACAGGCTGGATGCTCCAGTGAGTCAAATGCAATTTTGCAACTGTCACTCTGAAAAGCCATTGTGTGTAAGAGGGGGCTAAAAGTCTTCGTTAAAATGAGGTTTGAGGATGGATGCTGTTTACTCATAGCCTTGCCCAGCTCTCATATGAATTTTTTCCCAGCTAAATAAATATCTAAAGAATTCTAGGCTGCTCTTGGATTGAGATGGAGTGATGATTGTGGTCGTGAATGGTCACACCCTATCTGATCCACGCAGCCTGGGAAACGGCACATGGAGAGGGGCTTCCTGGGTCCAAGGAGAGCAAGTGAGAGTGGAGGACCTACCTGCTACAGACGATAGAGATGGCCACCAAGGACACAACGAACACGACCCCGGCCGCTGCCGAGCCAGCAATCAGGGGCAGCTGCTCCCTCAGCTCTGACTTGTAATCATCTAGGTGAGAAAGAGGCATTAGAATCCTCCCCATGTGCCTTTTGCATACAGCTGATACTCAGTGCACAATACCAAAAACATGATCTAAATATACATATATGTAGAGGATAGTTTCTATGTGTCAGAGTTGTAAGTCTAACCAAAACAAACAGCAATTTTTAAGTTATAAATAAACAAAAACAACCAAAAACAAAGGACAATGAAAACAAAACAGCCGTGACAGAATCTGGGAACTATAGCTGATGACATTCCTGGAGCAGAGATGATTTCCAATCTACATTCCCTCAATTGGAAGGTCTCTCGAAGAACTGTCAGCCATGTTAAGGACATTCCAATGAAGGGGACTTATCTAAATGAAAACCACTGCTGAAATATCTTCTAAAGCATGAAGTTATGAAATGGCACAGAGTCAATAGATTCATTGAGCAGATACTTAAAGAGTATCCGCAGTCAGCCAGCACTACCTCCAGGCACTGTGGAGGACAAAGAAATGCCTGAGAAATGAATGGCCCAGCACTCTGAGTTCCCGCTCAAGAAGAAAATGATCAAGGCTTCTGCCAAATGTTAGAACCATGCTGAATTATGCAGTGGAATGGGAAGCCTACGGGTCATAGAGGCAGACAGAACTCATCTAAACCCTGGCGTTACCATGTGCAAGCTTTGTGATACTGGACACACGATTTAGTCCTTCTGACCCTCACACTTCCTGTCTGTTGAAAAAAATCAAATCATATGAAGCACATTTCACCCTGTCTGCTCTATCATAGGTGTCCTAAATACCAAATCTCTTTTCTTTAATCTATACAAATAATTTGGGCCAGCTGGCTAGTATTGGTATTGTCCTGGTTATGCTTTCACTGGTGTTAAAGAACTATTACCTAATGTTCAGGACCTAGGCATAGAGAAGTCAAGCTATTTATGTTCTATTACAATTAGAGTTGCCAGCTATAGCAAATACGAATGTAGGACTGCCAATCACATTTGAATTTCTGATAAATAATGAAAAAGGTTTTAGTATAAGTATGCCTCAAATATTGCTTGGGAGATACTTACACTAAAACATAATTTTTGTTTGTCTGAAATTCAAATTTAACTGTTCATCTTATTTTTTATCTAGCAACCCTAATGACAATACTTCTTTTTTTTTTTTTTTTTTTTTTTGAGACAGTCTTGCTCTGTCACCCAGGGTGGAGTGCAGTGGCACAATCTTGGCTCACTGTAACCTCCGCCTCCCGAGTTCAAGCAATTCTAATGTCTCAGCCTCCCGAGTAGCTGGGATTACAGGCACATGCCACCACACCCGGCTACTTTTTGTATTTTTAGTAGAGATGGGGTTTTACCATGTTGGCCAGGCTGGTCTTGAACTCCTAACCTCAAGTGATCCACCTGTCTCGGCCTCCCAAAGTGCTGGGATTAGAGGTGTGAGCCACCATGCCCACTGACAATACTTCTTAAAGTGAGGTTTCCCATGAGCTATCAGAATTACCTGAGCCCGACTGTTAAACATGACTGTTTCCAGACCCCTCCTCAGATCTACTGAATCAGATCCTCTGGGTGAAGAGCAGGGTATCTGCATATTTAACAAACAGTCCAGGTGATTCTAATGTTCCCCAATGTTTGAGAACTGTCCTTCAACCATGTTGGAGGAGAAAGATTTCTAAGAACAAGGATATTGGTTCTTGAAGCCTCCCATTCTCTAGAATTTTAAAGACGGAAGTCAATTTTAAAGACTGAAGGAAAATTTTCAGTTGCCCTCAGCTGAGACTTTCTGTAATATATGTATTTAAAACATAAAGTTGGCGATAGAAAAATACACAGGGAACCCCAATGAAGCATCCTTAACAATGTCTTTATAAATTAAAAACTTCATAATGTAATATGAAACTTGAATGATTTTTTAAAAATTAGGCAGCTACGTCAAAAATCAGAACAGTGTAGCTAAGAGCAGCCCAGGGCCATAGTGGGTCTGCCCTATGTGGAGGTTACCAGCCCAAAGTGTGGCCATTGACTCTGGGCAGGATTCCACAGGTCCTCCCTGCCCCAATGACCCTATCATCGATCAACCTTCTGACTACCTTCGCTCTGCAGACAGGCCTGCTGCCCCAGTGAACATAATCCGTACCCATGTGTGAACCTCAGTCGTAAGACAAATACTCCCAAATTTGGCCACTTACCAGAACTCTCTTACAACCAGCCCCTCTTGGGTTTGCAAAACTTAACTGCCAAATGTAAAAGAAACAGCCTTCTTGGGAGAAATTTGTTACTTCTTGATTTGTCTAGCAGAATTGCCAAGAGACCAGCACTCGGAGCATTTTGAGTTTTGGGCTTTTAATCCTGTGTACGTCCTGATGCCAGAGTGCCTATAAATCTAGACAGTAAGTGAGGTGCAAAGTGGAGGACAGAGCCCTTAAGGAAAAAGAAGACAGTCTGTGTTCTTTTCATACCAGTAGCATTATCAACCTGAATTAACTGGCTCACCTCTCTACCCCATCTCACCATCCTCAAAATATGAGAGAAAGTCCACCTCAAATAAACTCACAATAGATTGCAAACTCCAGTCCTACAGGGGCCAGACGGTTCACATCAAAGTATCCAGGTTAGAGATATTGGAAGTGGTGGGTACCATATGCAGACAGCTGCCTCTCAGCTTTAAGGCAAGGTCCTCACTCCAGAGTGCCCACAAGTATTGGCTTCTCTTACAATTTTTTCACAAGAACATCAACATCCTGATTTGTATAAGAACCCAACTGATTTTAAAAGTTTCCAATTAATTTCAAAATTGTTAAAAAATACAATGTGCATCAAGATAAAATCTCAAGCCCTATCAAACACCCAGACTGAGAGCATTGGCCTAAAATAAAATGCTATATAAGGACAGACTGTTTTATGGATAATTTAATTAATGAAGGAAAAATGGAAAGCTTTCAATTTGGGGAGTCAGGAATAGACTGACATTTGGAAAACTATCAGGAAACAGCTCATAAGTGAATAATAAATATAGATATATAGGTAGGTAGGCAGATACACAAATAATTACATAAACTATGGTAAATGGCTAGCTAAGAGAGAGAAAGTGGTAGGCACAGTCAGATAGATCACTTGAGCACAATGCTGAGGCTACTGGGAAATCAGATTTTTCAGAACTATTGCTGGGGGTGGTCTCAGAGGAGTGGGGCAGATAGTGATAATAGGGAACTAATAAAACCCAAAGGTAGAAGTATATTTATGGTGATAGACTTTCTGGCCTTGAGGACACCTTGGCTATTCTCTCTGGAGACATCCGAGCAGGACATACTGGGGGTCACATGTGAAGTTGCTTCAAATTTCTGAGATCCCAGGTGCATGAGACTGCCACATCCCACATTTTGTCTCTCCATTTCCTCCCTGAAGACCTTGGCTCATGAAACTAGGCCATGAGCTCAGCTTTCAGACCATAAGCACAGAGGAGTGAAGTGGGCGTGAGGGTGAAACAGAGGCATCTGGACCTGGATACCTAGGCAAGAGGGCACACTGGCTCCATGAGACAGGTATGAGTCTCACTGCTGAAATGCAAGATCACACATGGCAAGAGACCCTTCAGAGGCAAATCCAACCAGGCGTTGGGAGAGAAATGAGCCAGACATCAGGAAAATCTACATGGCCCTACTGGGAGGCAAACCGTTTGAAGGGAATTCCACTGGAATCCAGTTGGAGATCAGCATTTTTGGCTAGTGCAGCATCTTTGGGGCTACTTTTTCTCCCACACTGCCTGCCCTGTGATTATGCCACTGCCCTCCCCGACCCTTACCGTCAGTCAGAGTCTGGAAGCACATCTTGCCACTGAACTTGCCGTAGCCAGCAACAGTGCGGGCACGCACCTGTACCACATATACCATGCCAGGCCGCAGCCCATCAATCCTTGCTGTGTTGGTCTGACTCCTGGCCATGGAGGAGTTGAACTCATTGTGTTCCTAAAAGAAAGCAAGGGAAAGGGTCACTATCCCATTCCTGAAGGCTACACCCCCAGCCCACTCCACCCTGGAGTATTCAGGCCCCATCATTTCTTGGTCCTGCATATCTGCTAGCAGTTGTCATCAGCTCCAGGCCATCCCTCTGGATGGGGACAAGAAGTCTGATCTGGGCCAAGGGAATGTAGGGTCAGGTCTGGACTATGAGGTGGCCACACTCTGAAAAAAGGGGCCCAGGGAAATGACTGAGTGCTCAGGGACTGGCGAGGAAGCTTATTGTCATTCTCTAGTCCTCCTCCCCAAGGGTTCAGAGGTGAAATAACATAGCACATCCAGCTTTGCAAAATCCCCTCAAGTCTCTGACCTCAGCAGACTCAAACTAGGCAACATCCATCTGCCCCCTGCCTGCCTCTCTTTGTCTTGCTTCTGCTGAGTTGTTCTGTTTTCTCTCCTGACTCAGATCTCCCTAGACACTCTCCAAAGTGCCTGTTCTACATCACTCCCCTTCAGTTCCTTCAAGTGCTCAGGCAAAAGGCTTTGTGTCCACTCTGCTGGAGAGGTAGAGGCCATTCTGGACTGCCCTCCACACCTACTTCTGCCCTCACCTTGCCCTGTGTCTGAGAGTGCATCCCCCAGCTACTTTCCGCCAGCATTCAGAGCGGGCATGTGCCTTCTCCCTGCAGAGCAGCCCCTGTGTCCTCATCCCCCCCACCTACTCTGGATGAGCCCCATTCTCCTGTCTGTCACTCTCTCCAGCACTTTCTGTGCTGACCTCTACAGTCCCTGTCATCTGCACACTTGGGTCCTCTGATGTGCAGAGAGTTGCTTCTGTTTTCCAGAAGCATGACTCTTTTTCTCATCGTGAGTGCCCTTAAAAGGTGACTTTTTCTCCTTGCTACTTATCTTATTAAACACATGATTTGTGCCTGGACTTTTGCAGCCTCCTTTCTTTCTTGATGTTCCCCATCCACCCCACCCAACGCCACACTTCTTTTCTTAAAAACTATCATCATACAAAGGCAAAACTCTTAAATATAGATTCACAGGTCCTTCATAATGAAGTCAATTCCAATCTCTCACATTCCCCTAAATCCGGGGACCACATCTTTGCCAGCAGACATTTGCTTAGGCTCTTTTCTTTGTCTAAAATGCCTCTCTCCAGGGCTCCTCTACTCCCTCCAGATTGCTTAAGCCTATGTTTCCCAAGGCCTCTTCTCTTGGAAGGCTTCTTTCACCAGTCTGGGCTGTGGACTGTCTACACACTGTCATTCCGAATCACACCTCACCCCAGCACCTTCTTGTATACCAACATGGCCTCTAATCATTTTCACAGGAGCATATCTTTTCTTTGCAAAGATCCTGGGTTATCTGCAGGTATGCATGAACAGAAGCTTGAAGCCTGGGCCTGTCTTTGTCTGCACCATGAATCCTAGAAAAAAATGGGGACTTTAGTGAAAATGAAGAGCCTGGATCACTAGGAGGGAATGATCCAAGTCCCTGTGTCCCCTGTGCAGATCTGGGGTACTGAGATGAGTTCTAGGCACAATGGTTCAAGAAGCATGCTTTACAAATTGTAAACTGTATTCTTGGTAAAATGACAGAAGAAACAGAGCTGAGCTAGGATACAGTACAGTGATAAGAAATTCCCATATAAAGAATATATTTTATGTAAATATATGTAAAGAATACAGTACAGTGATAAGAAATTCCCATTGTTTAAAATATATAAAAGCCTACTTTGTGAAGTCAAAGATGACCTGATGTGTATTTATTTACTCATTCCTTCGTTTGGCCAGCCAGTTACATTTATGACACACTACTATCTCTGGGTGCTATACATGGGCTGCAGGTACAAAGGCATGGTTCCTTTCCTCTGGGGATGTAACATCTGTGGGTGGACTGGTAAATAAATAGAAGATGACAGCAGTGTTGATTGAGTGAGTTGGCAGAGAGCAGTTCAGGGGATTGTGGGGGCACAGCAGGGGACCATCCAGCCCAGACTTCAGAGGAGATGCAGAGTGACTGAGGGAAAGGGTGACCTGAGTTGAGTCACAAAAGATGAAATAAATTAGCCACATGGATGAATGTGGAGAGTGAGAACAGAATTAAACATGCAAAAGCACGGCCTAGAGGAGTTCAGGAGACTGCAAGTAATTGGCATATCTGAAGTGTGGGTGGCATAGAAATGCCCATAAATGATTCAGAAGCAGTTGTGAGGGACCACAGGTCCCAGGTCAGCTCAAACACACAGTTGAAAGTTACAAAGAGGCCCATTCTCACTCTAATGAAGGGGATGTCTACTGGGCCCTGGGAGAGATTGCCTGCAGAGGAGCTGCCCACCCACTATTTGATCTATTTAAACACAAGGGGATCCTCCCCACCCCCACTCAGGGATTCAGAAGAAAGGCTGTCCACTATAGAAGGGATGTCATCCAGAACTTTGATCATTTCTACTTTGACACAGTGGAGATCTGAGATCTGAAACTGTGAAAATCACCAAGTCACCTTGCAAATAAGAATAAAATCCCATTGCTACAAAATCCAAGCAGCTGCCTGAATTCTCTGGTTTTAATAGAATCTGCTGAAATCAGGCACTGGCTGATAAATATGAAGCAGTGACTGGATAGCTGTTATTGAAAAACTGTTTTAATACATCATTGGTATTTGGATTGTGAGGACCAAACATTACTCCATAATCACTTTATAGTCCAAACATTCTTGAAGAAGTTCAGTGATTAAAATGAATATTAGTTCTTGTTCCCCACAAAATCATTAATCAATTTCAGGCAAATCAGTAAGAGCCATGAACAAAGTTGCTTTTTTTTATTATTATTGGTTGCTTATGACTAATTATAAGTATGTGGGAGACAGAGGATGCAGGATGGAGAATGCAGCTGTTGAGGGCAGAAACCATGTTTCCCTCATTTCTCCTTCCCCACCCCAATATGCAGCGCAATGCTTGTACCACCTGGGCGCTCAACAACTCAATGCCAAATGAATAAATAAACAGTAAACTTCGGTCCAGTTATTTGAACAAATTGATTGAGCACAAGATATTGCCAAGGTCTGAAAGAGTCTCTATGAGAAAACGATCCTAAAATTTGAAAGGTAGAAATTACCAAGGCCTAAACCAGCCAGTCCTAGCCTATATAGTTATTATGAAGAGCGAGTAACCATAAACGTTTAATCATTAAGACAGCTGAGAGCAGATGTAGATGCTCCTCCTATGGTTTGTCTACAAGCGCTGACACCAGGAGTGAAAAGTGCTACACGACAGTAAACAAGAGAGAATGATGAATGGAAGTGTATTAAAATGGGGAAGGAGATGAACATGGGAAAGGCTCCAGGAGTGTCATCAGCTTGATGGCATCTGAGCTCTCTATTAATGAGCTGGTGGAGGAAGCAAAAGCCTCATCAATTCTATTCATAGAGTGAAACTGAAAGGGGTCCTAAGCGCAAACCAAGGGTTATGTGGAGCAGGAGACCCATGGAAGATTTTCAGGGGTTACAAAACTGCCCTCATGGACCAGCTACCTGTTTTGATAAAGTTCCACTGGAACCCAGCCATGCCCATCAATTTGCATATTGCCTATGGCTACTTTCCCGCTACAAAGGCAGAGTCGACTATAGCAGTTGGGGCAAAAACCATATGGCCCGTAAGCCTAAATTAATTACTTTCTGGTTCTTTACAGGAAAAGCTTGCTGACTCCTGGTTTAGATGAGGGGCTGGGACTTCCTTGGGGGAAGAGGAGATGGCACAAGATGAAGAAATAATGGGGTTTGCTTCTTTGGACCAAATCCAAGACATCTACTGTGCTGAATTCTATTTGTGTTTACATCTTCTAAAGACCAGGATTCCAAGGCCACATGGAGCAGGTAAGCAGATCATTCTGTTTGCAAGTATTTGGATTTATTAAGATACAATCTCTTATTTTGGGAGCCACACTAATTTTGAGATCCTCAGCATCGGAGGTGCTTGCATCCACTCTCCTATCAAGCTCAGAAGTTTCCACCACCGAAGTATCATAAAAATGTGTAAAGTTCTGGTTCTGTGACTCCCTAGCAATGACCTGTGCTGTTATGGGTAAGTCATTTAATGTTTCTATGACATAGCTCCATCATCTATAAGTTGGTTATATATATTTTCAAGTATACACTTTTTTTCCTTTAAGGATCAGAGCTAATATATCTGTGTATATCTGGCACATAATAGATACTCAACATACGATGAATTATCATCATTGTTTCAAAAGGCCCTCATGGGCTAACATCTTTTTCTTTGGTAGTCTTAGGAATAGTCAAAGCAATGTAATGGACTTTGTAGTCAAGCACTTCGTAAGTGAAGGAGCATTCCACAGTCGTATACCAAATGGTAACCAATATTTGCCCAAAGAACCTTCTCTGTTTCCAAGGAAAGCATTCTCTCCTCTGGAGTGGGGACAATAATATGCTTCACTGAGGTGTGGAAGCTGCTGCAGGCATTGGGCTGCTGTGTATGTGTGTCTGTTAATAATTAGTACAAATTACTAAGAAGCAGGGAGGTAGCCTGAATGGGAGAATAAGCTGCTTTTACAGCATAAAAAGTTGAGGTTAATTACAGTTTTCAAGGGAAAGCTGTAAAGGGAAAGGTAGTAGAGGAGCTTGGGCTGGTTTGGGAGGAAGGAGCCAAGGTATACAGGCATGAGCCTCGTGGCTTCAGTGCTCGGCCTGTCATTAAGCCCTTGACCCCTGCCCTGGCTACCCACTGAAGTGACTGCTCTGAGCACGGCAGATGAAGAGGAGGAGTATATGGTCTCTAACATATTCTTTCCCTTCCCAGCACCACCACCTGCTGCAGGGCAAAGGACCCAGGCTCGCTTCCCAGCTGTGGGACTCTGGACAAGGTTTTTGTTTTATTAACTTCTTTGTTTTCCTTTTAAAAACTTCTTTACCCATAGCAATGATACTAACATTTACCACACTGGCATGTGAGGAAGAAAGTAGATAATGTTTATAAAACCCCTGGCACACAATAGGTGCACGCTGGGGAGAAATTATTATTGTTTTTCTGAGATGAGGTGTTATTTCAATAGAGCTACAAGCTTATATGTGTGGGAAGGGGGACTGGGTGGACCCTTGTTAGGCCAACTCTGATGACAAAATGAGACCATGTGGTCAGTTAGTCTAAACACATTGTTCCAAAATATGTTAAAAAGTCAACATTTACTTCATTAACTGACAAAAAATATCTAGCAAGTAAGAGCCCTAAATCCAAAATGGATCAGATATAACAGATGCTTATGAATTCAGCTGGTTTAAATTATTTCCAATTCACTGAAGTATCTGAATCAACTCCTTATAAAACTCAATATTCTCTAAGTAGAATAGAATGCCGCTTAATCCTCCACCTTGCTTGCAAGTTCAGCTCTAATGGCTGAAGGGCATACCTCCTTACAGACTGGGATTGGTGATCCATCTAGACCTCCGCTTTCAGGGAGGTAAACTGCTACCATTCTATAAATGTAAAACTGTGACCTAGAGTGGTTAAGTAATTGGACCACAGCTCCATGGCTGGTTAGCTGCACAGGGCACTGGAAACGAGGGCTTCTGCTGCCAGTGCAGTCATGTCCCACTATTCAGCATGGCCTCCCTGTTGCAGGCCCATAGGTCTCTGTTTCTGTTCCTCTCCTTATTTCCATTGACCCACTGCAAGACCTCACCCAGGCTCAGGACTTTCTTATCATCTACATACTGACAACTCCCAGGTGGATATCTTCACCCGGTCCCCTCCCTTGAACTCCAGATGTGAATCTCTTGCTGCCTATCTCACATCTCTGCTTGGCCATTTTACAAGCATTTTAGACACTGAACTGAACTTCTGTTCCTTTCCTCACATCAGATATGCTCTACCCACAGTGATCACCTTCTCAGTCAGTGCCGGCTACATCGTTCTAGTGGTTCAGGCTAAAACCTTCCCATGCCCGAAATCCAACTTGCTGGAAATCCTGTTGGCTCTGCCTTTAGCTGATCTGGAAATCAACTACATTTCAACAGCCCTCTGCTTTTACCCTGATTACACCATCATCCTCGTTAATAATTGTAGATCTACTAGGCTCTGTTTTCAGTGGAACAGCTTAAATGATCCATCCAAAATGTAAGTTAGATCTTGTCCCTCCTCCGCTCCTCAACCTGCTATAGCTCCATATCTCACTCAGTGGAAAAGCTCCAGTCTTTTTTTTTTTTTTTTTTTTTTTGACAAAGTCTTGCTCTGTCACCCACACTGGAGTGCAGTGGTGTGATCTAGGCTCACTGCAACCTCCACCTCCTGGGTTCAAGTGATTCTCTAGCCTCAGCCTCCCGAGTAGCCTGCCACCACTCCTGGCTAATTTTTTGTATTTTTAGTAGAGATGGGGTTTCATTATGTTGGTCAGGCTAGTCTTGAACTCCTGAGCGCCACTGATCTGCCTGCCTCAGCCTCCCAACGTGCTAGGATTGCAGGTGTGAGCCACTGCACCCGGCCCAGTCTTTAAGGCCCAACATGATGACCTCCTCTGGTAATCTCTCTCATCTGTCTATTACTTCCCCATTTGCTTGCATCACTCCAGTCATGCTGGTTTCCTTCCTGCTTGTTGAATCACCAGTCATGATCATGCCTCAGGACCTTTGCATAGGCTGTTGCCCTTTCCTCCTCCAGATAACTGCTTCACAACGATCTTACTTTCTTCAGGTTTACTCAGATCTTACCTTCTCCAAGAGGCCTATCTCTACCCCTCTACTTAATTATGCAACCTGCTCTTTCCCAAGCCTAACCCTCCTGATCCCATTTACCTTGCTATTTTTTCTCTTTTTTCCTCTATGCTGTTGATTTTCTAACACACTATATGATTTTCTTATGTGTTATGTTCACTGTTTATTGCCTGTTTCCCTCTGTTGGAAAGTAAGCTCCTCAAAGGCAGGAATCTTTGTCTCCTTGATCACTAATATATCCTAGAATAGTGCCTGTCAAATAGTTGACAATACTTACTGAACAAATAAGTGAATGAATAATGTGGTTTTACAAATAATGTGTTGGGTTAAAACGGAAGGCACTGTATTTTCCTAAGATTTTTGCAAATGCTGCATTTTGCCCTGGTAAGAGGGAGGCCAGGGACCAGCTCCACCAGGCACCATTTCCCTTTTCTTGGCAGCCCCATGCCCCACTGTCATCCTCAGAAGCAGATGCTCAAGAGTAGTCAAGGAAAATAATATATAAATTTATATTTCTGTTAATTTTTATCTCATCCTTTTGAATGTTCACTTTACATGTTTTTTTATCCTCCACAAATATATTAGTGCAGTAGTACATGCATATAATTTATAAATAAATTTATTTTGGAGGTACACAAACACTTTGAAAAACACTGATCTACCAAACCACACACTCCTCTGAAGGTTCGGGGACCCCTGGCAGTTTTGTGGCATCTGCATTAGTATATCAAACATGTGACTGGAAAAATGGGACTGGTCCTTCCCAGCCAGTGAACTATCCAGATTGCAGGATGGTGGACTGGAAGTTTCTCTCCTTAGTTGGCACAGAAAGTGCCTGGGCTTTGAACAAGGCTTTGTCAGGGCAGACCTGGAGAACTCTCCCAGGGACCTTCTGGCCTCTGTCACCAGAATCCTCCCCACCTCAGCAGCCTATCTCCTTTGTGCCTTCAGCTAGCAACCATCCATGGAACAGTGGCTGGCCTTGGGTCTTGCAAGCTTGCAGGTAGAGCTGGCTCACCTTCTCATAGTACCGGATCTCATAGTCCAGGATGATGCCATTGGGCTGCTCCGGCTGTGGCCATGACAAGGTGATGCTCCTCATAGTGGCACTGACTTGGTGCATGATGGGAACGGTGGAGGGGGCTGTGGAGAGAGAAAGAAACAGGGTAGCTGAACAGACACTCAATTATAGGGGAAGGGCCATCTTCCAGAGGTACGTAGGGAGAAAAATGGCATTCGGCTTGAACTCTGCTCCTTCTTTATCATCAGCTGAGCTGGACCTGCAGAACTTCCTGTGGGTTTTGCAGAATCAATGGAGATTGGATAACAGAGGAGAGAGAAGGTAGCATTTAGGAAAGGAAAGCATGTGTGCACAGGAGCTGGAATGGACATGGGACTTTCAGAGGTGGCAAGGCTTGACCAAAACAAGAGACAGTTGGAGGAATCAAAGGAAAAGACTGAAGGAAAGGAGGAACACTGTAATGTTTTTGAGAAGAAGGTGTTGAAGGAACCTCAGTCTTGCAGTTGTGGGCTGAGCTATTGCAGAGATGAGAACCTGGGGCAAGAGATGATAATGAGAGAGTAGAACCAGTTGGTATAGAATTACTCTACAACAGAAAGGAGCATTCTAGCAAACATCTATTCCTGATACTGCAAGTTAGATTTTATTATACTTTAAAAGGAAGAGAGGAGGTATCTCTCAAAAAGACATGAACACAGACCAACAACAGAGGTATGGTCAGAGTTTTCCAAATGAGGGAATTTCCAATAAGGAGTTCACAAGTATAAATGAAGAAATGATAAACAAATCAAACATTTGGGAACAAGATAATTCCAAAATCTGTAAAGTTGATTCAGAAATCTCTGTTTGGAAATAATATTATTTATTTCCCAATTCAACATTTTTCACATGGTGTAAGCAAAATGAAAACAGTCTGGAAATAATAAATGAGGGCTGTCTTTCTAGGGGAAGAGGTGGGTAATGGATGAGGCTTCAATCTGTGCTCTGCTCAGGGGCTGTTCCGTTTAGTCCTGGCACTTCTGCAGTGATGAAGGTCTTTTCCTCACTCAAACTCCACTTTACAATGGTTTCTCTGGGGACCGTGGCTGAGTGACATTTACTATCCTCAATTCAAGTTAACAGATTGCCCTCAAAGACCTGGAATTTACACTGCACAACTACGGGGTCACAAGGTGGCTGCTGCTTTCTCCACTACTCATTGGACCCTCAGTGAGTCCCTACTACATGCAGCCCCTCAGGGAGAGGATGCAGAGCACTTGTTCTGAAGATGCTGCTAGTCCAGGAAAGCCATAAAGAGTTAGAAGTGTGATAAGGACTCAGAGCCAGAGTGTCCTCTGGGACCTTGAAGGCAGGTATGCCCTGTTCCCATTAGAGACCTTGTGGTGGCTGTGAAATGCACCTCTCAGAGTTCCTACTCCTTGAAGAGTAATTAACTAACAGCTCCAGTTCCTGCACTCTGCAGTCCATCACCATATTCACACAGAGGCCCTGATTCCCACAGGCTGCTCCCAGCCAATGAATGAGAGCAGCAGGGATGCCATGGCAGACCCATTCCTGCGATATATGGGACTACTCTGATGGGCAACTTCCAATCAGAGACTCCCCAGTGGCCTTTCCAACACTACCTTATAACCCCCACAGCAAGCTAAAGCTCTTCCTACCCTACCCAATCCTCCTTCCTTCCCTCTCTCCTTTACAGAGATCAGACCTTTCTTATGGTCTGATGGCTTTCCCAGCCTCCTCTGACTCCCATCTCATTTCCCCAGTAAATCTTTCATACATCTAATCCCATCTTTGTGTCTGCTTCATGGAGGGTCTGAATTAATGTAGTTTTGATTCCCCCTACAACTTCCCTGTTGGGAATTTGCTGCCAAGCTCCTGCTGTACCCCCAGAGAGGGGAGACTTCTTGCCTCCAGGAGCTGCTGTTCTATACTTAGGTAAGTCTCACCAATTTACATATCTTCCGATCTTTATTTGAAAGTTATCTTCTTCCCACTGTTTTCCTTTCTACCAACTGAAGTAAGAAAGGATGTTCCCCCTCCCACAAAATGTCTTGTCAAATATCTAAGGAAACTAGTTAGATCTTCCTTGAGCTATTCCTGCTGAAAAAAAAATAGTCAAATATTTCTCCCATGACCATTACATGCCACCCAAGATGGCTCTTTTCCAAATGAGACCATGTTCCCTAAATTCTCCTTAGGCTTGGGGCTTGGAAGTGAATCCAATTCTCTTTCCACTATTTGAGCAGCAAAGATTAGAATAAAACTAATATCTATCATGATCTGTGTATTATATATCTATTAATATGACCGATAGCCTTTGGATCAAAAACATGTCCCTGCTGTTCAGTCCTGAAATGGCAGTTATATATAACCTTTAGGTTTCCCCATGGTATGCTCCTCATCTTTTGTCTGTAGAGTTGGCTTTTGGCTTTGACTATGAGAATGTACATGTATCTCAACCTTTACGGTGTTAAATTTGGCCTATTGGTTTAGTAAGTGGAAATAATTTATCTTGATTAAGCTGTCAAGTGTATTTTTTCTTGCCTGCAACTTAGTAGTATCTATAACCCAGGTTAATTAATTAATTAAACATATTTATTGAGCATCTGTCAAGTACCAGTCACTTTTTAGGTTCTAGAGGCACCATAGTGAACAAAATAAAATTTCTAGCCCTCATAGAGCTTACTTTCTAGTGGGGGGATTCAGCAGAGACTAGAGCTAATAAATGAATCATAAGCTGTGTTAAAATATATTAAGTACATGAAAAAATGGAAAGGGGAAAGGGACACAGGATGCCAGAGGTGAGAGGTGTGTGATCAGGGAAGGCTGCCTGAGAAGCAGATGCAGGAGCACAGGGTTGAAGGAGGGAAGGGAGGGAGCTGAGTGGGTATCTGGAGCAGCCAGGACAAAGGGGCTGATCTGGGGGCATCAGGGAGTCAGTGGGACCCAGAAGAGAGGAGTCCACAGGGGGCAGGACCCTGAGGGACACTAGAAGGAGTTTGGCTTCTACCCTGAGCAAGCTGGAGGGCCATAGGAGGACTGTCAACAAGGCACGGTGATGTAATCTGACTTATATGATACTATTATCACTCTCTGCTGTGCTCCAAATAGAATGCAGGGGCCATGTAAAAGCAGGAAGCCAATCACAGCACTGCTGTAGTAATATAGCTGGGAAACAATGGCTGCTAAGACCTGGCCTGAGCAGCACAGTAGGCAGATTCTGAATCTATTTAGAATATTTCCATGAATATGGGATGTGGAAGAAACAGAAGAGTCAAGTGACTACAAGGGTTTTGGCCTAAACATCTGGAAGAATGGGGCTGCCATCAACTGAGAACAGGGAGACATTTCTAGAAGCAGTTTGAGAGGAGAGCCCAGGTGCTCCACTTCAGACCTGTTAGATTTGAGATGTCCAAGGTGTCCCAGAGCAGATGCTGAGTACCAGATAGGTGCATAAGGTCCATGTTGGAGACCAATGTGGAGTCACCAATATTTCACAGATATTGAAATAAGTGGAACTTGCAGAGATCACCAAGAGAATCAATAGATAGAAAAAATTCAAGATTCAGAAGATGAGGAGAAAACACTAAAGAGGCCTGAGAAGGAAAAGCCACCAATGAAGCAGAAGAAAAACCAGGAGAGTGTGATCGCCTAGAAACCAAGTGGAAATAAGGTGCTCCCAGGAGGACAGAATACGTTAAATGCTGTTGCTAAGTCAGGTAAAATGAAAGTAAGAGCTGAGTCCTGGACTTAGCAACAAGGCTTGATGGTTAAATATGTGAATGGCCTGTGATCATCTTTCCCAACACCTTGCAATCACGGGACAGAGTCATGGGGGAGGATAAAGACAGTTCAGGGAAGGCGAGGCAGTTTTCTGGAATCAGTCCAGATCATTTGAGGATCCCAGTGGGTCCACAAAGACAGGGTGAACAAATAGCTCCTGACAGTTCTTTCCTTCCACTGCACGCTGTGACTCTCAGGCTGCCCTTGCAGACCTCTGCGGAGGCACAATTTACATGTTGTGAATCACGTCAGTTTCATACAGGACTTCAGAGTCCCTCTGTCTTGAGAGCTGAAACATCATGTATTTAAAAAATGGAAAGATCAATGCTAATGGCCTGAGGATTTTGCCGGGCTTGGTTCTTCTCCTTGCCTCTACTCTCTGGAAAGCCATCATTAAAAACTCAAGATATTTGCCAAACACTGTGCCAGTCCTGTTCTAAGCACTGGGGACAGAAGAACAAGTAAGAAAGTCACAGCCCTGCACTTCTGTGCAGGAGTCTAGTTGGGGTCAGATGGTAAAGAGGCAATCACAGGGCAGAGTGATCCAGAGGCAACTGACAGTGAAATCCATGGAGAGAAACGCTCCTGTCACTACACATGGTATGGACTCCCCAGCAGTCAGCGGCACTCGGGTCTGGGAAGAGCTGCCAGAGGGTGATGGCCATCCCTGCCTGTATTTCTCAGATTCATGGCAATGACATGAGGGTTACAGGCCCTGTGGAAGACTGTGTATTCTCACACAGGTCATTCTAAATGGTTTACATTTTATTACGATGGGATTTAGCACATGGGAGAAAGCAAGAAAGCATTTCTTATCCTCCCTGAAAATCACGGGCAGCTTATGTTCAGTGCTCTGCCATCAACAGTCACCTGCAGTGATGAATTTGGTTTTTCCCTCTCCAAGGGCAAATGTCACCTCTTGATCTGTTGTTTTATGTGCTATGAAACTTTCGGACAAAACAGAAAATAATAAGAATGAGCTCTGGTATTCACTCAAACACCAACTTCTTCTAGCAAAACTAAAGCTAAAGATTAAAGAGGGATGAGAAGATTAATTCAAAGAAGTATCCCCTTTTGCCCCCATATACAATGGTTTTCACAGTAAGTCCTGGCTAATTGTCTTTTCTCTATATTCCTCAGATGAAGGGATAGTTTGCTTGAACATCTGAAAGAGTCTCTTTTTGGCAAACACACATAAAGGTTTTGAATAAATTACACATTCTACTGAGAGAAAGAAATGAAAATAAAGAGTTCACAAGATTATTCAAATTTAGCAAAGAAACAAATATGGACCCTTCTTCAGAAAACGTAAGCAGAAAGACTTAGTTTGGGGTTACTTGGAAAGAACCTGATGAAGTTTCAAGAAAGATGTGTGAGGTCTAAAGAGGCAGTGCCCGGTAAATCCAAATGGAATCAAAGGTGCCCTGCACCCTTTCTTAGCAAATGAAGAGGCTGACCCAACAGAGTACAGGCACCCAAATAGGAGAGCAAAGAGCAAAGAAGAGTGTCATCAGACTCCAAGGAAAAATCAACTAGGGTTCAAACAGAATCAGAATGAGAGTGTCGAAGAAGAGAGTTATAGCCAACAATAAAAGGCCTTGTAAATGTGTCAGAAGCAGAAAGAGAATTAAAACATCACTGGTCAAGGGGCTCTGGGATGGAGAAAAACAAAGGCAGGCTGAGTGAGTGAGTCCTTTGTCTCTGTTTTTGCCACCAAAGACTTTGGGGAAAACTTACTCTCAAATTGCTTTTAAAGCAGACAGATCCAAGATAGTATATCACATACAGCAGAGGAAGAGCACAGAATGTTCTTGCCTGAATTGACAAAGGAGATGTGAATAAATTACAGGGACAGGATGGCCCTAGCTGCAAGTTGTGAAAGAGCTCACAGATGACGTGGAACAAATGTTGGCCCAAACTAGTCACTGACCACTGGTCACTGCCAGTAGTATCGAAGATGCAGCCTGGCAGACCACCAGACAGCCCTCCATTTGTACAAACGGTCCCAAAGGGAACTGTGAAGTCCCAGGAGACTCAGGCTGGGTCTGAGATGGTGGCATGACTCTATCTCAAAAGTTAATAACCCAGACTCTGGATCCTAGAGTTCTGATGTGCAGGAGTTTTACTGTCATATCACAGGTTCACGTGGGCCAAGCATTTTATGTTTATGACATTCCTTGACACTTTAATTTAGTTACCGACTCAGTTATCTTCAAAGGTTTCTTCTTACTCATTTTGTTTTCCTTATCTGATAGGGGCATCCTCCTCCAACAATTAAGCATCTCAGATTCCAAAAATACAAGATTTACTTGATGCTTTTTTTCTAGGACAATTACTAAGTTTTAATACATTACAATGCTTATTAAAAATACTTCACAATCTTTTAGTTGATTTTTGTGCCAAAATACTTCTTTCAACAGTTTTAACCATAATCAGTTTTGGGACCTAACAAATGATATAACAGTTTACTGTGTTAAAATTAACGTACATACACTCAGACTTCAGTTGATCTATTGGAGTAAAATGTTTAAAGAGGTTATAAAATTATGAAACTCAGATTTCAGAGTTCAGCAAATCTTATCTAAAAGGGAAAACAGTGTTGTGTGTGTGGGTGGAAATTGTGACGGGGACAGCCTTGTTTGAGGACATCTCTTGCCAGCTCTAGGAAGATGTAGGTCACAGCTGAGCTGCCTCTGCCTTAGCTTGGGCAAATGCTCTAGCAACTCTTCTAGACGGCAAATGCTGTTTCCAGTGAGAGGTACTTTCACATCTAAAATTCCCAAGGAGACCCATACAAAGAGGAGGCCATCTGCCTCCCCAACACAATAACTCATGGGTGGACAGGGTAGAGTAGTTTTCCTTGGCCCTTCCATACAGTGTGTGTGTTGGAGGGTGCCCTCCCAGTGACCCCCCAGAGTGATGCTGCTGCCCCAGCCTGCACAGTGTGAACCTAAGGCTTGGTAACCACTTTTACCCTCATAGGGCATTGCTTTGTCTGGGAGAAATGCTCCTCAGTCGAGGAATATTTGGGTTGAAGAATAATGCCTCTATAAACGTTCATACACAAGTTGAAGAATAATGCTTCTATAAACATTCATACACAAGTTTCTGTGTGGACATATGTTTGCATTTCTCTTGGGAATCAACCTAGGATTGGAACTGCTGGATCATATGGTAATACTAACCTCTTCTATTCTCTCTAGAACAGCGTTTCCCAGCCAAATCATCCTTGGACTAACTACCTGTGATCTATAGCACAGACCATAGCTGTGAAGAAAACGGGTAAGGTAAGGAATAGTAAGGAGCCTAGGGCCCAGCTCAGAGCAGCAGGAGTTAGCAGAAATAAAGAAGGGCTGTTGTCAGGGCCCTCCAGGTGCTGCAGAGAGATGTGTGTGCCTATTCTGGCTCTGCCATTTGCTTATTATGTGATCTTGGGATAAGGTTAACCCAAGGCCTTGTCTTCTTTGGGCCTCAGGTCCTTCAACTGTAAAATAGGAATATTAATTCTTATGTTATTAATTTCCCAAATGTTTTGAAGATGTTCTCTGTGTGGTCTCTTGCTCCTTTCAACCAGATCCCACCTGCCAGGCTGGGGACTTGGCAACCACCCCAAACTATCCTTCTGGGTCCACTGCTGTTCACATATGCAAATCAATCACTGGGCATCATTCCCCAAGGTAAATGTAAAAAGTGGGATCCAGAGACAGCCTCAGGTATTTATCTGATAAATATCTTTGAGAGGATATATAAATATGTCGACCAAGCCATGGTGGATGTGATAGATACAAATGGGCTTGGAGAAAGGGGAAGCTAGCAAAGAGCTGGGTTCCCCAGAGGCTGGAGTGATAAACGCTCCAGAAGAGAGCTGGTTTCCCTTGAACATTTTGAGATAACCTGAAGCAACCTAGAAAGTAAGTGATAGGGTATCTTGTCCCTAAGGATAAGGAGACCGAGTGACTCTGGACAGTGAACAAGCATAGCCTTCCCATCTAATGTGTGGCTCAGGCCCAGGAGCCCCCGATGCTCCCATGGCCCTGCCACTGCCTCTCCACAGGTCTCGTCACCTGTATCTCATTGTGCCTCATGTACTTACCATCCTAACTCTCTTGTCCACCTCTAACTTCTTCACTTCAAACTACTCTGTAGCCATATTAATCTTTCTAAACTCAATTTTACCTTTGTTACTCCAATGCTAAAAACCTTCAATGGCTCACCACTAGAAAAAGCCCTAATTCCATTCCCTGTGGGCATCTCTTTTCTTGACCTTGCCGGCCTTTGAAGGCACAGGGGGAGCCTCACACTGCCCCACACTGCTTATCCTTGCCTGACCATGCCCACCAGAGTGCCCTTTCCTGCCTCCCAACCCAAAGCCCCTTGGGGTGTGATCTCCACTTTGGGACACAGTGCACTGTGATCTACCTTCCGAGGTGCTCACCTCTGCTCTCCATCAGTGCAATAAAGTCTTTAGGCAAGGACCATGTTTTTAGCCTCTTCACACTGTGCTAGCACATAATAAATGTTCAACAAAAATTTACTCTTACTGCAATGATTGCGGGCTCTTCTCTAAAGACCTCAGAGGTAAAAGGAGTCAGAAAATCCCTTAGTTCTAACAAACATGAATATTGGCCTTTGAAGGAGCATGAGGTGGAAAAGGGAGCCAGGGTTGTGACTCGGCAGGGTTGAGTCAGCAGGGTTGAGACTGCATCTCACAAAGAACATAGAATAGGCCTGAATATGGTAGTCCCAAGGGATTAGAGATAGAAGTTCTTCTCTGTGGTGTAAATGAAGACACCTAGCAGGCTGGGTCCCTCCCCATCTCACTGGGATTGTTCAGCTGTAACGTTACCCTAATATTGGCAGTTTTCTATTTTTTAAAGCTATGAAATCCTTTCTCCAAACAAAGTTCTCCCTGAAGTATAAAGTGTGAAACAGAACAATGCAGAGCTGCTCTGGGTGAATCAGAGCTGCTAGGGCCTTGAAGCCAGTCCATTTTCTATCTCCCCAACCCAGACTCTGAAAAGTTTATAGAGAGACCCAAACAATGCTGAGCAGTCTCCAGAAGTCCCCTCGAGGGACTTCTGTGAGATCCTAGAAGCTATGAGTGATGGGGTTGTGAATGAAGGATTGGGCTGGCTGGCCATCTTTTTTTTAAATATATGAAACACTTCCCATATCAAAAAACCAAAGTTTGTATTTAAATGTCAACTAAAGACTTCCAGCCCACTAGTACTCATGACCAAAGAAGAACAATTTGCAACACAGATGAACTGTGTTCCCTCTGACATTTCTATTCTAGGAGGTAACTTTGCTGAAAAGGTCCTGCTTAGATAGCTGGATCTCCCACTGTAGATGAAAACTCATTTCATTGCCCAAATATGCTTGAATTTTACATTAGAAGACCTGACTCATTAAATATTTTTGGTGCAGTAACACTTCTGGTCAAAGTAGATTAAACAAATAAGCAATTAATTTGGAGACTGGGTATAAATACAAAAGCAGAATTAATTATTCTTCTCATTGTTTTCCTCTATTGTGGACATTGGTTTCTTGTTTGCTTTTACTCTGGGCTTTGCCTTGAGATGTCTCTGACATTCCCTTCCTATCTTCCTCCTTACCCTGGGAGTCACCTGGGGACAGAGGACTTCCTTGGGTGTGTAGCTCTGCTCTGTGCTGTTGTAGAATCCTGGCTGAATTTTAGATGTGAATGGGATAAAAAGTGAGGGCTTCATGCCTGGCCTTCAGTCTCACACCCCAAGGCAGGGAGTCACAGGCTCCTCCTTCACTGGTCCATCCACTAAGGGTTTCGGTTCCGTGCCAAAGGGGAATGTGGGGGGTGACAGGTGGGGGTTGAGGGTTGGTGGCTGATCTGGGAATGTGGATTTATAGCACAGGCCCTCACTTCTGATGTTACCTTTGATGTGTATGTGTTTGAGGGTGGGGTGGCATTCTTTATTGGGATCATATATCTGACCCTGTAAGTTCTCAAAATGTAGTCCCATATCAGCCTCACCTGGGAACTGGTAAGACAGGCAGAATCTAGAGCAACATCCTAGACTCAGTGAATCAGAAACTCTGGGTGTGGGCCCAGCAATCTGTGTTTTAACAAGTCTTTCACAGGAGTCTGACACATTCTCAAGTTTGAGAACTGCTTGTCTGGAAACCTAGAAATCAGAATGTCAAAGTTTGACAGGGCATCTGAGGCCATTCAGTTTTGGTCAACTCTTACAATTTATAGATTAGAGCAATGAAGATAAGAGAGGGGAAAATGACTTCCCCAAGTCCCCAGAGGTTAGTGCAGAACCAGAAACAGCTGGGCCTCCTTTCCCTGAGATCAGTGTAGGGCTCCCTCCCCACAACTCATGCACTCTGCATTTCCAGAGCCTTGAGGAGGCCAGGCATGGGGGTGGGGACATTGAGTTACATCAGCATCACTAATGGATGGGCACTGCCTTCTGGGACCCCTTGTGCACTTAGGGAGATCAGGGGTCCCCACCTATGGTGGAAGTGTGCAGAGCCCTGTGCCTGGAGGAGGAGGCAGGCTGCAGTGTGTTCCTGGTGGCACTTCTGCCTCCTGGGTCACTGCAACCTGGCAGTTTTCCACAGCTCCTCCTCCCTGCTGGGGGAATCAAAAGATGTCTTAGAATGTGCCATTTATGTGAAAACTATAGCAAACCTGCATTCTGTGACCCTGCAACCATGGGAGGCTGTGGAGGTGTCTGTGGAGCAGGATACTCTTCAGGCAGGCATCTAAGCACTGTGATGGCTGCTGAGGACACAACCATTGGTACTCACATGTCAACTGGGGCATGTCACTGGCCTCTGCCTCCCCTCAGGCCTGCCAGCCTTTCCCAGGTGTAGGACAAGAGCAGAGCACTGGCAGCTTTGGTCTGTTTAATGATTGATCATGAACGGCAGTCCACTCCAAACACTAGCAGTGGAGAGGCCACAGGAGATACCCCACCGCAAGTTGTGTGCCCCTGTTACACCTGGCTCTCATCCCCACACATTCAGCCAAACCCCTAATGCAGCTGGAGGACCCACCACCACCACCCTAAGGCTGACATCACTGCCACCAACGCTGGGCAGGGGAGCTGCACCTGCAGTCACTGTGACCATCCTCCTCCAGGCCTGGAGGTCTGAGTCTTCTGGCCTGAAGGTCCAGAGCCCCTCCTCCTCAGAGCAGCCCACCAGGCTGCACAGGCGGGCTTCCATCCTGCCATGCCCACTCTTTAGCCCCTTTCTGGACATCACCAGCCCCATGGAGTTGTGGGCCTCTTCTTGATTCTGACTTTCCCACTGACTACTGAGCCCACCCCCACCCTGGGCCCTCCACTTACAAATCAGGAAACTCCCCTGTACCCACCTCCTTCCCTCAGAGCCTTCACTCCATGCCTGCATTAAGGAAGAGCAGCTGTCCCTTGAGGACACCTTTGCCTTGCAGCCCTCTCACCTGATGACAGTTTATGATTTTGCATCCAGCACACCTCAGGGTCAGGAAGTGGGGTGTGTCATCCTTGCTCCCCACTGTCTCTTTCACACCATCACTCGCCATCTCCTGCACCCTTTGCAAAAATGCCATTTGGCTAGACCACCACTCTCCAGGTCTTGGGACCACCATATGCTCCCTCCCACCGTCACGCCCCCATTCATCGGAGGCATGAGCTTCAGTCTTTGTCTTCCTCTCTACCCTGAGCCTTGCCCTCCTGTGTGTGAGTTCAATGTCCACTTAAACAATATAATCTCGGTTCCCTGGCCTCTACAACTCTTCCATGCCTGCCAATTTCCATGGCACACTTAGACTCTGCTTTGCCTAAAGTCACTCGATTTTCAAAATCACAAGTCTAAATATTCTGCTTCCTCACCACAACCTCAGATGAGCCCACTGCAACTCTTTTTGGCTTCATCTGGCACTCTTGGCCTTTACTTCCACCCAATGCATCTGCCTTCTCCTTTATTCATATCCATTATTATCCATCTTAGGCTCCATCTTTGCAATAACATAATTCACAATACTCCTCAAAACCTTAGGCATATGTTGCCTTTATCTTTTCAGAGCATATGACTGTCAAAACTCAACCAGAGGTATATTTGTGATCTGTTTCTTGTAGGGCCTGCTGTCCCGGAACCATATACTGCTGAGAAAGCCACATAAGAGGAAAAAGAGGTGGCTTTCTAAACGTGTGATCACCAACTTCAAATGAGCTCTCAATACTTTCCAGAAATATTGAATTTACCTGGGTAGTTCCATTTCCCATTCTCTTCAATAGCACTGCCAAGCCTTTTCCATTCTCCTCAAACTTTCAACCCCAATACTTCCCCCTTCACTCTCAGCAACCAATCTTATTTCCCACCTTCCAGAGAAAATAGAAGCCTGAATATCCAACTGCATAAGTAATATCCTGATTTGAGTACTCAAACTCTCCACAAATTATGCATGTGCAGAATCGAACCTGTCTTCTGTTGATGCAGTCCCTGAATACTTCTGGGAGCCCCTGGGGAGGTCTCCTCTGTACTCGCAAACTATACTCTCATTCTCCTGCTTTGCTTTCTTTGTTCTCCATGTCAGCTGCCTTCAAGACCCCTCAAGGAACACTGCTTATTAAGCCAGATGGCCAGGCCCCTCCCTGAGGACCTGTGGTCCTGTGGGAACATGGTTTTCAGTGCTTCCTCAGGCAGCACCAGGCTCAATGCCACTCTGAGAGCCCTGCCTCCATGGTTACTGGTGGTACCTCATCACACAGTCTCAAGGCTGCCTGTCTGTGCCTCAAACTTCATAGCATGCCTCACACAAAGCTACTTTCCTTGCCCTCCCAATCCTCTATCCTAGGCACTCACTCCCATCCAGGCCATCAGATGATGAAACAGATGGTAGCAGGACCTCACTGTCCTTCTAGGGACCCAGTCTCCTGCACACCCACCTCCTAGCAAGCTTCCTTCCCTACATGCAAGCCCCTTCCTGCAAACAAAGACCAGCCCGCTGGTTTAGGAGGCAGCACCAGCATGTGACATGGTGTAAGGTCAGCCAGGACACCTTATAGCAGAGGACACATTGCTGAGGGGCAGGGTTTACTGGGAGGAGAAAGACATGGCCTTTTCCCTTGGGAGCCCTCAGTCTGCCAAGAGAAATAGAGCCTAAGCACATAAACAACAAATGCACATCCAAGAAATCACTGTATTGTCCCTTTAACAAGCACAATTCAGAGAAGGGCAACATACGTCACCGTTTCTACAGGGCAGATGCGCTCTTAGGGGGCATGACTGGGCTGTTGTTCCCCCAAGCTGTTCTGAATGGTGAAAGCGTTTGCTCTTCCATCAAAAAAGAGAAAAAAAAAAAAAAAAAAAGGAAAGGAAAGAAGCGCACACGCTTTAAAATCCTAAGGCTCAATTCTACAGCAAAGGTTTTCCTGCAGTTTGGCTACCAGAAGGAAACTGATCCCGAGGCCTGAGGGATTGGCAAAGAGTTTACCTTGCACTGAAAAATATTTGTGGTCCAGCATTGCCTTTATTTACCCAGAACATTCAATGTGCCTTTTTCCTCCATCTTTCACATCCGCTCAGAGAAGATGTTAATTTTCTGAAATTAAACACTTAGCTTGATTACTGTTTTGTTAATTGCTGCATTCAGAAACCCCTGGTGCTCCTGCCTGTTTAACATGGATGGTACTGTGAAAATGATAGGCGCGGGGCTGGCATGCAGGGGGACAGACAACAGTGCTGGGATGCCATCCCAACCACCCTCCCTGCAATTGCTCAAGCAGCTGGGACCCTGCCAGTGGGGGAGGTAGGACAGGCCAGGTCATAGAAGAGCAACTCTCACAGAACATGGTTATGGTTTGGGGGTGCAGTGCACACAGGAAGCCTGAGGTCTTACCAACATCTGGGAGAATGTAAGGGGTAACTGCAATCACAGCTCCCCACCCAAAGGTGCCTGATAAAGGAAAGATCACAGAGACAGCTAAAGCTGCACCATTTGCTGATGCCTGAGATTACTTTAAGAAAGACTGAAGCATTCATTCATGTATTTATTTAACAAGTTACTAGTTCATTCAATGAACGTTTATTGATTGCTTTCTATATTTCAGGTACCCAACTAGACGCCTATCTGGACACAATAGTCAACAGGATGGATACAGGGCGTTCTCTCCTGGAGATGCCAGTCAGTTCATGGAGTTGACTTGACTTGCCACAGGAGCATGGAGGATGGATCACCTGCACCCTCCTCCCTCCCATCCTCTTTGCCTCTTTATGAGATGCCTCTTTATGGGATAGCTCACAAGGTGAACAGCAACTATCTAATAATCCAACTGGTGTCCCCTCTCCAATAAGGGTTATAACAATCTCATGTGGATATGAGATCCTTACAGGGTAAGAAATTTCCTCCAGTCTCATTGTCAGTAGCCATTTTTACTCCTGAAGCTATGTACTTGGAGTGCCTGGACCAAGATGGAGTAAACAAGCAAATAGGTCCCTGAGTCCTGTGGGCACTCTGGTACTCCTAGCAGAGTGAAGGCTGTTCTGGAGCTATTAGCAGCATCACAAGCCACTGCTCACAACCTGGAAGGAGAATTCCCATACCCAACCACTGTGTGTCCCAGCGTGTGATATCCATCCACAAGGAGTTCATTCAAACTGGTCTGTTGAACAATAAAATATCCCATCAAACACATTGTCACTGTATAGCAACATCCACCACAAACTGAAATGCTCTCTGGCAACGACACGTGGTTCCATCCTAACTTTTGAAATGTAAGAATGGGCACCACAGAAGAGGGTGGTACCAAGAGCCCAGCTGAGGGTCCTGCACCCCATCAAGTCACTTCCCAATCAGTCACCTGCTTACTTTGTGACTTTTCTGGGCCTCTGATCCCAGTCTCAGTGAGTGCTGTCGACTAGAATGCAAGCTCCACAAAGGCACAGATTTTTGTCTGTTATGTTTGCTGCTGTGTTCCCAGTGTCTAGAGCAGTATATGGCATGCAGAAAGGCCTTGAAAAATATTTGACGAGTAGGCGAATAAATGGGAGCCCCTAAAAAGCAGTACCCTTGAGCCAGTACTTGCAAGCAGTACTTGGTGAGCAGTCATAAAGAATGTGTTAAGTGAATGAATACATTTCCAAAGTTAAAATGCCCAAACAAACCAATCCCTTTGAGAGTGGTTGAGTCTCTTCTGTGTTCCTCTGAGTGGATCAGGGCTTGTAGCATCATCCTAAGCAACATTCCCTAAGTTTTCCTGCAAGGAGCCACAGTGGAGGAAGACTCCAGATTACATGACTAATCTGGGAGGGATATTAAGATGTTACCTGTGGGTCACCAGGACACATTCTCATCACCACTCCCCAGCCAAACACTTACATACTAATGCTCATCTGTGGGGACTGAAGCCATCTGGCAAATATTTATCAAGGCTCTCTGTGCCTGGCATTGTGCGGCTGCTCTCTCAGGAAACTGGTGGTAGGTGAGAAAGTGTGACTCTCCACATAGCTCACCATCTGGTGGAGGACTGCGAGGTTGCCAAGGATAGAAGCCAGGACATTGGTCAGGGGCAGTGCCATCTGCCGACCCTCTGAGCTCAACGGAGAACACATCATTGTTTGCAAATGGCCAGGGCCTTTCTGAGGCCACTTGGAAGTTCCTTCCCAATGCCAGAGCTTAAGAAACAATAAAAACAAAATTTTCTAGAATTAACAATGAGAAGAAAGCAATGAAACAAACTATGAAATTGAATTAAGAACAGTGAAAATTTTATTTGCTTAAGTTTTTTTTAACTTTTCTTTATTAACTTCGATGAAAGTTTTCTTTCAAGTCCTTCTAGTCTTTAAAGTTCTCACTCAATCTTTTCTCTGTGTTGGAGCAAATTTTGCCTGCTAATTTCCAATAAGCACAGCCCTTAAAAATGAACTGGCTTCAGCATATGGATCTTAACACTCCACATTTTTACAGGCAGCAGTGTAATATTGTTTTAATATTTAATTTTGAGATTTACATAATATCTTTCCTCCAAAGAGCTCAATATATTGCAATATCATAAAATTCCTTTTCATATTCAAAGATTATTCTTTATGCATGCAAATACTATATTTAACCAAGGAATAATGCAAATTAGGTGATGTATTCAGAGGAATTGATGGGCTAGGTAATTCTTTTGTAAGAAAATTAGTGTATCTGAGTGATTTTAACTGTCTAAGAACTTCAAAAGTGCCTTAAAAATGGACAAACTATAGGGGCTTGTAACTATTAACAGAAATAGTGCAGCATTTTTAAAAGAAAAGTAAATAATGGGTTGTGTCTGTGTTGTGGGCATGATGGATAGTATTCCACATGGAAGTGGCACGCAGGCCATACATGAACTGCATGTAATATAAATGTCAGATATAAATTGTGCTGATAAGATCATGCAAGTGAGGGGAAAATTGTTGCTTCTTCAAATACACAATGAGGAAAGATAGAGAGGCTCCTCTGAGCATCAGAATCATCCAATGGCAGGTACCTAGGTTCTGGGCTCCACTTCCTACCTCATCATTAGCTCACTGGGATACAGACTTTGCTACTTTCGTTTCTGGTGCCTACCCCTCCCAGCACAGACTGGAGAAACCAATATCTGTTATGTATCTGATACAGATAACATCAGTCCCAAACAAAGAAACTGTGAAGGCTTGGAAGGAAACAGTCTAGGGAGAAAAAATACGGCAAATTGCTCTCTAGCTGAAGACATATTCCCAGAAATGATGCTAATCTCTCAGTCCATAGCATAGTTTACAGAGTGATTTTCTATCTGCTCTCTCATTTGCTTGTCCCTATAGTACTAGGAAGCAGGTATCATGACACCTGTTTTATAGGCAAGAAATGAGGGATCTTGCCAGTTAAATGAACTTGCATGATTCATGTGAGGAGCAGAGAGGGGAAGCAACCCCAGGAATACCCCACAGCACTCTGCCACCATGAGCCCAGAGGTGAGGAAGATGACTGCCCCGTGGTGGAATGAGAATGGAAAACAGAGCATGCTTGGCAGTAAGACTTGGGTTAATCAGATTCACCCTCTGAATCAGAGGTTACAAACCATCGCCAACAGGCTAAATCCAGAATTGGATTTCTTTGGCTCTCAAGTGCTTTAAAATTTTCTAATCAGTTGTCAACATTTTAAATCTGGATTTTCAGCTTATAAAATCAGGCAGTGCTGGGCATGCAACTCTTGCTGGAGCTGAACAATGGCTGCCTCTAAAGTTCCCTGCAGTCCCCACCACTCTCTATTGCCTTGTACCTGGCTCTGCTTTGCTCCTCTCCATTACCTGCCTGGCCTTAGGGGTCTTTGAGTTTGTTCTCTGGCTTAGATGGTCCCAAGCTCATGTGCTGGTCTGATTCATCTTTTATACCCCCAAGATTTCCTCTGAGGTCTTCTTTTCCAACTTTGACACTCCGAGTCTATTTGACAGAAGAGAGAAGTAAAGTTTGTCATTCACTTAATTCTCTCTGACAGCCAGATGATCCGGCCATCAGTCTGAATCTGGGGCCAGATGCCAGAGAGTGACTGCAGGAGTTAGTGGTGATAACAATCTCTCTGCAGATCACTTGGCCACTGGAACAGAGAGAGTTGCACCTGATCTGGTCTATTTTAAACTCATGGCAGCTGTATTCAGTGCAAGGATGTATCCCTGAAGACCTCACATAAATCTGAGCTTGCATAATTCATGACCAATCCTGACCAAAGATGATGGACAGTTTTTGACAGCTAAAATGGCCTAGCAATGTGGCAACAGCTTAGAGAGAGCTTACGACTTACACAGTCCACTATAATGTGATTTTTCATCAGTCTGAGGATAAAATGGCCACAAAACATCTCACAGCCAAGAAATGATGTTTCTCAGAAATATCTGCAGCCTAGGGAGGTGCAAATGATGTTTCTTAGAATCCTTTGTTGGCTGTGAGATGCTGAGCAAATTCAAAACTGCTCTGACCTAAGTTTCTTCATCTGACCCACCTTCTCTGTAAAAAGAACAGAAACAAAAACAAAAACAAAACACTTGGTAGGGGTTGGCACATTGGAGGTGCTCAAAGATGTCAGTTCTCTGCCACTGCCTTTGGACTGGGTAAGGATCCAGTCCTGAAACTCTCCAAGTGATACCTGGTCCTTGAATAGTCATGACTATATACATAATTGGGGTCATGATGGGAGAAGATGAAGGCTCTCTGAATCTCAGAACTCAACAGACAAGCCTGTCTCTGAGTGAAAAACTGTATCTACCATGTGCCCAATGACCAAAAAACAAATGATAGCAAAAATCTCCAAGGTCTCTTCTTAGATCACAGCTCTTGGAATCAAGAAGAGCCTATTGTTGGAGACTATGAAATGGGGAGCCCAGAGGTACTGTCCACTTTTAGGACAGAACACCACAAGGCAGACACAGACAAGGGACATCCTGCTGATCTCTTTCTAATCCTAGATTCTCCAAATCCCTTTAAGTCTCTGCTTTCTTATTAGAAAAATAGGAACAATAATCCCCAAGTCATTGTGTAATTATGAGGATTAAATGAGTCCACACAATTCCAAAATTCTTTGTGAACTCAAAAGAAACACAAACATGAGGTGTTAACTATAATAATTATTACTCATCTATTTCTCAATCAGGACCCACTCAATAGTCCCCAGCCACTTCACAGTTTGGGCAGTTCCAGACATAGAGTACGCATTCAATAAACACAGGTTGACTTAATGATTGATCCCAGGACTCCTCTTGGTCAAATTCTTTGCCTGCCATCTAGCTACTCATGACTCAAACAGTAGGACAGGTGGCCACAGGCACAGAGAGGGGTCATACCATACCATGAAGCCAGGGGAGGAAGACTGAGCTAGATCTGACCCAGTGTGAGCTAGAGTGGACCAGCTCAGGGGTATTCTGGGAAGGTTAGACATGTCATGACCTGTTGGTAACACATGGGTCCACCCACCTCAGCCCTTAATGGATCTGAGTCATTAGAGTTTTTATGATGCCTACTTTTTAGTCTCTTGTCCACCTCTGGTAAAATGCATAGCTTCTGTTCATGGTTCTAAACTGTTCTCACAGAAGTTCAGGTTTGAATGTTTACTTTGATGGTTCTCATCTTTAAAAAAATACTATCTGTTGGTTGAAAATAATTTGTATTTACACATAGATTCATCAAATCAGTGCGATGGCACCCTGTTCCTCAGTCCACAGCCCATAGATTAGGAACCACTGGTCAACTTGATATTTGTTTTACAATAACCATGTGCTACCAAGAAGAAATTGCATCCTTCTCTCAGCGAGTGTAAACTCTCTGACACCAGAATTCCAGAGTTACCAAACAGGGAATCATAGATTGGAAGGTGATAATGGAGGCTAGGACTACAAAATCGGGGATGATTAAGATTAAAGGGCCTGCCAGAGGGGGAACAAAGCACATGAGAAGTGTGCTCATGGAGGTGCAAAAGGGTGAGGATACAAATGAATATTTTGCATGTTGGTAATGCAGGGCCCCTTGCAAGAGCCTTGGTCCCCCAGCTCCACTGCAGTCTAGGAAGGTGCAGATGGCAAGACAAGCAGATGGGCAGGTTCGGGAATAGCAGGGTAAGAGAAGGGAGGGCAGAAATAAAAGCAAACCGATATAAGTGGCAGGTTTGTTCGCACATGCTTAGAGAGAGAGAAAAGACAGCCAAGCCCAGTGTAACATGACAGCCTGGCAGGATTGTCATTCCCAAAAGCTGGGACACTAAAATATTTCAGCCAGTTTTCTGCCTAAACTCTTCAAGGGAAATACTGCTAACAAAGGCTGCCCATGTTACATGCTTAACATAATGCAGAAATTACCATTCTCCTTTCTTTGGGTAAGACAAAATGTCACAACCTTTGTCTCTACGGCACCAACACTGTGGTCACCAGCTGGAGGCTTCTACATTTCCACTCTTATTTTCTCACTACACACGTATGCATGTAAACACGTGACCATACACATACATACAAACACACCACATGAACACACACACACACACCCACACACAGCAGCAACACAGCCATCTGGACAGACATGCTCTCCTACGACACCTTTTTTCTTCTCAGTTCTGACAGCTTAAACTCAAGATTCATATGCCATCAAAGATGCCTAAGATGCCTGGTTTTAAAAGAAGCAGAATGAGTCTGAGGGTGGGGAGGTGAGTAGAAAAGGATGGAGTAGAAAAGAGGAGGTCAGGGAGGGGGAGATACACAGAGGAAGAGAGAGCAGAGATAGATGCTTGGCTCCTGCTATTCTACTAACAAGCTGTCCTTTTAGAATTTGTTAATTGAGAAAAATCTATAATTCCAAATAGCATCACGGTCCACTGCCTATGACCCCCATTGCCTGTGCATGTGATGTTCACTTCCCCTCTGCAGCCTTGCACGGTAACCCCGGGAGAGAGATTGCTCATTTTTCTCTAACTCCCTTGGTATTTACTGCATGCATATAGCATTTTACCTTGCAGCTTTGTGCTTTGTATCTATATCCTCTAAATTCTTCAGTTAATGAGTTTCATGGGAGGAACAATAGTGTCCAAGTATCACTGCATCCTTCACTGTGTCTAATCCACAGCGTGGCACACAGTACATGCTAAATGACTGTCTCTTAATGATGAACGAATAAATAAGTGCATGAACGGACTCGTTAAATTGATATAAAAATAAACAGATTCTTGCAAGAGCTGTGAAAAGTAATAAAGAGAAAAGATCAGAAGAGTGTAAGATTCAGAAATAAAGAGGAAGAAAATGTGTTCTGAGCTATGCATCCCACAAGGATGTGCTGGCTATCAGGAGCGATCTATTGCCATCTATCTGAGGTCTCAACAGCAGCATATCATTCATCAGAGCAAGCTATAAAGGAGAATACACTTTTGAACTACATAGATTTAATTGGAAAATGAAGGTAATATTGATTTTATCATATGATCTCTGGAAAATTTCTGTCATTGGGTTTCCATAAAGCATCATTTGTCGTCCTGTTCTCAAAGTCTTTCAGTGCCTCCACTCACTCACCATCTGTCTGTCCATCCATCTGTCCACCTACCTAGCCCTCTGTCCATCTGTCCATCCATTTACACAATCCTCTGTTTGTCCACTCACACACCTGTCTGTCCATCTCTTCATCCATCTTTCCAACAGGATTTGTTGAGCTCAGGCTGGATGAAGAGCACTAGGTCCTATTCTGGCTTGGATATACCTCTTTGCTTTTGTGCTGGGCACAAGAAAATCCCCTAGTCTGCAGCTCATTCTCAGAAGCGCAACACTACACCTGCCTGCTCTATGTGATCACAAATGCCCATCACCTGACACCTTCACTCCTGGGCAGAGGCCTGACAGTACACGGGCAGGATGGGTGTGGCTGCAGCTGTGTCCCTGCCTAGAGACAAAGAGCCAGCCACACATCCAAACAGGAGCACAGAAGCCTCCAGACTTACCGGCTTGGTTTGTGGTGATGTTGACAGAGACGTGCTGTGGGGGGAAGGGACTCTTGCTGGAGACTCCATTGATGGCCTGGATGTCAAAGGTGTAGGGGGTGTGGGCCCACAGGCTGCTGATGGAGACGCGGCACTCCGTCAGGCCCAGCTGCCTGGGCACAAACTCCACATTGTCGTCACAGCGGGAGCAGCTCCGGCGGTCTGCCCGGCACTTTTTGCAGATGATGTTGTAGGTCACATCATCCCGCCCACCTGTCTCCCTTGGAGGGTGCCACTCCAGAATGATGGACGTCTCATTGACGATGGAGATAACATTGCGGGGACCTGATGGGACGCCTGCAGGGAGACAAAGAAGGTCCAGTGAGGCTAGACATAAGCTTCCTTGTCCGGCAGCTCTCTTGTCTGCCTCTGGTGCATTCCCAACCTCATCAGTGCGCTCGCCTCCCACTCCTTCCTCAACCCCAAATGGCTATGCTTCAATTCATTTTAAAAGAAGAATAGGTGAACAGAGATGACAACTTGTCCCTAGCTCCCATTTCAGTCATCTTCACTGAGGCTTTTCTTCTTTCAATCATGTGTGCCAAGGGAAAGACGGTTCCAGGACCTGGGTTTAAGGCCTTTTGCTCTCAGGATCAAGCCACATCCTCCAGCCAGGTTTAGGGTTAATAAAATGTATATATATTGAACATTTACTGGATTCTTTGTCTAATCTTAATTGGTGTAGAACTCAAGGGTAGAAGGATATGAGTGGCCCCTCCAAAAACCCTAACATATTCTGAAATTCTGCACAAAATCTCACACATTTGGGATCTATCTGGTGTGTGCGTGGTAGCAGGGATGCATCTCTGTAGGGACAGGCTTCCAGAGCACCTGAATAGATGTATATTTACATTGGACCAGCTTTGGCACATGAGAAAAGAAGCAGAATTGAGTGGAAGAGGTTCATGTAGTCACTTTGGGCCCCATGACGTAAGAAAACACAGGAATGTGTTTAGACATTCTGCTAGCTGCTTTATATACATTACCTTATTTATTCCCCCCAAAGACCCCTACCAGGAAGATAAAATAATTATCTCAATTTAATAGAAAGGGGAAGTAAAGCTTAGAAAGGAGGCTGGCTATAGATCGCATAGCTCTGTAAGAACTGAAGCCAGTGTGAAAGCCCATACCTGCGGGATTCCAAAGCTCACGTTCTCAACTATAGCCCTGCTCTGAACAGACCTTCTCTTACAAACCAGACAGGCTCACTGGGACTCACAGAGGGCAGCCTCTTTCCTCTGGAAAGCTCTGTTTATGGCTACTTTTCACAATCTGGCAAAAACTGAAATGCCTTGTTGCAAAACTGTGGAAATCCTGGTGCTTCACAGAAGAGCAAAATATTGCTGAATTAACGGCCACAATGCTGGGCATTTTGAGATTAAGTTGGAGAATCTGCTGCCCAAAACCAGAACAGATCATAGCCTCAGGTTCCCAAGCCTGAGCCTTGCATCTCCTCAGTGTCTAACTGATAAAAATGAATCCTGCCCGGAAGCCCCCCTTTCGAATGGCAGGTCTGCTGGAGCAGCCGCTTCAGATAGTAATGCATTCAGAATTCATGCACGTGACTGTCACCAGCTGAACGAAGACATGTGTAAAGTGGTTCATGCTGGAGACAGGAATCAAATGCCAACACAAAAAATGAGGGAATAACAATAAGGTCGGGGGGCACCAGGGAAGGATTCTGTGTTGAATCAGTCAACAGCAAGCAGCTAGAGCAGAAAGCAAATATTAAATCGGGTTCTATTAAAACTTGAAAGAAAATCAGTACTGTACCATATAAAGCCCATTAGGCCTGAGCTAAAGCACAGCGTTCATGCACGCATGTGACAGGGCAGAATTCATGGAGCATTTTTACTGAAGTCTTGCAAACAGCATTCAAGAATTCCCCACCCATCTGCCCAGGAATAAACATCCATCTCTTTTCAAATAATCACATAGCTAGTGCTGGGAAGGCAGTCAGTACTGTCCCAGGTAGGCTCTTACAGGGCTGGGCCAACCTTGACACACACTGCACAATTCATTACCATCCATATTGGTCACTGCCTGTCTTGGACACATCTGTTTGCTTCTGACTGATGGGACTCATACCACAAGCTCTCAGCAGTCAACGCAACTCTTGTTAGTCTCACTTCTATAGCAGAGAGCCTAGACTCACCCGCGGGCCCCTGTTTCTCATCTCAAAGTAAAGGCATTCACTGAGTGCTTGCTTTATACTAGGTGTGGGGTGAATCTTTTTATCTCACTGCATCCTTGGGACATCCTGAGGCTATCACTCAGAAAGCAGCCTCGGGTGAAGGGGCAGAGGCAGGCACTGACCAAGAGAGTGATCATCCATCCCTCTCACCCATTGAGACTTTCCTCCTTCAATTATTTCCTCTCTCCTTTGAGCTTCAGCTACACTCTCCCCACTGACTCCAGCTTCTCAATGTAAACTCATACAAGTCTTTGCCATTTTCAAACCAAAACATCATCACCTGGCATCTATCTACATTGCACACCCTCTCTTCTTTACTCTTGGCTCAGCCAAGCTTTTGCAAACAAGAGCCTACACTTACTGTCTTTCCTCTCTCCCTGCTCAGCCAACTGAAGTCTGATTACTTCCCCACTTCTCTGCCATGACTGCTTTTCCTTTGGCTTTCTATGTGACAAATCCAGGGAACACAATTCAATCCTTACCTTCTTTGATACCTGTGTAGTCACCAGTCAGGCCCTGGGAGCCACATCTTCTGTATCACCTAACACATGGACCATTAGCACAATCTGTCCATCTTCCTCTACTTTTCCTTAGACATGTTCCTTCCTCTCTATCCTCATGGCCTCAGAATTCTGGGCCTCATCATTTTTCCTACCCTATTGCAAAAGCCTCCTAATTAATTCTCCAACATTGCTTCTGCATTTCTCCGATATAGTCTCTTCTGCCAGAGTATGAGTTCTAAATTGCACATGGAGTCATAGCGTTCTTCTGCACAATTTCCCCCCTGCTTCCTGACTATCCAAAATGGTTGCCCTCCTTTCCATGTCATTCAAGCCCCCGTGGGATCTTGCTTTTCTTGATCTCATCCCTGGCAGTTGACCTTCACCCCTCATATTTTGGCTAATAGAAATGTTCCTGAAATTTCCTGTGCACACTAAACTCTCTTCTTATCTCTGAGCCTCTACACAATGTTTTTCCCTCTGTCACAAGTTCTTTTCCCTCTGTATCAACTTGAACTCCTGCTCACTCTTCAAGGTCTAGCACCCATTCCACTAGGACCCTTCCCTGAGGCCCAGCAGTCATGATCTCCCTATCTGGGCTTCCATAGCTCATTTCCAGGTGCCTAAGTCAGATTCCATCATTGCATTGTGATAGTCTCTTCCTCTTTGTCATCCTCACCACACTGTAGCCTCCTGGTAGACAGGGGCAGTTGTCTGGTCTGTTTCTGTAATTACTATCCCCAGACAGCACTTTGCCCTCCCACCTGGTTTTCTACCTTTGCTCAGTGTGCATGGAAAAGGTCCCATGTATATACCCCTCTCCAGCGTGAGACAGGATGCCTTGCTGTAGGTGGATGGAGGGGCCTTGGAGAGGCCTTGAAGTAGCAGCAGTAATCAGTGATGACCCACTGCTTGTTACTCTGAGTGGCAGAGGCTTTGGTGAGGCAAAGGTGGCAAATGAAGAGCTGGATGGAGAGTTTTGCCCAGTCTCTCATCTAGTGGCCTCCCTGACAGCTGGGAAGACCCACCCTTGTCGATGCTGCTCCATGTCTGTTCATTTACTCCCAGCTGCTCAGGAGGAAATGCAGTGAGTTTCCTCCCCCACCCCCACCCCCCATTCCAGGGGAAGGGTTTTTTTCCATGTTGTTTTAATAAACGTCTTCATATAAAGCAGCCACTGCCCCCTTCCCATTCATGTGTGCTTTTCAGAGCAAATGCATCTGTGGCGCATGAACAGGGGCTTGTGAAGGTCATGGTTGTTGAGTGCAGGAGTACATAAATCTGAATCCCTTCCTTCCAAGGAGCAGAAACAGACATTAAGGGCCTTCCCTGGAGAATGGACTCAGAGGGCTAGGAGAGCCAGACATGCCCTGCGGTGTATCATTCCCCTGCCTCCTTGAGGGCAGGGGTGTGTCTTCTTCCTCCCACAGAGCAAGTGCCAGTGCATATTTGTGGAGGTGAACAGAATCTGGGCCACAAAAAAATGACCATTCATTATTTACTCATTCACTCATTTACTCCCGTAACTAATACTCCCGGCATTCTTTTCAGCACTTGAGAGGCAGAAAAACCAAGACAGGCAAGCTTATTCTCTTATGGAGCTTATATTCCAGTGAGAGAAAACTAATAGAATAGAAGGAAACAGAGAAATAAATGAAATTATTTTAAATAAGAATAAGTGTTATGAAAAAAAAAGCACCAGGGCTCAGATGGCCTCCTAACAATGCTGGGTTCTGTCTGTCTCTTATTCCCATGAGGCCCGCTCCAGGGCTGGCAAGCCAGGGCCTCATGTCTGGGTGGTTAAAATGATGATGGCCCCAGGTGTCTGTGCCGTAGCATCCTGATGAGATGGGCATATTCCTGCAGGTAGACTGCTCAGTCTCCCTATGGCCAAATGAAAGTCTGACCAGGGTAGATTTGGCGTCTGCATAAACCTCCCTGGAGGAAGATGCTAAGCCACTTCCCTACCCATCCAGGCATTGCCTCCTTGGCTTGGAGCCCTACTCTTGCAGGGAGTATTCATCCAGAATCTGGGACCCCAGCAACATCTCCAGGAAGGAGGCCAATTGAGACCACTAAACAAAAACATTACAAGGGGGAGCAGAGAGGGAAGCCAGAACAGAGAAAGAAAATCTGCCATCTCCTTCCGCAAAAGCCCTCAGTGAATGCAGTGGCAGGGCTCAGCACCGTGGTCTCCCCGTCTAAGCTCCATGCTCTTCCTCATTTTTCTTAATTACATACAGACAGGCTTTTTGAAGCCTCTCTGATCTGTTGCCACGGTTACTTCTGATGAATGCATTCTGTTTAAAGGGCTAAGGAAATTCAGTCCTTTTAAAGGATGGGAGAAGTGTTGAGCTGTGATTTTCTGTTTGGGTGAGGAGGGAGTGTGGTTGGTCATGAGTTTTGAAGATGGGTCTCCGATGTCCTCCAGGATGTGCCTGAGAGGTTGGCTTAGCCTGCATGGAGCACGGTTGTCACTGGAGTTAAACAGGATCCTTCTAGACCCACAGGGCCAGCCCAAGTGCTACCATATTAAGATAGAATCTCCTGCTTCTTAATGTGATTTGGGCCAGATGATTTTTTAAAGAATGGTGAGACAGGGTGTGTGGGAGAGAGCGGGTGAGTTTATTTGCAGGCATTAAGCTGGAAATAAGAGCACTCCTGAGTAATCAAAGTGAAAATCTGCTGAAGACAGGTAAGCCCCCAAAGCCAATTCCTTTATCAGGAATCTTAATAAGGCTAACCTTCTGGTCTCAGAATTTAGTAGTAAATTTCAGGCTGGTACAAGGTGCCAAGCAGGTCGGGTCTAGCTCATTGTGCATTGCTGAAGCCAGGGTCTGTGTCCTGGGATCCCTCCCCATTGGGTGATGGTGAAGGTGGCAACCACAGTGGTTGTCCACAAGGTTGGAGCTATAACTTGGGAGAAACACTCCCCTGGAAAACCCCACATTCAGGCTGGGATCATGCTCCTCTGCATCAGGCCAGAGGTGGGGCCCTCCCTACTCTGTGCATGACCACTTACAGAATCTGATAAAAGCAACAAAGCTTTTCCCCCAGAAAAGTGAACACGTGTTGCAACACATGATTTTTCAGACTCTGAGGGGGTTCTTAGTCCCCCGAAACCAACCGATGATCCTCCTAAGTGTTCACAGTAACCAAGTTAAAACATATTCTCTAGTTGGTTGACCTTGAGAAAGTGAACTTCTAAGTCTCAGTTTCCTTATCTGAAAGATGGTAGGTCAGAGAATTTAATGAGATGACATGCCTAAAGAGTTTAACTGTAGCTGGTCCACAGAGAAATTGAGTAACATCAGAGGCTAGTGGTAGTAGTAGTATTTGTATTGTCATTATTGGATTATCGGGAATCTTCACCTGCTCATGTAATTAAGACTGACCTAATTCAGCCACCCTTTCTTGAGCAGAGACCTCTCATTCAGAATTATGCTAAAGACTGTGAAAGCCGTGAGGTCATGGAACCTATGTTGGGGAAACCTGATGTAGGAGCCCATACCTAAGGAGTGCTGGAAACTGTGAACACATACAGTAAAGGATCAAAGTGGTACAGATGCAAGGTGTTACAGATGCTTGGGAAAAGACATGACCAGTGCAAATCAATAGATTCAGAGATGATCTCTGGTACCTGTCACAGAAACACCTTGGAGTCTGCCTGCCCCAATCTGCACCTTCCTGGCCACCTAGCCCCAGCAAGCACTTCTACCAAGGGGCAGAACCTTAGCCTTGAGCATGGGGCTGTGTCTCCAGAATGGGTCCAGTTCTTATTAGGTACTGGGCTTGTGACTTCTGTCTGTACCTGTATCTCTGCTTCCTGGCCTCCCTAGAGGTAGCCTGACTTTGACTTGGTATCTGGTATTCATTGTCCTCCCCTGACCTATGGGAAAGGAAACCTTTCCTTTACTCCCACAGCAAACTGTGCCCTCTTTTCTTTCTCTCTTTAGGTGAAAGAATTGCAGTGGGGTCTGGGAATAAGCCAGGAAGGACACTTGATACTCAAGACTCCTAGGTATTATCAGTCAGGAAAGCAACAAATGTAATGTTCTCCATGGCTGAGAAGATTCAAGATTGTAGTTTGGAAAAATTACTTCAATATGAAGTTCAATATTGAATATGTACTTCAATATCAACTTTAGCACTCTTCAATATAGAATAAAGGTGAAGAGGTGGTAGAGAGGGTGACCAGAAAATGATATCAGGCGTATGGATGGTGGGAGAGACTGTGGTGTGAGTGACTGGGAAAGTAGCATGGTCCAGAATTCAATTTTCAAAATAAGGATTCTACCAGAGTGTTTCTTTCTCCATTGGTTATTGTGACACAGCTACTTAAAGGAACCATGTCTGAGTGATTGGAAGGCGCCCTGGAGAAGGTAAAAGGGTCTTTGAGATGTTATGGGGAAGCAGAATTCAAGAAGCAGAAGCAGACAGGGAAATGGGGGCTGTAGAAGTTTGAAGAGGTCTTCTATGGGGGCGAAATATGCAGGGAAAAAAGTCAGGCTGGTTATTATACCTAGCCCAAAGTATGGCACACACGGCTAAAAGCAGGATGGATTGGAGGATAACATAAGCCAAAAGAGGGAAAGTTTCAACTGTCAGGGATGTAGACCATTATCAAATAAACATGAATTCAGCTTCATGTGCAGTGGTTGTTTCTTCTTGATAAATGGTTATTTGAAAACAATGCCAAAACAAAAGAAAACAACACCAAACCTTTATTCTTTCTAAGTACCATTTGTGGTTATGACACTCTCTAGCCTAAGTTCAGCTCTCTTCCTCTCCTTCTCTTGCTCCTCCTAAGTATGATAGTAATTCCTTTTCCATCATTCCCTCAACAGGAGCACATCAGACAGGAATGACCAGCATCATAGAGGAAAGGGCTGTGATATTTTGCAGCATGTTGGTTCAGGACCTTGGAGAGTGGCATAAGCCTATGTGTTCTCTGTCCCTTTCACTGAGTTCTCTGGCCAACAGTGGGGGTGCTTCTAAAGATTCTATGTCAGGCATCATAATAAGATCCCAATAACAGAGGTCAGTGGTGCAAGAGTTGCCCTGTTTTACCATAGGGGAGGGAGGTTACTGAGGCAATATGGGAAACGAGGAATAAGTTACCAGGGGCCTGTGGAAACTAGTGGCACCAAAGTGGACAGACTGGTAAGTAATTTAAAGGATGCCAAAGACATCCACCTCTCAATAGCAGAAGCTTGGAAGGGCTCAGGATCTTCAGAAAAAAACAGACCAAGCATTGTCTGCAATCTGCCGACAATGAATACCAGACATATGGGACATGGTTTTGCTCAATATGGAATAAGTGGTGTCTGAAATTCTGAGGTGTCCCTTCAAGAGAGGGAATTGTGCTGAGGGTCCAAAGCAGCAGGTGCTGGCTAGAAGGTTGGCTGATGCCTGTCTCACCGCAAGCTCAGGCATCCTTTGAGGCTCCTGTCCTCAAAGTGTAGGATATCTCACTGGGGCAAGGAGGAGAGGGCATTAAAGCTCAGGGAAATCATGTTGGTCTACTTTTTCTAACAGCCATGTGAGCACAACCTTATCAGAGAAAATTTTATACCACCTTTGAAATCAGCTTTAAATGAACCCCAGTAGCAAATTACTAAGGATGGGAGGTCACAGATCTTCAGATACAGACAGAACTGAGTTGAATTCTGGATTTTGGCATAGCCTATCTAAGCCTCAGCATATTCACTGGTAAAATCTGCATGATGATCACAGCAACCCATAGGAGTGTTGTAATGGACTACCAATTGAGCAGTGTAAGTAAAGGTTTAGAACAGTGCCAGTCACTTAGGATGGCTTCTCTATTGGCAGCTGTAATTTTTAACTCATTGTTATATGGTAATGATGAATGTGAAGACAGTGACACAGACACTGCCCTCATGGAGCTTATTCTCTAGTGAAGGAGTCAGAAAACATTTCAATACGTAGATAAATGAATAGTATCAGCAGTCATAGGGCTCTGATGATACACAGAGAAGGAGGAGGGGAGACAGCATGCTGGTGTGGTGAGGGGAGCTCTCTCAGAGCAGAGGCCATCTGGACAGAGACCTGAGTGTGATGAGACAGAAGCAATGCAAATATCTAGAGGGAGTGTTCCCCAGCCCAAAGGACCGGCATGTGCAAAGGCCCTGAGGTGGGAATGTACTTGGTTCCTTCTTTGAGGAAGATCAAGGAAGCAGCATGGTTGCCATATAACAATCAAGAAGTAGAGGGGTCATAATAAAGATTAGAAAGGTAGTGGGGGAGGCAGACTCATAAGTCCTGGTTTCAGCCTGCCAGGAATTTTACTGTAAATGAGGTGTTACTGTAAGGAGGGCTCTGAGCAGAGAAATGGCATGCTTAGACTTATGCTGCCTTGTGGAGGACAGGCTAGAAGAGGATAAAGGTGGAAGAAGGTAGACCAATCAGGAGGACACAGCAGTCATCTAGGGGAGAGGTGATGGTGGCTTGGGCCAGAATGACATCAGCAGAGGAGATGAGAAGAGGCAGATTCTGAATACTTTGTAACATCTCTGAACAGCACGAACAGTCTTTTTACAGATACTATGTCACTATTTTCTCTCAAAATTCTATGAGGCATTATTATCCCCAACTTAACAATAAGAAAACAAAGGCCCAGAGTGACAGAATGTCTTGTCTGTGGTCACACAGTCACTAGCGGAGGCATATTTGCTACATGGGTATGCATGCCCAGCACTGGTGCTGGGCATGGTGCTTGCCTTCTAGGTGACCAAAAGGGCTCCCTGTCCCATTGCCTTCCTGTGGACATGGCTCTGACTTGATGAAACTTGTTCATATCACTGCCCAAATGACCAATTTTGGGTCCTTTCCCTGGAGCAGATTTCTACTTGCCCTTGAATTGTCTTTGGAACCAAGAAAGAGAAATTGAACTTTTGGATACTAGGTGCATCTGAAAGCAGTGGAGGTCAACATGGAAATTTGAATTTTCTTTTATTGATAAATACTGTATGCAAAGTACTGTCTTAGGTATTTTGTGGATTACTTAATGTAATCTTATCTTTCCAACACTCTTTGAAGTAGGAACTATTGTCTACAGTTTAATCATGAGAAAACTCTAGCTCAGAGTATAAAGAAACTTGCCCAACTCATGCACTGGTGGAACCAAGACTTGAGTGCAGGGCTGGCAGGTTCCAAATCTCATCCTTAACAACTCTTCCACCTGGGGTAGAGGCACCTAATGCTGTACAACACAGCTGTGATGCAAAGCATTTTCTGGGGGCTGGGGAAAGATTTCACAGAGGCAGGAAAAAGCTCCTGTCCCTGAGGCATCTCAGCAGCTTCCCTGAGGAAACAGAACAACCATGATTCCAGGACTATGCTAAGCGAGTCTGCACGTGTTGCTCATTAGGGTCTTGGAAACACTGGGCCTGTACTCAGGCAATTCTCCTAATCATAACAGTTAGTAATAAGAAGAAATGATTAGTCAAAACAAGGAGGGACCCTGCTGAGAGGGATTTCAGGAGCATCAAAGAGCCTAGTGCTACACATTTTACCAAAACCAGTGTTTGTAGAAAGTACTTATTGTTTCTCCTGCTTCAATGGAGCCAATTGTCTGGAAGAAAGGAAGTAGATTATACATTCTGGGAAAAGAGACAGCCCCTCTACCTAGCCTGAGCTCAAGTCTGAGAGTCTAGGTTTCCTTGAGGCTGCAGAAGCCCTTAGAGGATGGCTGAGGCCCCTGGATCCTGGGAGGCAGTGCACCTCAGTAGGGAGGTATTTATGACTAGTCTCAGGTTACTATCCATGCGGGAGATGGATAGAAGGTTGAATCTTCTAGCTGTGGCTCAAGGTGGGGCCAAAGAGTGGAAAGGTACAATATGCTGCCACCCCTGAAAATCCCCTGGAAATGCTCCAAGTCAAGAACTATAGGTCATGTCATCTTAAAGACATGGCTTTCAAGACCCCTTTCATACCCCTGAAATGCAGCATCAAAAGCTTTCTACAGTGAGGAAAGATGCACTGGACTCAAAGAAAAAACTGGGGCTGAGTCTTAGCCTTGCCAAAGTGTGACCTTAAGCAGTCACTTATCTTCTCTCAGCCTAATCATTCATTGATCCTTGACAGATCAATCCATCTGTGTTTATTGAGACCCTCCTGTGTGCTGTGCTGTGTATGTGGGTTTATGAAAAGTTCACCGATGTCTACCCTGAGAAGCTGAAGGTCTGCAAAGGAGACAGGCACCTGCACAACAGCCACACAAACCACTGACTGACAAAGCTAGTGGAGATCTATCCCCCTGAGCCTGGAGATGGCCAGGCATTGTGCTACGGGAACTTGGAGGGAACACTGCCCTCTTTATGGGAGAATCAAATGGCATAACATAGGTTAAAGCATTCTGTGATCCTTAGTGTACTTCATATGCATAAGGGACTGCCTGATATAGTTATCTGGGAGTCCCTTTCCATCTATTCACTTTCTAGAAGGGAAACAGGGACCAAGTGCACACCTGTACAATTAAAAAAAAAAAAAGACTTTGTGCAGAACACTTGACCTGAAGGCCCTGTGAAGCAGGAAAAACATCTCCTTGCCTAGGGCCCCTGAGACCCCAAGCAGACCTCCTGTATAGGTTCTCCCAGGCCTTTAGGTAGGGTCCTTGTGCCAAGCCCTGCTCACAGCACCTCTGATCTAGTGTCTCAGAGGAAGAATCCCCAGAGCACTTCCTGCTGAAAGATCACCATACCAGGCCACATCCTGCCAGGACAGGCTCCAAGGCATTTGCTGTCACTGGAGGCAACAGTCCAAGCAAGCCGGTTAGAGTCTTCTTGAAGTGAAAAGACATTGACACACACTTCAGTCTTTGGCACAACAGAGGAATAGGTCTTACAGGACAGAACTTCTACAGAGTTCCTTGTTCTGGACATTATTTCTAATTGATGCACTCAGGCCCTGAACCACCCAAAACTACTCGTTTGATTTAGCATATCCTGATACAGCCCAGAGCTCAGTAATTCTCTCCATGCAGATGCAAGTGTGGAGATTCAGATCTGGATAGGAATTTGCTTTGCATCTGGAGATCTGGTTGGTAGCCACTGGGCCAAAGTCCATCAGGCATGGAGGTCACATACGATGAAAGCCTTGCAGGTAAAGGATCTCAGCTCCTCGCAAGCCACTCTCAGGAGTGCAGAACCTGGCTAGTTCCACACAACACATACTCTGCTGAACTTTTGGATACTAGGCACTGATGAGGGAAGGGTATGGGACTTCTAAGGTGTTTCTTTTACAAGAAGACAACCACCTGGACCAGACTGGAGGAGTCCCTGCTGCATGCAGATAGGATGGAACCTCTGGGCTACTGTATGGTCAGAAGTCCTATCTCTCCACCATTCCTGAGAGATGGGGATGCCCGGGGAGGAGTCCTGCATCTCCACAGTCCATCAAAAATGATTAAGAGCCCCCTTCCTAGATGACACAATTTTTTCTAGTTGTCATAATTTTCCATCTTTTTCTAGAGACCGCAGATCAGACTGGCATCAAGATAACAGCTGGGAAGTGACTGTGGGTTAAATATTCATGGATAACTTCCAGGCACTGGCTTACGCAGCTGTAAAAGAGACATGTGCTGCCTCTCTCCAGGTATCCAGAAAAGGCCCTCGTTCCTAAGACAACAATTCAAGGTCAAGAGAACAAAAAAGAAATTGAAAAAGGTAAGTATACTTTCCAGGGTGTTATAGGTCACCCAAGAGAAAGTCCTGATTTTGACATTTCATAGACACAGTAATTCACGGCATGCAATGAAACCTTGGTGGTCAGTGTATCTCTGGTGACAAACACCCTCTACAGTCCCTCCCTGTTGGCCAGCCTCTGTTAGATGTCCACTAACACAAGATGCCCAGCAGAAGAAAGCTCACTATTCCCACCACTACACTGTCATCTGTTAATAATCATAACCTGTTTGAAAATATAATAAAAAATTATTTATTCACAATAGCCACAAAACCATAAAATACCTAGGATTAAATCTCACAAGACCTCTGTGAAGATGACTACAAAACTTTACCGAAGAACGTAAAAGAAGACTTGAATACCTCATGCCTGGATGGAATAAAGAATATCATAAAGAAGAGAATCATCCCCAAAGTAATCTATATATCCAATGCAATTCCAACCCTGATTAAACAGGATTGTTTAATGACATTTGTCAAGCTGGTTGTAAGATTCATCTTGAAGAAAACAACGTTTAAGAATGGGATAGCTATTTTTGAGAATGAATAATATACAGAGACTTAGTTCACCAGTCATTGAGACATATCAGAAAGCTACCATCTTTAGAACAGTTTAGAACTGGTGCCAGAACAGACAGAACCACCAATTAGAAAGAATAAAGACAAACATACACAAACAGTTAGTATATAATAAAAGAAACATCTCACCAAAATGTGGACAATTCAGGTGGAGCTCATGGGATGTTATTTTTAATAAGATAAAAAAGAATACTGATATCACATCCTATGCAAAATAAAGTTCCAGATGGAAGAAGGAACTAAACATAAACACCATACAGAGAATTAAAAGAAAGTATAAAAGCCCAGTCTTGGTGGCTCACGCCTGTAACTACAGCACTTTGGGAGGCCAAGACAGGGGGATCACTTGAGTCTAGGAGTTTGAGACCGGTCTGGCCAACATGGCAAAACCCCACCTCTACTAAAAATACAAAAATTAGCCAGGCATGGTGATGCGTACCTGTAGCCCAGCTACTCAGGAGGCTGAGGTGGGAGAATTGCTTGAACCCGGGAGGTGGAGGTTGCAGTGAACCTAGATTGCCCCACTGCACCCCAGCCTGGGCAACACAGCGAGACTCTGACTCAAGAAAACAAAAAAAAGAAAGAAAAAGAAAATGAAAGAAAGTATAAGAGAGTGTTTTCATGCCTTAGAGTGGGAAGGACATATATAAAATGTAGTCAAAAGCTCAAGACACCAATCTCCAAACCAGAAAGAAAAAGATGGTCAGATTTGAGTTCAAAAATTTAAAACCTCAATATGACAAAACAAGTATCCACAGAGTTAAAAATAAATGGAGGGCTGGAGGGCAGGGTGTCACATATAATTAATTGTCATCTAGAAATCAATTTTTAAATATAGAAAAAGGCAAGGGTTATAAACAGACAATTCCCAGAAGACTAAATTGGTCAATAAACATATAAAAAATACACACTCATTTATAATCAGAGAAATACTAATCAAAATGACTAGGAGGTCAGCCAACTTGGCAAAAAATAAAAGTCTTGATAGCATCATCAGGCCAGTGTGTGGAGAAGCCTGATGCACACTGCTGTGAAGAGTGTACACTGGCCAAGGCCTCTGGGAAACACTTTGTAATATTGATTGGTTCTAAGTGCATGCACCCCGTAGCCCAGCAATTCTATTTCTAGGTGAATTTCCTCCACAAATATAGGGATATGCATTTTTGTGGCAGTATTATTGTTTATATTAATGAAACACTGAATGGGCCCAAACACTCACCCATGGGGAACTGTATACTCGGTAGGGGTTGCTAGGGCCTCCCTGTGCAATTCTGTTCTCTTCTCAAGTCTCACAGAAGACACCTTTCCCAGCCGCCTTGCATGGAGAGCACATAACTAGTTCTAATCAACAAAATGTGATCCTTCCCCATCTTAGCTGGGATTCTACCATTAATTTTGTGCCAGGTCACATCAGAGGCAATAGTCCTCCTCCTTCCCGAGGGAAGTAGACTAGCACTGAGGGTGAAGAGCTGGAGACCTGAACCTTGTCAGGCGTAGAAGGAAATACGGGCTTTGCTGCTCAATAAGGTGGAAACTCGGGCAAGTCATTTAGCCCTTCTGGGCCTCAAATCCTTCATCTATAAATTGGAACCAGTTGTAATACCTGTCTTATAATCTCTGAGGTTAACTGAGAAAAACCATGTCAGAGGCTTAGCACAGGGCCTAAACTGTAGCAACACTTTAATAAATGCCAGTTATTAGTGTTAGAGGTATGCACATGTGTTCTTATTCCAATCAGCTATCACTGAGTAGTGGAGCACCATGGCACACAGCATGGTAATGGTGTATGGTCTCTGTCTCCGAAGACTTGGTGCTTCACAACCTGACCTGTGCAGACGGGTGTGGGTATGGGCACGGCTGACCTCATGGAGCCTCATGCAGACCCTGTCCCCGGGTGTGGGCGCAAAGCCTGCCTTTCACTTACAGGGAGAGCCAATTCTTACCTGGTGCTCAGTTCCCCTTTGCTGACCAGTAGATGACAATCTCTTTGTGAGAACTGAGTGGCTTTCCATTATTGCTCATGGAGTACTGGCAGGGCATGGCAGTGACCATGGGTTCCCACTGACCATTGCCCCCCACCCCACCCCAGCCCTCACCTTCTGGGCACCTCTGCCCCAGAAGAGACAGCCTGCACCTGGCTTCATCTCACTACACAGCTGCCATGCAAGTTCACTCCAACCTGCACAACTGAGCACCCTTCATTGCCATTTCCAAGGTAAGCCTGGAAAGGCAAACCTCTGAGGTGACTCAGAGGAGTTGCTTAAAAGGCCACCTTGGGCATCTCCTGCAAGTCTAAGACACAGCCAAGGAGGGGCCAGCACACCATTCCTATTAGTACCATTGCCACAACCTACTAGTCTCCAGAATGGGAAGGGGGGACAGATTGACCTTAGTGTTCAACTAGCCTCTAGTTCTCTATCCTTCAGCCTCTTGAAGACAAGCCACCCTTCTTGATGTGGCTTCAGAGCCAGAACACTTTTTATTTAATGGGGTGGAGGTAGTCTCTGGCACAGGGTAGAGGGAATCATAAGCCTTCTATAGGTTGACTTCAGACTGCAGACTGCTCTGTGTCTTCAAAATCATCAGTGATTATTTATACATTGGAAAGTCCAGATTTTAAGCCCACAGCCAATCCCATATCATAGCAGTTCTCAGGTGTCTGGCTCAGACTTGGAATTTTCCAGCCAATTGTGGGGAAAGCTTCTCAGAAAAAGCAAACACACAGTTTCAAAATAAATCACTACAAAATGCTGGCTTTCACATACTATGGCACACATAATCCAGAAAGCATGGACTTGCTCATACTGACTATAAGACTCATTCCTGTCCACTTTACCTAACTTCATACATTATTCAGAAACCCTCTTGGCAGGCATCACCAGAACCTTTTTGTACACTTCCAGTTATGGAGAGATCCCTAGCCAGGCAGCCTCTGCTCTTTGTGGATATCACTCAGAATCTACCTTTATGCCAAGTGGAAAGTGGCTTCCCTCTAAATACCTGATCAGAGTCAAAGACACTGGGATCCCTGGTCTTTGTCACACCCAAGTGAAGCCATCAGTGATGTGTGTGGGTCTGGCTTTAGCATCCATGCGACATCCACATGTATTACCAAACCAGGGAATCTGGAAAGTCATGGTCCTGGTTTGGGAAAGGTTGGCTGGTACCAGATTTCCAATATGGCAGCTGGAGACTTGGAGAATGAAGGAGAGTATAGGTAGTCTCCAAGACATGTCAGGAAATATACTGGTCCTTGGAGAGGGTAGAAGGCTGCAAGCTCAGATGTAGGGACAGACTTTGAGAAGCATACTGACGAAAGGTGGGTGTACAGACAGGGGCCCACCAGTGCAATGGGATTCAGGGTAGATTCTGAACCTGGCTTTGGGACAATGTCAGTGGTCATCAACAGAGGGTCCAGTGGATCAATACAGGTTCCAGGACTGACTGGCAGTGGTGACTCTGAAAAGTGACCACCACGAGGCACTGGCAAGAGGTCTAGGAGTGAGACACAGCTCAGATCCCACTGTGAAATTTGGGCTTGGTCTCTGGCCAAATGAAATCAGGATCTGGTGCCATTATCATGGATGGAAGAGGGAAGACAAAGGGGACCAAAAGGCCATCTGGGGACCACCTGTGAGAAGCTAGGGACCAAGATGGTAGCACAGGTTGTACACAGATTTGTAATCACATTGTGATGGGGTAGAGACAGGGGAGTGATGGGGTCAGAATTTAGCTAACCTAGGATGGCTCTCCAGGAGAATTTGATCTAAAAGCCTTTGCACTTATACTTTTAATGTTTTTTTGTTTTTGTTTTTGTTTTGAGACAGAGTCTCGCTCTGTTGCCCAGGTTGGAGTGCAGTGGCACGATCTCGGCTCAATGTAACCTTTGCCTCCTGGGTTCAAGCGATTATCCTGCCTCAGCCTCCTGAGTAGCTGGGACTACAGGTGTGTGCCACCATGCCTGGCTAATTTTTCTATTTTTAGTAGAGACGGGGTTTCACCATGTTGGCCAGGATGGTCTCAATCTCTTGACCTCGTGATCCACCCGCCTCGGCCTCCCAAAGTCCTGGGATTACAGGCGTGAGCCACTGCGCCTGGCCATGTTTTCTTATTTTTAATTGCATATCTTAGAGACTCAAAACCCACTTCTTAAACATGATTCATAAAAACCCAAACAAAGACAACAATTTATTGAGCACTGTGCATGTGTCTAACACTGAGTTAGGCATTTTACATACAATTCACAATGGACACAATAATAAACAATATCCTCATTCTGGGGGACATAAAAATAGAGATTCAGATAAGTTAGGCGACCTACCCAAGGCCACACTGTGAGGAAGGAGTGGAGCTGAGAGTCAACCCTGGTTTACCTGATTCCACAGTAGGGCTCTTACCACTTGACTGCATCGGACACACCTGCTCTGTAAGGTCATGAAGCAGATTTAAAAGAAAAAAAAAATCAAATCAGCACGTCAAAGAGCTTCCAGTCCAGTGAACAGGCATGATTCTGGTACCAGAATAGCTCTGAATAGCTGAGAATGCTCAGGGTGCGCAAAGCAAGGCCTCCTCCTGCCTGGGGGAGGAGGTGAGAGGCTGGCAGAGGACAGAGGACGCACAGCCACTCACTCCTGACTGCCTTCGCCTTAGAGGTGAACAATTGGAGCAGAGAATATTGAAGAAGCTGAGCTGTGGCAACAATTAAGTTCCGGCATCCATTCCAGGCCAGTTCTGCCTTGGACCAGAACCTATAAATTTGACACCAAGACAATTGCCTGAGACCACAAAGGAGCATTCCTGGCAAGAGGGGACCCTAAAGTCATGGAGAGGACAGCTTTGTTCTGAGTTTTAAAATAGAGAAGGGAGTAGATTACATGGATGCACTTCACGTTAATCCCCTCCTTCTGGAACTTCACAAGTAAATCAGTGCTTTGTGAGCCTCAAGGAAGGACCGACAAGAACTTGTGTGTGTTCTCTATGTGTAAGTCAGGCCAGTCAACATTCTTTCTTTCTCTAAAAATTTATTAGCCTGTGAAGAAAAAGAGTATAGAGTATAGAGTAAACCTAGATTTCCACAAGAGTAACTTCTAAAAGTATACAAATACTTGTATATTGAAGGAAGAAATGTTAACTAAATAATAGTGCCTGTGCTTGGATTTTAGCTGCTTTGAAAATTACATCAAAGTAGGGTAGACAACTCTGATAATAGTAATAAAATCAAATAGCTTACTTTTATTGAATTATTCCTGTATGCCAAATATTGTTTTATTTATTTATTTATTTATTTATTTATTTATTTATTTATCTATCTGAGACAGAGTCTTGCTCTATCATCCAGGCTGGAGTGCAGTGACACGATCTTGGCTCACTGCAACCTCTGCCTCCCAGGTTCAAGCAATTCTTCTGCCTCAGCCTCCGAGTAGCTGGGACTACAGGAACATGCCACCACGCCCGGCTAATTTTTGTATTTTTTTTTTTTTTTTTTTTTTTTTTTTTAGTAGAGACAGGGTTTCACCATATTGGCCAGGCTGGTCTCGAACTCCTGACCTCATGATTTGCCTGCCTTGGCCTCCCAAAGTGCTGGGATTACAGGTGTGAGCCACTGTGCCCAACCTAAATAGTATATTGCATTTAATTCCCACAACAGTGCAGTGAGGCAGATTCCAATATTATCCCCATTTTATGGAATAGGAAATGAAGACAGAAAAGCTTTGTCACTTGCCCCACATCACTGTTCAGTAGTAGAGCAGGACTTGAACCTGGGCACAGGCTCCAGAGCCCACACTCTTAGCAATTATACTAACACTGCTTATTTGAAAGATGATAAAAATCAGTATTTAAAATGATCTGTACGTGAAAGTGCACTGTGCCTAAATCCACAAGGTAAAATGTCTGAAATCGTACTGATAAGTGCACATAGGGGAGACCCAAACAGACAGCATTTCCTGAGGGGACAAACAAAAGCACTGGCTGTTTAGTGGCTGCCACATGTGGTGGGAGCTCACAGTTTCAGTGACTGCAACCAAAGTGAACACAAGGTTGCAATATCCCAATCACAAGGAAAATCCATGACTTTTCTACTGAACCTTGCTCTGGAGTGAGGATCACAAGTCTCATTCTGGCTGCTATATTTTAAGAGCCTTATCGATAAATGTGAGAGATTCAGAAAAGGCCAGCCAGGAGCCTGGACAAATGGCAGAGGGGCAGGGGCATGGGTCAGGAGATTTGGGGAACAGTTAAAGCAACAAGTGTTTAGCCTCAAGGAGATAATTTTAAAAAGATGGGAACATTGTCCTTAAGCATTAAAATCACTGGCCTGCTGAGCATTGGTCCTTAAGGACCGACCAATGGCCAGGAGTGAGGAAGGAGTGCCTAATCTGAAGTCCAGAAGGCCTCTCCCCCAGCGATGGGTTACTGCTGTTGGCAATGGAGTGACGCTGCCCTGCACAAGACACGAGCTGTCATGACAAATGCTCAGAACAATAAAAGTGGCATGACCGCCTCTGCCTCTCGGGGTTACTGGAGGGAGAAGGCTAACATTGGGAGGATTTGGGGTGGCAGTGCTCAGAGTGTCAACAATCTGTGACTCCAAATGCTCTTGTGAAATTCTGAAACAAACATGTTAGCTTGTGTGCCTGGCTTTTAGCTTAAAACTTAGAGCTATACAATTCCTCAAAAAGGTTATACTCACTTGGGTCAAACAACTATGAAAAGAAATTGTAGATTACAGAAGTGTGAAAGCACATTTACACAGGCAACGCTGACCCTTCCTGATGTGGCAGTGACAGTTATAGATAGCTTCCAGCTTGCAGTCACACTCCTTTCTTTTGCATCCAGATGTATAGACCATCTACCAGCATGGGGCGGGGGCCAGCATGGGGCGGGGACCCAAATCTAGGCCTGCCCTCTGACTCTTATTGATCTTTGACCTTTGTCTGAAGTTCACCTCAAGGAGAACACAGACTACCTCCCCTTCAAAAACACAAATGTATTTTTTAACGGGCAACATGGATTACATATCGGGGTAATATCAGTCTCTTTACCTATCAAATAGAACACACAGGGTGACTTACACTAAAGCCCTGGTCAGCGATGGGTAAAGCTCAGCTGGAGCAAAGCAGCCTTCTTTTACCATTTTGCAAGCCCTAGATTAACCCAAGTAAACACTTGTCAAAAGGTCGACTTTTGAAAACTGTTTAAAATTCACAATAGCAAAGACTTGGAACCAACCCAAATGTCCATCAATGATAGACTGGATTAAGAAAATGTGGCACATATACACCATGGAATACTATGCAGCCATAAAAAATGATGAGTTCATGTCCTTTGTAGGGACATGGATGAAACTGGAAACCATCATTCTCAGCAAACTATCACAAGGACAAAAAACCAAACACCGCATGTCCTCACTCAGAGGTCGGAATTGAACAGTGAGAACACATGGACACAGGAAGGGGAATATCACACACTGGGGACTGTTGTGGGGTGGGGGGAGGGGGGAGGGATAGCATTAGGAGATATACCTAATGCTAAATGACAAGTTAATGGGTGCAGCAGACCAACATGGCACATGTATATGTAACAAACCTGCACGTTGTGCACATGTACCCTAAAACTTAAAGTATAATAATAATAAAATTAAAAAAAAATCACCCTCATTGTGTAGACATGCAGACAAGCAAGCAGTCCCCAATTTACAACACTAGATTCCTGTCTCATGTGGAATGCTTATTGCCCTATTGGCCTGAAGAGCTCCTCCCTGCAGCAGCAGCCTCAGAGTTTTCCTCTTGGTCTGATTTCCTCCTAGGTGAGCTGGGGCCCATCACCCATTTACACTGGCTACCCTCTGGATCCTCTATCTGAATTCAGGCAAATGGTGCCCATCAGTCACTTTCCTTCTGTTTCAGTTTCTCCTTCAGCCCCCGCTGAGCTCACTCCAGCCACGTTGTGCTTCCTGGTTTCCATTCGCTTCTCTCCCTGGTCACTGCTCCCAGCCCCAGCTAACGATGTCCTTTGCAGGTCTTCACACTGCTCTGACCACTCAAGAGTGAAAATGGGCTGGGCGCGGTGGCTCACGCCTATAATCCCAGCACTTTGGGAGGCTGAGGCGGGCAGATCACAAGGTCAGGAGTTCGAGACCAGCCTGACCAACATGGTGAAACCCCATCTCTACTAAAAATACAAAAATTAGCCGGGTCTGGTGGCGAGCACCTGTAATCCCAGCTACTCGGGAGGCTGAGGCAGGAGAATCGCTTGAACCTGGGAGGTGGAGGTTGCAGCGAGCTGAGATCACGCCACTGCAGTCCAGCCTGGGTGACAGAGTGAGACTCCATCTCAAAAAAAAAGAGTGAAAATGAAATAGAAATTGAGCCAGAACAGGTGGGGATTATTCTGAGAAGTAGTGAGACCCTCCCTTGAACCACTCAAATAAACACAGATGCGCTCGTACATTCACACTCACATCAGACCCCACCCCTCCTCTCTCTCACATACATATTCACAGCCCCCCTCCCTGCAGCTTTCTAGCCTGGCACACAGGACATTGATGGGGAGGGGAAGGCCCTGTGGTTCCAGTCTGTGAGAATTCACCCAATGGCCTTTCTCCTCAGAAGTCATAAAGCAAAGGACAGAGGAATATGACCCAACTCTAAAGCAATGTTTCCAAACTTTCACAGCCTTCAGAGTTACTTGCAGGGCTTGTTAAAACTCTGATCACTGGGCTCCACCTCCAGAGCTTCTCATTCAGTGGCTCCGGGTTGGGGCTGAGAATTTTTAATTTTAGTAAGTTCCTAGGTGACACGGAGGCTGCTTGTCCAGGGACTGCATTTTAAAACCACTGACCTAAAGGAAACCATCAGTGGGGATCTTATTGAGCATGATGCAGCAGATCCTGTGCCCAAGACCAGAGGGCTTATAAGCTCATGTCCTTACAGACCCACAATGCTCTATGGCCACCAAACCTGGCTGCAGAGGCCACCTGCAGAGGACGTCATTCTGTTTCTGTCATACCAAAGCCATTTCTACCCTCTAAACCCTATGCACTCTTCTCCATCCACCCTGCTTCCCTGGGAAGATCAGGGTCTAGGCCCTGGGAATGTCCCACTCCTGGGCAGTCTGTCCAAGGGACATGATCCTTATGCCACAGGGACACCACCCCCCCACCCCACCACTGCCCTGTCGTGCCTGGGATAAAAGAGGGAAACAACTGCCAGCACCTTAAAAGATGAAACATGAACTTAAAGGAGAGAAACCAGACTATGCAGGAATGGGAGAAGGAAGAGCAGATTCTTATCCTTCTCTAAGCAAGGTAGATTCATGAGTGAGAATAACAGCCAATCACCATCATCGCCACGATGGTTTGCAACATCACTGAGGTCATGGAATTAGAGTCAGACAGACCTGAGTTTTCATCCTGGAGCTTCATTTGCTTGCTGGCTTTTAATTCTCACAACCTCGTAATTTGAGTTCCAGCATACCCAATTTTATCCAGAAGGAAGCTCGTGTTCCAAAAGGCTAAGTAACTTGCCCCAGGTCTTACCGTCAGGAGCCAAACTCAAAACCCCTGCCCCTGCCACTAAGCTTCCCTGCCTCTCAGTGGCAGTCAGGAGGGAGGACAGGGATGGCCTCCAGGGAAACCCCGAAAGACTGGCAGGCACTGTGTCCCTCATCTAAGGGGTCGGCTGGTGGGCTCAAGGGACACAATGACCCCTTTTTCATTCCATTTCTATGATCAAAACTGCAGAGGGAAGCCCATTGCATTTGAAGAAGAAATAAAAGAAACAAGGCAAGCACTAGCTTGCCTCTGTGATCCATCAAAATTTCTTCCATGTGAGTGACAGAAAAGGGGTTTTTGTGGTCAGCAATGTAACAAGGTAATTATTTTCACACCAGTCCTTCTGTATAGTTTTTCACAGGCAGCAATTTTATAAGGCATAATTATCTGTTTTCACCTGCTTCATAAATTCCTCCTTTCCATTTCGTCCCCCAGTAAACTAGAAATTATTTAAAACAGAAGCCAAGCCCTGCAACATGGTGCGGGGTTTCACATTGCTGTTCACCTCCGAGTGTGTTCCTGGCTGTCCCTCTGCCCGGCTGACCCCACCATGTCTCCCTTGCCATCTGGCCCTCCTGTGGAAGGAAGTGTGTCTCAGTGTGAGGAGCTGCTAGGCCGCTGCTGCCTGGGAATTGAAAGCCAGTATTGTGAGCCATTGCTCCTGCCCAGCTTCTTGGCACCTCTCATCCAGGGACAGCGAGCTCGGCAGCTTCTCAGAAGCTCTGCCTGTGCCTCCTTCCTTCTCCCACTGCACACCAGGTCGCAGGGTAGGGCAGTCACCTTCTCATTTGTTTTCAGCAGGTTCTTTAGGCCAAGGCGACTGTGTGGTTTGGGACCATATCATGGATTCTGCTGTGATGCTCGGTGATGGCGTCAAGCCTGGGCTCCCCCAACAACATCACTTTTATTTTCAGATATCCAACATCCTCTCATGCTGGAAGCTTCAATATCTGCTGCAATCTTCACACTTTCCAGGGATGTAACCAAAGCAAGTTCTAACATCGATTGAGAGTTTACTATGAACCAGGCACTGTGCCAAGGACTCTACAATACTATTTGGCTGAATCCTCATAATAACTCAGAAAAGCATACATTATTATGAAGTCGTGAGAATAAAATGACAGAATGTAAGAAAGCTTAGACCAAGGATTTAGACCAAGGTCACAGAGAAGGCAAGAGACAGAATCAAGTTTGAAACTTTTGTCTCTGAAGTGCCAAAGCCCATCTTCCACCCACTAAATGAAATCAATGATTCTATGAGCTTTCCCAGAACCCACTCAAGACTGAGGCAGTTTGGGGATGCCAGGATTCACCAGGTAAACTGAGGGCTTCTGGGCAGTGCCTCAGGGAGCACTACAGGGAGGAAGGCAGCGGCTTTTTCAGCAGAAGCACAGCAAGCCCAAAGCTCAGAGCTGGTTCCTCAGTCCATAACCTTCGCAACCCCTCCCTGCTGGTGGGGCTGCACCTTCCCCTTGTTCCCTCCCATTGTCTTTTCATATGACCCCCTCCCCTTACTGTCAGTAGCCCTTCAGTAACTCCTCACTGAAGGTGATTCCCACTGTCCTGGTAGTCTGTCTTTATTCAGGGAGTTTCGTGAGCAGGGAGTGGTGAGGAGTCACTTGTCACCTGCCTCTAGCTATCCCCTAAGCTCCCACCTCATTCCATACCTGGCCTAGGTTTGAGGGAAGAGGCATCTTCTTGGATATGAGCAAGTACTGGGAAGATCTAGAGCTGCAGGCCTGGGTAGAAGTGAAGGGGGGAGAGAAAAGAAGGAAGAAGGGAGCTAGTCGTCCAGAGACCAGCAGCAGTGATGTGACTGCAGACTCAAAACACAGAGCTCTCTAAGCCACCCTCCTCTGACTTCATTTGGAGACCACACCAGCCCCTTTGACACCTTGAGGTGCACCTGCATCCCTGTGCAGTCCACTGACAAAATTCAAGGACAAGGCTGGACACACAGAGGCATCTCAGAGGTCAAGGGTGGAGGGGTCCCTGGGTCTCCCAGTAGATTAAAAATAAAAGAAACAAATGCCTAAACAGGGCTGCAAAAGGTAACATGCATTGCAAATGTTTACATGAAATAAATTAACACTTGTAGCACTACAAAAATACAATGACTACATGTGTGCCAGCCCCAAGAGATTAACAGGATTCATTAAAAATATTAATTCTTAGTGCACTATATGTTTTATAGCCTTGTCAAATGACACATTTTAAATTTCTAAAACTCTTTATAAACTTTCCAATACTGCCAGTGAATGAATGTGACTACTGATATAATCCATTTAAAGTCAACGGCTGCACACTAAACCTGAGGCCCCTCCAGACTTCCAGGTGCACCTGAGGGGTTAATGAGAAGGAATGGAAAGGAGCGTTTTCAGGAGGAATACTGTGAGTCCCTGGGCGTATACTTCGGCAATCATGGAGACTAGTCTTTGGTCTGAACATCCAGGGAGCAGTGATTCAGCATCCTTAAGTGATTTCTAAAGAAGTACATTAAACAATGCTTTTTGGGCTTATTGAAGACCCCCAGGGCAACCTCAGAAATCAGTGGAGGAGATAGCACAACAGAAAAACAGGACTTCTGGTCAGCAGAAACAATCATTTTTGTTAATATTAACCCACAGAGAGAGAGGTCTGTAGAAAATCAGTTTACAACAGGATGAGCTTTTCCTCAGTTCAAATCTATACACATTGATTGAACTCAGGAACTTGATCTAGAAGGTACTTTCATTCCCCCTCTTTACTCAGTAAAGGTTACATACACTACAAGGCTGGAATTAAGTAATTCTTCTACTAAGAGTCCAGTCACTTTTTCTGTTCATCAAACAGAAAGTATAAATGAAATATTCTTCTGTGATGGGGATGGATGGAAGGGATTTGGTCCAAGCAGGTGTAAAGAAAGGTCCCTGCTCACAGGGAGCCAGGAAGCATTATCCAATGAAGAAGAAAATTCTAACACATTAGAGGCTAACCTGGAGCACTGACTCCCAAATACAATGGGATACTTAAAAGAGAGGTCATCCACATTTCAGGGCTACAATGCTCAGAGGAGTAGGAGCAAATTATCCAAAGTACTGTGCAGGGACAGTAGTGATTGCCTCCTTCCACAATTATTGGGGAGAATATTGGGAGAAATGCACCCCTTCTCACATCCCTATCCAGAGAGTGTAGCTGCCTTTCCCCGTTTTTGGCAGGGAGACTGCTCTTCCCTCTATATTATATAATGGGAGAGTGATGTAGCCAATGCATTAGCTCCGGTCCCTAGAATTTCTGCCTTGGAGATGCATTCTGTGGTCAGGCCACTGGTCTTGTCATTTGACAGGAGCACAAATGCTACATCAGGCTGGGCATTTGAAGGGACACAAGAAGATGAATATATGGTCCTGGCACACAATAGTCTTCATTTGGTAACTGAGATAAGTACAGAATGACTGAACAATTAATAAAATGATGAGCACTCTGAGGGGAGTCTGGTTACAAATATACAGGAAACCCAGCAAAGAGATAGGAGATTCTCAGCTATAGGCACCAGGAGGGACTTCTTGGAGGAAGTGATAATAGATCATGATTTTGCATCCAAAGAACTCTCCAGTCTGACATCTGATGAACAGAAGTTATCTTGCTGGGGTGGGAGAAGGTCCTCTTATATGGGAAGAAGGGGGAAGAAAGAAAAAATGTAATCTTCACCCAGTGCTACGTAGGGACAAGGCCTCTGAACTCCGAGCATAGGAGTTGTATGTTTCAGCACCATGGCCAGCAATTCTGCTTTGCCCTGGGATCAAAGGATGATGTCTTCTCTTCCTTGCCCCAGACCCACCACTTGCACCATCAGGGAACCAAACTCCCCAGCCCAGAGCCATTACTAGACACTTACTAGTGCATGCCACTTCTGGAGGGTCAAAGTCCGCTCGGTAATAACCGGTCCGACAGGTGCAGATGGGAGACGCCTCTGCAGGGGAGCGGCTGTTGGAGGGGCAGTGGGAGCAGCCTTCAGCTTCCTGGCTGGCCTTGAATGTCCCTGCAGGGCAAGCTAGAACACAAAGAGACCATGTGATAATTAATGGAAGTGTGGCAGCCAGAAACTCTTCCCTACAACCGGAAAAGGAGTGTCTTCCTCTCTAAAAAGAACATTGAGATGCCCCTCTCGTACCAAGGGAGATCTAAGGTTGAGGAAACCCATATTTAACACTTCCAATTCTTCAAAAATCCTTTGTGAAATATATCTTCTTGGTACCAATGACCTCTCTCACTTGAACAAAATGGATAATAATTCTTCCCTTCCAGGTGTGTCAAGAGATTTAATTGAGAAAACAAATCTAAAGTGTAGCTCAGTTCCTGGGACATAAGTGCTCTATAAATGGTTACTCCCTCTTCTGTCTACCTGGTTAACATCCATGGCCTTTCCCTGAGCCACTCACTAAAGACATCTCATCCTATGGCCTCAGTTAGAAAGGGGTCCCAGGTTTTTCAATGACATGTTGGACCCACGGTTTTTCAATGCCATGTTGCAGCACACATGAGGAACACACTATGAGATGTATTAACAAGCTCTTGCTATGAATGATGGCAAAGGGCTGAAATTCATAAGTGATTCTTTAAAACTAAATTAGGGTGATTTCAAGGTTAATGCCTTAACAACATCATTCTCCTTTAATTGCATTTTGATATGCTTCCGGGGGTGGGGCAAGGAAAGGATGACTTTGCAGACAGCACACCAGGGAACGTGTCACACACTTGGTGTCATCTATCATGCACATGGCAGTGGGGAAGGTTGGGAACACCTGATACTACCTGATCTCCACTGGAGGGGCCCTCATATGTGCAGCACATCCTCTTAATTTCCTGTGGGATCAGCCTATAATGAGTCATTCTCTGAAAAGTCTGGCTCCAAGCTATCCCTCGGGTCTTAACTTTGTCTCATCTGTAAAGACTTTTGAGCCCAGACATCTGGTCTCTTCCTTGTTGATCCCTCACAAGATTGATTCTGCCTACCCTACTTCCCCAAGGCCCTTCCTTATTATCTCAGCCCCCACTCTTCCTGTCCCCATGAAACCTACTCTGGCTCATCCTCCTTTGAGACTGGGTAAAACCTACTGACTGGTCAACTTGTTTGGCTTTCTTACACACCTCATTACTTCATTCAACAAACATTTACTGTTCCTGCTGAAAACATGACATAGGGAATTCAAGAATAGAGCCTGCCTTCAAGGAGCTCTTGATCCAATGAAGTCATATAAATCTAATACAATGTGATCATCATATAATTGAAGTGCCATTATAATGGTTTCTACTTATAGAAAGCTAATCTCAAATGTATTGTTCCCTCCTGGAAAGTGCAGCATATTCTTTAATAATAGCAGTAGCCACCATCTGTTAACTTGTCTTGTTAAGTGCTTTCCATGCATTACTCTATGGGGTAGCTATTACTATCTCCATTTTGCTAATGAGGAAACTGGGACACGGAGAGGTTACAAAAGTTACCAAGGATCACACAGTGGGAGAAATGATAGTGATGATGTACGCATAAACTATTTGAAAAATATCCACTGCTTTTCTGCTAAGACAAGAAGAAAGAATTGTTTCCTATGCTGTGAAAGTTATCTCACTCCATTGATCACTTAAGGTGAGGAAAAGGTTTCAGTTTCTCCAGACATGTGCTGGGTGGGGTGCCATTTTGGACAGGAAGGAATCTCCAAAACACAATGTTCTGGAATGGCACAACCCAAATGTGTCCCATGGGATCCACGTTCTTTGGATTGTTAACACCTATGACAAAAGGGTACTGTGGCCAGATATTTTGAAATGCTGATTTTAAAAGTTCATCTTATTCTTTGTTGAGAACTTTTAAAACTTTTTAAAATGCTATGTTTTTTCACCAAGAAGCCTTACTTTGCAGAGCATCCCCTGGGATCGGGGAAGACACTGGAGTGAATGTTGTTTCCCAGGTTTGGGGAAACAATGTCAGTTGCGAACCATGTAAAAAGGGACCACTTCCTGACTCATCTCAGCACATTCAGAAGAAACTTCTCTGTAGAAAGAAAAAAAGTACTGTTTGAGTCTTTATTAAAGATCTAACACATCAAACATGAAAGGGAGAAGCTCTGAATGGCAAAAGTATCCGAGGAGACTCTGGCTTACTAATCCATCTTTCCCAGCCCACTCATTACGGTCCCTCTCTCTGTATTTCTCCCTCTTTCCTTTTCTTCTTTCCATATCTCTCCTCATCTCCTGTGAGAAACACTTGGCTCTTTTCCTAATAAATCCCCAGCCTTCCTGGCCCCATTCAGTTCTGCAGCCAGTGAATACAGACAAATCCCAGGCCTGTGCTGCCTGGACTCGGCAGGAGCTCTGTCTCTGGAGAGTGGGGGAGGGGTAGAGGTGATGACTCAAGCATTCATATTTGGCCCCTGCCATGCTGTAATTTTCTTAATGTACCAGTCCAACAAGAACAAGGTGTTTTCCCTTTCTTTCCAGCACGTAAAAGCCTCCTCACTTTACATTTAATAAGTTAACAGCATAAACAATTGTCCTGATATCCACAAGTGGCAGGGGGATGTGGAAAGTGCCTCCTCTGAGGTTTCTGATGGAGGACAGTAGCTCTGGGTGACTGAGTCTCTGAATTCCAAGGTGTCCATGAGAGGAGGAAGTGGAGGGGAGGAGGTCCAAGCTGGACATCAGGGAGAGAAGCTTGGGGAGTGGTTGAAGAGAGAGGTTCCAGGAGGGGGTCTGATTCCATTCTCCCCGGAGAAACAAGCATTTGGAAATGGTCAGACAGTCCTGAGTTCAATTCTTGGCTCTGCCAGCTCCTAGCTTGGTGAACACTGGCAAGTTATATCATCCCTCAGAGCCTCAATTTGCTCATCTGCATAAAAGGTGTATGAAAAAGAACTGTAAATTTCTCACAATAACTCCCACAGATTATTAGAAATTAATAAACTCAAATATGAAATGTCGCTAGCATCAATGTGTGCTAAATAATGCTAACTCCTCTCCATCCCAACTTACCCACTCCTTTAAAAAACAAAAGCAAGGTTTCTTTGCAGGGACTTTTAGAATTCAGGGTCAGAATATAAATTTCAAGTCCCAAAGTGGGCAAATAAATCCTGGAACCCAATGGAAGAATGTGTTTCTACATATATTATTTCTGTTATGTATAATGGGTGAATCATATCTACAAAATATATTTTACATATAATTACAAAATGTATGAATCTCCTTAATACTCAGACTTTATAACTTAATACTTTCATAAAATCTGTCTAGGCATGCCTTAATTTATATAAGAAGCAGCATTCCTAAATTCATTTATTAAAGATTTTTTTTTCTTTTTTCTTTTTTTTACTTTAAGTTGTGGGATACATGTGCAGAACGTGCAGGTTTGTTACATAGGGATACATGTGCCATTGTGGTTTGCTGCACCTATCAACCCATCATCTAGGTTTTAAGCCCTGCATGCATTAGGTATTTGTCCTAATGCTATCCTTCCCCTTGCCCCCACCCCCCAACAGGCCCCAGGGTGTGACGTTCCCTTCCCTGTGTCCATGTGTTCTCATTGTTCAACTCCTACTTATGAGTGAGAACATATGTTGTTTGGTTTTCTGTTTCTGTGTTAGTTTGCTGAGAATGATGGTTTCCAGCTTCATCCATGTCCCTGCAAAGGGCATGAACTCATTCTTTTTATGGCTGCAAGGTATTCCATGGTGTATATGTGCCACTTTTCTTTATCCAGTCTATCATTGATGGGCATTTGGGTTGGTTCCAAGTCTTTGCTATTGTAAATAGTGCTACAATAAACATACGTGTGCATGTGTCTTTATAGTAGAATGATTTATAATCTTTTGGGTATATGCTCAGTAATTTATTAAACTTTTACATTGTTGTGCTATACTTTCTCATAGAATTCATGCTTAAAACAAGGGTGAAAGTGCCAGGCTAATCCACAAAGCCCTTTTAACTTATCTTGTATCAGGTGCCATTAATCAGAAACAAAAGTTAACAATATTTTTTCACTAGAAATTTAACATAGAAAAATAAATAAGAAAACTACGCTGTCACTTGAGAAAAAGCAGCTTTAACTTGGGTTGATAAATAAAGCTTCTGGGTGGCTTCTGATGAAGAATATTCAGGCCATGAGAAGCAAAAGCAAATGGCCTTTGGAGCCAGGTCAGTCACTTGAGAATATAAAGCAGCCGGGAGTCACACAGTGCAGAGTGGTGGAGACCCTGGCAGCCTGGAGACTGCTCACCTGCATAAAGACTGTACAATTTTAAACAATAATAATTAAATACAGCGGTAGCCTAACCAAACACATTTCAGCACTTTCAGGCAACTTAAGGTAAATAACAGAGTTCTCTGCTTTCGTATCATTTCAAAACTCAGGAGTTCCTTTACAGAATTACGGTCAGCACTACTGCTGCAGTTGGGAGCCCCTCATTCAACAAATATTTATTGTGGATTGACTTCTAGCCAGGCACCAGGCTAGGGGAATAGAGCAGGGTGCAGATGGGGTAGCCAACATTAGGAAGCTCCCTTCCTGGTGAGGGAGGTGGACAATGGAATGCTGCTTCTGATACAGCAGGATCTGTGCTATGCTTGTGTGCACACAGGGGACCAGGTGGATGGATGTACACCTTTTGCAGAGTCTCCTTATAAGATGAGAGTCACAAGAAACTTTATAAAAGAAGTAGTATTCCTGAGTTCATTTATTAACCTTTTAGCTTGTAATTTGTAACCACACTTATGCTATACTTTCTCATAGAATTCATGCTTTAAACAATGGTTAAAAGTGTCACTTCAGGCCAGGCGTGGTGGCTTACACTTGTAATCCCAACACTTTGGGAGGCCGAGGCGGGTGGATCACCTGAGATCAGAAGTTTGAGACCAGCCTGGCCAACATGGTGAAACCCTGTCTCTACTAAAAATACAAAAAAAAAAAAATTAGCTGGGCGTCATGGCATGTGCCTGTAATCCCAGCTACTCAGGATGCTGAGGCAGGAGAATCGCTTGAACCCAGGACGCAGAGGTTGCAGTGAGCCAAGATCGCGCCACTGCACTCCAGCCTGGGTGACAGAGTGAGACTGTGTCGCATTAAAAAAAAAAAGTGTCATTTCTTGGCAATGGTGATTAAACAGTTTATTGTGATGGTTAGGAGATGAAATTCAGAAGAAGAGGAAAAGACAAAGGGAGAAGAAAAGAGGTGGAAGAACAGGAGAAGTAGGAACGGAAATTAGGTCATAAAGTGCCCAGCTTTGGACTTTGCAGGGGAGAGTTCCATTACATTTCCAGGAGGTGGGTAGAAAGAGAAGAGCCGCCGACACCTTGCTGTGTATTCGCATTAAGACCTTTGTCAATGGGACAAGGTAACTTGGAGGGCTGGACATTTCTAACACCAGTGCAGCCTACAATTGCCTTGTTTCCTTAAGAGAAAGGGGTTCCCTTTCCTCCATTGTAAGTGATTGCAGTTCAGACAGAAGGCCTAGAAACTTGCATAGCCGAGGCTTTTTGATGGCACCCCTCTCCCCGACCTCACCACACATCTCTTTCCCCACCCCCAACTTCAGAAAAGGGGAGGAGACAAGATCTGAGCACCCCATGCCTAAACGTGTATATATTTTCCATTCAACAGACAAAACACACATTTGCCTCCCTGTTCAAGTGCCAAGGGATAGGTGCATGTCACCTCTGGCTGGTATCCAGAAGGTCACCTTGAAACACCCACCCAACTTCTCAGCACCTCAGTGATATGACAAATGACCTTCTGCTTACCATACTCTCGAGACACTCCTCTCCTCCTGTCCCTGCACACAGACTTCCAGTGACACTGAGTCCATCACCCACAGTACTATTACTTTATAAAGAAACAGATTAAGTGTCTCATAAACAGTGCAGTGATTGAGATAATGGAAAGCGCTTCTCATCCCCATCTGCAGCATCAGGTTACAAAGCATTTCCAAGCAGCCAGGAAGAGGAAATTAATAGAAGCAAGAGGGAATAACCACTTTTATGCAATTTCCTCAGGAGATAGTGGACCATCTAATCTTTATTGGAGCCCTTTAACCTGTCACTCAGCACTCACCAGAGCCTCTTTAGCTCTCACAATTTTTCTTGATATCAAAGGAAGATAAAATGGAGACCTCAAAATATTATTTTATAATTTTCAGATGTGGAGGGTGCGTGTTACCTCTGCCCTTCCCCCTCTCAGATGAGGCCTCAAAAACAACATTTTTATGCAGCATAAATGTGGGAGAGCTTAACTATTCTCAGCGCATGGTCTAGGGGGTCAGAGCTACACCGCAGGGAGGAAGTCTCTCCTTGCATTTTAAATGTGATTCTTCCCTCCACTGCCACCTTCTGTCCTTGCTCTTTCTTTTTAATAATCTGATTACTTCTTCTGATCTATTTTTTTCCCCAAATGAGTTTGCAAAGGTTCATGCCAATGAATATTCATCCCCTGCTTAAGAACTGGGTGCCTTTTTCTCAAGGCAGGTGCAGCTCAGCAGCTGGCTCAGGGAAGTCAGCCTGCCTCATGGGGCAACTGGGAGAGAGGCAAGGTACATGCTTCTGGCCAGGAAGAAGGAGGTTCGCAGCCCAGAGTTCATTGCTCCTACAACCTCCCCTTCCTTTATCTTACGCTTTGTTCTCATTCTGTAAGAGAGGCAGAAAAGCCTCTCTCAGAAGCTGCTAAGAATTGTGTGATAGGTGTGGTGTTGGTGGGCAAGAAATTCCTGTGGGTCATGCAAACAGCTCTGCATAGCTCCTTCCATAGGTCCTGTGGCCCCACATTGGGCCACTATTTAAAGTCACTTCTGTGGCCAAATGTCTCCATTACTTTCACATTACTGGTGGCTGAACAAATAGGTTCCCAGCTCTGAAATTTCAGGCCTGGTGAAACTCCCTAGAAGGAAGTGGCATGAGGTTTCTGCACTGGGATTCCTCTGTCTATTCTCAAAAGCAGTCTTTGCTTTCCCAGAATGGGTTTTCCTGAACAGCCCCAGGACATTCCACTGGGACTCAAAGCCTTATGGGAGCTCCCATTTCCCCTTATATTCATGGCAATGTGTTGAGAAAACTGATGGCAAGGAAATATTTCCCAAGCACCCATCCATCTGTCCATTCTTCCATCCATCCATCCATCCATCCATCCGTCCATCCATCCGTCCATCCATCCATCCATCCATCCAATGTACTAGTTTGAAAGCTCTCTGAAGATGGATAATAGGTGTTGCCATCTTTGTATTTCCCTTTCCCCAGCGCTTAGCACAAACTTACACATAGGCATACACATTCTACGGCTAATTGAGTGAGTGTTCACTGAAGGACTGCTGTGATAAGACACAAAAGATAAAAGCTGTGATGATAATAATAATAACAACAACAAATATGATATTAATATTAGAGAATGTGAGATAATGAGCACTCCCACACAAAGTGTGGATTCCCTTTTTTTTTTTTTTTTTTTTTTTTTTGAGGCAGGGTCTCACTCTGTTGCCCAGACTGGAGTGCAGTGGCGTGATCTCTGCTCACCGCAACCTCCGCCTCCCAGGGTCAAGCAATTCTCCTGCCTCAGCCTCCCGAGTAGCAGGGATTACAGGAAAGCGCCACTACCACCTAACTAATTTTTGTATTTTTAGTACAGACGGGGTTTTACCGTGTTGGCCAGGCTTGTTCTGAGCACCTGACCACAAATGATCCATCCGCCTCGGCTTCCCAAAGTGTTGGGATTACTGGAGTAAGCCAACATGCTCGGTCAAAGTGTGGATTCTTATCATTTCCTGGGAGAGTTATTTGATGTGTATTAAGAGCTTCAAAATATTGAAAGCTTTGATTCAACGATCTTATTTCTAAAAACTTATTCTAGAAAAAAAAAGCAAGCAGGTGTGGGAAAAGATTTATGTTCATTGATGTTCATCACAGTGTTATTTATAATAGGGAAGAAAGAAAGAAGAGAGAAAGGGAGAGGGAGGAACTTAAAAGTCTGATGATAAGGTATTGACTAAATAAATCATGCAACATTCATATAATGGAATATTGCACAGCAGTTAAAATTGTGACTTGGAAAAATATTATAAAAGTGTGGTCTAAAACTATAGAGTATGAGACTATGAACTTCATTTTATACACACACACACACACACACTCAAACATATCATACTCAGCAAAATGGAAAATAAAATCTGGGAATGGTGACATTATTATTATGTTTCTGTACTTTATCAATGTTTTGTATTACATATACATGACTTTAGTAATCAAAGAAATTCTCATCCAGTACATTTAAAAATCTTGCAGAGGACACAAAAATATGAATGACAACCTCCAATTCCAAGGAGCTGAGCTGAGCATAGCAGGTCAGGGTGAAGTGTTTACCAATAAAATTTCTACAGCAGAGGTGGAGATGCTCTGTGACAGAGGTCTTTAGAGGAAGGGGAGAGTGGGTTGCCGTTGGAAGGCTGCCTAGAGGAGGTGGTTCGTGCACAGGGCCTCAAAGGATGTGTAAAAGTTGGCACAGAGGGAGGATGGGAGGATGAGGCAAAGGGAAAAGATTGCACCAAGACCATCCCTAGCTTACCTGGGGAAACTTTGAGAGTAGTTGTAGAAGGTGCCAAGAATACGAAGCATCTATGTGGGCCATGGTGGGAGGAGGGCTGGAGCGCATTTACTTCTACATCATCCTGGGCACTTGGAGCCAAATGAGTCTCCAGTTCTTGCCTCCCTGGGCCTGCTGCCAGCTGTAATGGCCTGTGCAGAGGAGACACTTAGCTGTGTCATACACTTGTATCACTCATGATGACACTTGCTGAAGTTGATGAATGCTGCAGGCACCATGACACAGAAGAGACTGTAACTTACTGTGCTATTAAGTTGTTCAGACAGCAGTAGCAGTAGCAAGCCTAGAATGCATCCGCATGGAAGTTGTTAAAGAGGTGGGCCAGGGTGGGGGTGCTTTTCCTTGATAAAATGGGGAGATCACTGGTCAGGACTGAAGGGTGACAAACAGAAGAGCAGTGTCTCAAGGGAGAGGGACAGACACTGAGGTCCTGATGGCAGCCTGTTCCCAGAGCGTAGCCAAGACCTTCAGAGCCAGGGTCCTGTCTGGTTGTAGGAGGCTGTGCTAGGCATCGGTTTCTCTCAGAAGAGAGTCCAGGCCTGGATCCTAAAATCCTGGTCCAAGGTCAGTGATTAGGGAGTGAGGATAGCCATAAAGCAAGCCCAGGTGTTTTGTAGTGATCTAGGCCAGGTTCTCAAATTGGTCTCCAAGTCAGCAGTGCTATGGACTAAAAGTTGCCCCTCAAAAAAAAAAAAAAAAAAACAAAGAAAAAAAAATCATACGTTGAAGCCTAATTCCGAATGTAATTTTTTTTCTTTTTTTTTTTTTTTTTTTGTAGACAGAGTCTTGCTCTGTGGCCCAGGCTGGAGTGCAGTGGCATGATCTCAGCTCACTGCAACCTCCACCTCCAGGGTTCAAGCGATACTCCTGCCTCAGCCTCCAAAGTAGCTGGGACTACAGGCATGTGTCACCACACCTGGCTAACTTTTGTTTTTTAAGTAGAGACGGGGTTTCACCGTGTTAGCCAGGATGGTCTCGATCTCCCGACCTCGTGATCCGCCCCCCTTGGCCTCCCAAAGTGCTGGCACTACAGGCATGAGCCATTGTGCCTGGCCCCGAATATGATACTACTTGGAGGTGAGGACTCTGTGGAGTAATTAAGTCACGAGGGTGGAGCCCTCATAAATGGGATTAATGGCCTAATAAGAAGAAATACGAGAGAGCTTTCTTTCTGCCCTGTAAGTGTACAATGAGCAGATGGTCATCTGCAAACCAGGAAGTGGGCCCTCACCAGACCCTGGATCTTCTGGCACATTGATCTTGGACTTCCTAGTATTCAGAACTGTGAGAAATAAATGTTTGTTGTTTAAGCCACCCAGTGTTTGTTACAGCAACTTGAACTAAGACAAATAGCATCAGTGCCACCTGGGAACGTATAGAAACACAGAATCTCAGATCCTCCTCCAGGCCTACTGAACCAGAAAATCTGGAGATGTGACTCAGTAATCTGAATTTTATCAAGCCAACCAGGCGATTCTGGTATAGCTCTAGTCTGAGGACCACTGCTCTAGGCCATCTGGAAGAATGCAAACATGGAGTCTGAAAAACTTCCACGTTCTAGCTGTGTGATCTTAAGCAAGTTATTTAAACTTTGACCCTCAGCCCCCCATTTGTAAAAAGGGGTGCTAAGGTGACTTCCTTCCCATAGCTATTGTGAAGATCAGTGTAATACATGTAAAATTCCTGGAATATAGTATCTCCTCAATAAATATCCTCAAGATGTTTTCCACAAGGAGCCAGGCTGAATGTTTTCATCAACAATTCACTTGAAAGTATTTATTGACCACCTATAATATACTTGGAGGTGTGCTAGGCATTGTGATATATCAATGGAGGAAAAACACAAAGATGTTCCCCACGTGGAATTGACATCCTGGTGGAGGAAGACAGACTTTGAGCTGGAAATTCCAATGGATGGGATTGAGGTGGCATAGAAGGGCCACAGTAGGGACCTAACCCACTCTGGGAGAGCCTTGGGAAAGCGACATCTAAGTGAAGGCATAAAGAAGATATAAGCCCCCTATAACAGGCAGAGGTAAGGTAAGTTAGTGAGAGAAGGTAGAGAAGCTTCCAGGTGGAGAGAGCAGCCTGTGAAAAGGCCCTGGAGAATGAAAATGACTCAGTCAAGGACCTGAGCACAGTGCCTTCAGGGGCCCTGAGTGCTCAGGCTCAGGCACAGTTCCTGTGTGGGGTGGGTGGGATCCATAGGCAAGTGAGGAGGCTGAGCGCTTGGAGGGGCAGCCTGAGCTCATGTCACCCACTCGGCCCATGGCTTTACCCTGAAGTCCACGGAAGCCACTTGATAGGCTTGAAATTGGGAAGAAACAGAATCAGATTTTGTTTCTAAAGGATCACACTGGTTGCTGGGAAATGAATGGACTGGAGGAGTGGGGACATTTACAGGAAGATTCAGCAGCCCACAAAAGGTGATAATGGATTAGGGTAGTGGGAACAGAGAGAAGTAGATAGATTCAAGAGCTATCTAGAAGAGAAGTGTCTGGCAATTGATTGGGGATTGCTCATTCATTCAACAGATAAGCACTGAGCCCCTACTAGATGCCAGGCACGGGGTTGGGTGCAAGGAGTCAAAGACTGCAACCTGTTGTCCGCTTGTGTCCCTGCTGTCCTGCTGACCCCAGAAAGCCTGCCCTCTACACTTCATCCTCTAGGGCTAGACATTTTCCTCTTTCTGGAGTCCTCTTTTAGAAATCCAATACTTTGGCAGTGGGCTCCCTGTCCCTATAACTTTGGGGGGAATATTGGGAGTGGCAGTATGAAGTGTCCAGAGCAGAGAAGGTGAGAGTCTCACTCAGAGACTAGGACTGATTTGGCTCTTCCTGCAGCAGCTGCATCTGCACCCCAAGTCTGTCCCTTGACCGCTGGCCTGCAGACAAAGCTAGAGGAACAACATTTGTGTCTATGTGGGAGAGAAACCAATCTTCAGACTCAGGAATCTGCAGAGTGGCCAGAAGAGCCTTCTGGACTTTGGAATGGTACAGGGAACAGACCTCTGACCAGAGATTCCTGCCCCTGAAGCTGCAGCATTACCTGCATCTCCTCTATAGCAGGCCAACTGGACAGCCAGTAGCTGCTGAGAGCCCCATGGGCTGGTTCCTTAGCTTTAAGCCAACAGAGGGGTCAGGAAAGGTACGATGCTGCAGCACTGAGGAAGACAGAGAGAGCAGAGAAGAGGGAAAGCAGGAGGGAGAAGGTTTAGCTGGGAACAACTGTACTTCCTTACACAGGGGGAAACTGAGGCTGGAGAAGGTGCTTGCCTTTCTTAGGTCACCCAGGAAGCAGGGGCTCAGCTGAACTTATTCCTTGGCCCTGCCTGCCTCAGAATAGAATGGCAAGGGAAGGACATGGGAGGAGTTGTGGAGGAGGCAGCCGACAGGCCCCTCCTGTCCACGGCCCAGCCCCAGGAGAAACAGCATAAACATGTCGATCTGCCCCCACAGACACCCGACATTCTGGAGCCTACACACTGGACATGGGGGGACTCTGGGGAAGGAGGCAATAATGCAGCTAACAGGGAAGTAAGGGACCAGTGGGCAGAGACTGGGAAGGGGCAGGGCCTGGTCCTTCACTCTCCAAGGCTCTTACAACCTTGAAATGATCAGCATGGAGGGGAGTGGGACAGAGCAGGTTCACAGCAGCCAGACACCAGCAAGGCTGATGTCGCTGTGTGCTGGCCTGCCCTCTTTCCCAGGGCTTGATGGAGAAGTAGGACCCAGAGAGGCAAATGGCCTAATGGTGCTCAAGCTCCTCTTTTGATGGAATTTATACAAATGAAATAATCACACATAGCTCAAAGATTTAACTATGAGGGCACTCATGGCAATATTGTTTATAGCAAGAAAAAATTAATTACAGCTTAAAAGCCCTAAAATAAGGGGTCAGATCAATAAATTATAGTGCATCCATAAATGGAAAATCATGACCCCATCAAGAAAGATGGTGAAAACCTGTGGTTAGTGACATCTAAAAATATTGGCAAATAGTGGGAACAAATATTGTTCTTAAAGATTTCACTTTCTTATAGTGATGAGATTATGCACATTTTAAAAATCTTTTATGATCTATATTTTCCAATTTTTATGCAGTGAACTTATACTTTTTTGAATGGAAAACGATTTTTTTTTTTTTTTTGAGTCAGGGTCTCACTCTGTTACCCAGGTTGGAGTGCAGTGGTGTAATCTCAGCTTGCTGCAACCTCTGCCTTGAGGGTTCAAGTGATTCTCCCACCATAGCTTCCCGAATACCTGGGACTACAGGCACGTGCCACCAGGCCTGGCTAATTATTTTTGTATTTTTTAGTAGAGACAGGGTTTCATCATGTCGGCCACGCTGGTCTTGAACTCCTGACCTCAAGTGATCTGCCCATATTGGCCTCCAAAAATGCCGGGATTACAGGTGTGGGCCACCGTGTCTGGCTAAAAAAGATTTTTCAAATAGTGGAAGATTTTTTCAAATAGTAGGTAGGAGTAGTGTGAGTGGTGTGGCAAGAAGGCGAGAAGTGAGGCCCCACTGGCAGCAGGACAAGGCAGAGAGGGCAGTGGAGTGCGGGGAGTGGCCTGGGAGTTGGCACAGAAGGACCCCAGTCAAGTCCAGCCTTTCTGTGAACCATCATGTCTCTGTGTCCCCAACTCCACCTCCTCACTCATGTTAGTGTACCCTAAAAATCTCTTTTGAAGGATGAGCTCTTTTCCTTTTATAGACATTCTCTCATTCTCTCAACACACATCTGGGGAGCACTTTCTGTGTGCTCTGAGATAGATATCAGCTAGTCACTGCCTTTATATTGGGTAAGAAGAAGTCCATTGACACGGAGTGAGGAATTCCAGATACGCAGGAATCAGAAGTGTAAGGGGGTCTGGAGGAGCCCCCAATGCAGAGGCAGCAAGCAGCTAAATGGGGGTGGAATTCTTAAGATGTTGGACTCCAGGCCAGGTTTGGTGGCTCCCGCCTGTAATCCCAGGACTTTGGGAGGCTAAGGCGGGAAGATCACTTGAGCCCAGGAGTTCGAGATCAGCCTGGTCAACATGTCAAAACTTCATTTCTACTAAAAATACAAAAAATTAGTCAGGAGTAGTGGCGCATGCCTGTAGTCCCAGCTACTCAGGAGGCTGAGGCAGGAGAATCGCTTGAACCTGGGAAGTGGAGGTTGCAGTGAGCCGAGATTGTGCCACTGCACTCCAGCCAGGGTGACAGAGAGACTCTGCCAGAAGGAAAGAAGGAAGGAAGGAAGGGAGGGAGGGAGGGAGGGAAAGTTGTTGGACTCCAGAGTCAGGGCTGTGCCCTCCTTGAGAAGATGTGATGTCACAGCTAAGCAGGAGACAGGGAAACAGTATCAGTTCTCAGAGGGCAGAGCAGGGAGGTAAAGGAAGTGGTAAGCCCATGCTAGAGGGCAGCGGGGAGGAACCTGTGCTTTAGAAGAGAGCAGAAGCACCCTACCAGCAGCCAAGATGGACTCCTTAAAGGGAGGTATCCCCTTTGCACTTCATTCTCAACCAACAGGGAGATGCTTCACGGGGCCCCTGGCACCCAACAGAAGGGAGGGTCCCATCACTTTGGTCACTCTGAGAGCCCCAGGTCATTTATCCTTCTTGGGTGCTAGGCCTAGGTCTCTGCAGCATCAACAAGGACAGGGGAATCCCCAACTGTCCCCTCCCAAGGCCCAGTCTCCACCCTTCTCAGTGCCCGGCTGCCAGTGTTCTAAAAACACCATCAATCTGGTAGCTCCAGGCAGGGGATGAGCAGGACATATGCTGGCAGTCAGGCTGCTTCCCACGTTTTCAAACCGAAGTGTTTTTCTTTTGAGAAAAACCTTATTTTTTAAGCACTTTCCTCCCTGACACAGACCTTAATGGATTCCGTTTAAAAAAAATTTATAACCAAGTTCTTAAGATAAATGAAGATGACTTCTCACTGTGTTTCTATCTAAAGGCTGGACAATGACAAGAAGCCACCCAGAGTTTCTCACTTTTTCCAGAGCCCCAGACGCACAGGCTGGCTACGAGGGCACACATAGGTCAGCCAGGTCTGCTGAGTGGTCACACCGAGGACAGGCACTGCTTTCACTTGCTCTCTCTACTTTTCACAGAGCAAATAGGAAACACACACACACAAGCAACTGTGTTTAGATGTATCACACAAATCTCATTACTCTCCAAACTCTGACGAGGCAAATACAACTCTTCTCTTAGGGAAGCTTGCTATTGTTCCTTCCTTTCCAGGCTTCCTCACCCCAGAGTTTGGTGAGCCCACAAATTACAGACAGACAGGGCTGGAAAAGACCTTAGAAATACCTTTTAGAATGGGGCCACCAATACCCAGCACAGATACTGTCACTACCTCTCCATGCCTGCCGTGGCAGACATTGCTAATCAATCCCGGCACTCATTCCCACTCAACCCACAGCAGAGTGCTGAGACTTTAACACAATGTTCCAGGCACAAACTACCTGTGATTGAATTGCCACATCACAGACCTATGATGGCAAAAATGAGGCCCAGAGAAGGCAATGACTTGGCCAGAGGTGCAGGTGAACCAGAACAAGTCATGGTGCCAATGTCTGCTCCACCTGCCCAGATGGCCCCATCATAAGCATGAGCCTGCTGCAGCTCTGTGGAGCTCACCCCCACCCCCATCCCAACTGCCTCAACTCTTTCTCCTTCTCAGCTTTGTAGTTGGTCCCACTGCACAGCCTCCTCTCCAACTGGGATGCAAGGGCATCTAATTATTCTCTCTGTGTGCATCAGGGAAGAGCTGCATTCTGTTTAAGTAAGTGTAGCTAAGAGGTGCTGCATCTCAAGAGAAGGTCAAGTGCTGCATATGTATAATTTAAGATTAAGATTTTCCCTTTCTGTGGTGTACTTGATAAAATAATTTTGCTGTGACCTTTACAGAAACCCAGGAGTAGAAATGGGCTCAGTGGAATTTCCAGCTTCTCCCCAGGTCACGAAGTCATAAACACATAAATCTATAATGATATTACGCAGCATTCAAGTGGGACAAGTAAGCAAAAGAAATAATTTTTACTTCTTTTAATGGCAGAGCAAAAGCTTTGAGGCTGAAATTCTCAGCCTAAATTATCAGAGCTGTCTTGACAGATAAGGGGCAGAAACCCTTCCCCCTACACTGCCCTGTCCTTGCCTGTCTGCCCAGTGTGGCACTGCAGACATGGGCATGGACCTCCCTAAGCAGATTATTTAGAGGAAAGTGGCCTGTCCAAGGTCATGGAGGAATCAGTCAGGTCTAACTGGCTCTGCCACAATGTTGCCAGGGGGGTTTGTTCAGTCAGAGCTCAGCTCCTAAATTGCAGTGATAGTGGATGTAGCACTTTGCAAGTCTAGAGTCAATTCTTAAAAAGTGAAACAACCATGAGTAATAACCAATATTGAAATAAGGTTATAGTCATTCCAAAAGATTCTCCAAGTAAGAGTTACTATGACAAGGCAGAATATATGCATGAGATTTATCCAAAAGGCTGAAGGCAGAGAGATTTGGCAGAATTCATTTTGTCTGACCTGCGACTTTTGCTCAGGACCTCACCAACTCTGATGCAGACTTTGGAAAGAGAAGTGGGGCTTGCAGGTTCTGGAATAGGGAGGACACCCTCCTTTTGAGCACCTGAGCAGAGCCAGCCATAGGCACTGGATCCCTGGAGATCATGTGAATGGACCAGTGGATGTTGCAAATCAGATCATCTGGGTGAGGCCTCCCACTGCAACAGAGGCAGCGAAGGGTTGGATAGTCACATTCTCTCCTGAGATCATTTATTCCTAGGTGCTGAGAGGTAATTTCCAGAGTGCACTATGTCCTCCTTATTTTCAGTTTCCTGGATGAACATCAGTATCACCAACTGCCTTCAGGTTTGTCAGTGAAACACAATTAGGGGAGAAGCTTGCAGCAGAGATTAGAGGTGTTAAGGATACACTTAGCACTTAGATCTCAATGCACACTTAGGGAAGCCATTGAACTGAAGGCTCAGCACGTCAGGAAGAACCTAGAGAAGGAGCAGCAGGTGAGGAACTCAGGGAAGGCTCAGAGGGAGGAATGGGGCAAAGGAGCAGCAGGCACTGCTGAGCAACTTGAGAAAGGACTTCCCCAAAGCAAACAGCAGGACACGAACCCAGAGCTGAAGGAATGACAGGAGCCTAGCTGGACAGGTGAACACGACATTGCTCCCTCTCATGCCCAGGAAGGGTCCTGCTCTCCTGTGCCCACTCTCACCTTTCAGGCTTTACGGTCAGGCCAGCAAAGCCCTCTTAATAAATGAGAGACTGGTATGAGAAGCATGGCCAGGCCCTCCTACCCTCGGCACCTGATGTGTCTCACTTCACCCTTCCAAGGCAAGGTCTATGTGCCAAGCTACCCACCACGTGTTAAAATTGGTTGTAAAGTTGTGTTGGTATTAATAACAATTGTTTTATTAATAAGAGCAACAATAAGAATTTAAGCATGTGGCACAGGCCAGGTATGTTACTCAGAATAATCCCATTTTATTCTCACAACAGCCCCAAGAAACAAGTGCTACAATTATTCCAATTTTGCACATTAAAAAACTAAGGCTCAAATAAGTCCAGTAGCTTGTTCAAAGTCCCACTGCTGGTGGTACACCTGGGAATTGAATGCAGGCTGCTGACTCCAGAGACTTGATAGCTTACTGGCTGGAGTATTTTTATACCAAGTAAATTTACCTAGAATAAACAAAAACTATTGTGTATAACTACTTATGTTAAACATCAACTATGCCAACATAACTTCCTGGAGAAAGGAGTACCAGCTTCAGTTACAGACTCTACTACTTAGAGCCATGGAAAGCAAGTCCTACAACCTTTTTAAGCCTCAGTTTCCTCGTGTGTAAAAATTAGTCCCTGTCTCATAGAGTTGTTTTGATGATTGAATGAGATAGAAAATATAAATGTTTGATACAATATCTGGCATGAAATAACTGCTCAATTAAAAGTATTAATAGCAGTTAATATTTTCTATTATAAAATGATAATATGTTGAGTATAGACAATGTGTCATCACCTTGCTAATGTTTTCTATTTTTCAAAGTCAACATTTTCCCCTACCATATGGGACATTCCCATCAAGCTTTGATAATGCATGAGTATTGGCTTGAATCACTAAGATCTAGGGATACAAGGAGAAGTAGTATCCTATGTGACTTCTGGGAGAAAGTTAGCTCTTCTTCCATCCTTCCTCATTTTTGCTGGCTGAAAAGTAGACATGATGGTTGGAACTCAAGCAGCCATCTTCAACTATGAGGTGAAAACTGTGTGCTAAGAATGTCAAAGCAACGAAGTAGAATGCACCTGGGTTTCCAACATCACACCATGGAGTGCCATCCAACCCGGACTTATTTTACATGAGAAAAAAAACCCTGTATTTTTAAAACCCACAATTATCTTTCATTTTTATGTTCCTTACAGACAAATGTAATCGTAACATTTCTTTTCGATGAAACTATATGAGAAGATAGTAGCATTTCCATTTCACTGACAGTGATACTGAGGCTCAGAGATAAAACAATTTGCCCAATATTTCCCAGCTACTCTGTCATGGAGGTATAATTCACCACCAGGTCTGTCTGGCTTCACAGCTGATGCCCTTTCCAGCTATTTACTATGGTAAGTTATCTAAGGGGGTGGGGACATTCTGTAACGATGGGCATATGTACTCAGGCTCAAAAAGTCACATGTTCAAGTCAACATGAGTTCAGACGAGAGGCTTAGGAAAGGGACAAGATGAATATCTTTTCTACTCACTTAGGGCATCTTGTCCTACTTTTCCTGCCTCTAAAGGAAGAGAAAAAAAAATAAGTATGGTCTATGTCATATGCTGGCTCTCAGTCCCTCTGAGTTCCTGCCTGCCTGAATTCCTGACCAGATGTAAAAACGTGATGCATGGATGTGGCTGCTGGGTATTCTACAGAGACCTGCTCTGAAAGGCAAATTCATCCTTACAGTGGCTTCTGGTGCACAGAGAAAAATGAATAGAGTGTAAATGCTGGTGAGATTGGCTGCTTTTTCCACAGGACCCTTGGGCAGCTCAGCAGCAGGGCAGGCAGTGAGCATTCACTGATGCGAACTCTTCCTACCTCTAGTGGGTGTCGGCTCCCTAGAATATAAGTTTTTTGCTATTTGCATGACATATGGGCAACTAATTGCAATAACAATTACTACAATAATAATTATATTATTGTGCATGGATATCCTAATCCAGATTTGCTAGAGGAGCCGACTACACTTATGCCCACTTCCCATATAACTTCAGGATGGGATGTTAGGGACAGATGCAGCCAGGCTGCTGCCCATCAGCATAAAGGGCACAGAACAGTGAATGCCAAGGAAACCACATGCATTGAAACCTGGATTTCATCATCATTAGGCTAATAATCATTATAATCCTATGAAACTTCATTATTGAATTCCCCCTTTACCATTTCCACATGTAACACTCATTTGTTAATAACTAAGATAAAGGTCCATAAAACAATATTGCTCCCATGTAACACAGCTTCCTTCTCATTCTCAGTAAGAATCCAGACTTTCATCAGAGGAATCTAAGTGCTTCACCAAGATGTGTCAATTATTTCAAGATGACAGGTATTCGATTCCCAAATTCATCAGTGGGGGCTAAAAATGTATCGGTTCATCAAGCAAAGCACATTTCTGGAAGCACTCTCACCATTTGGGAATCAAATAATAATTGCAATACCAACACCTTGACTTTCTAATGGAATTTTTCAGGAGCTAAAGGGTTTTGACACATTCCCCCAACAACCCACTCTCAGATTTATCTTCTTTGTAGGCTTTTGCAATAGTAAAGGTACTGGTTTTATTTTTCTCATTTTGCAGAAGAAACTCAGATTCTCAATTCAGAAGTTGAGTGACTTACATAAGCAAAGCATGCTGGAGGCAAAAAATAGAGAACAGCTCTTTCACTGTGAAGCTCCAACCACTTGACTATACAGCTTCAGCAACATCACTCCTTGAATTCAAGCCCTGAGCTGGCCACTCTGACTTTACAGAGAAGAGTAAGCTGGAGTCCCCATTCTCAAAGAATACAAAACTCAGTGGAAGAACCAAATGTTAAAAATGAGAATTATAAAACAGCATGTGAGTGTGAAAAGAGAAGCATATAGAGGGGTGGGGAGAGAACAGGCAGTCTCCTCTCTATATTAGTTTGGAGAGTGAGGGTCCTGGTGGAGATGACAACTGATGCAGGCTTTGAAGCATTCATAGTTTACTAGGTAGGCAAAATGAAGGTAGGCACCCCAGGGTGAGAAAATGTCATGCATAAAGGCATGGTGGTGGAAAGAGTCAAGGATGTTTAGCAGCTTGCTAGTGTCATTGTCATATACCCATCACCAACCTAATCAAGCAGAAGACTTTGTGTTTGTGAGGAGAGAGACTGAGTGTTCCAAATAAGCTGGGAAGTCTTGAAGTGGGGCACGATGTCGAACTGAGTCTTGAAATAAGTAGGGAGCATGGACATGTTTCAGGAACACCCTCCCCCACCCCCACTTCTGAGTTTCTCTTGAGGTGTGCCTACCAATTCCTCACTCTTCTGGTCCTCCTCCATCCCACCGTCAGAGGTCATTAAGGATCCTGTTGGGCCTGGCTGATTCTGGATTCTTAAGGCAGCTCGGTCCTGGAAGGGGCTGCCCGGACTTCCTAACCCTAACATGGATGCCCTCCTACCACCCCCCACATATCTGTCTGCATCCTCTCATATCTCTTTTGTGTGGAGTAGAACAACAGAAATGCAAAGAGGCCCTTCTGTGGAAAGGGAGTTAGTAGGAAGCTTCTTTCTTCTCTCCAGGGCCCTGGCCTTTCCTCTAGGCACACACTGACGCCTTTCTCCTGGGGAGGCCTCCCCTCAGCTCTTAATCAGGGGCTGCACTTCAGTTCTTTCCAGAGCCCACTGTGGATTTATGATTTAATTTGTGTGTATGGCACTAAGAAATGATTTCAGGGCTGGTCACTTAAGAAATGATTAAAGACCATCATTTCAAACCCACAGCACTCCCTGGGGGAAGAGAAGCAGTCTGAGACAGAAGGAGGTGTTAATAATATGCTGAGATGGACATGTGGCAGGGGATGCCAGTCACCTGGGAAAGACAGAGGCAAGGAGGGCAAGGCCCAGCTGCCTCATGGCTGTGAGCTTTGTGTGTGCTGAGGAACACTGGGCAATGCTGAGAGGCCCGGGTCCTCAGGACAAGAAGAGACACCCGCATCAAACATTTGTGATGCTATCTTTGTCCAGAGAGGCAGATTCCATCTGAGGCAGGCACAATAAAAAACCAGGCTGTCTCCATTCCTTGGCATCTTTACAATCTCAGAGCAGTAAACCTGGGCTCCAAGGTGGGTGATTCCAGTTGGGAGAAGGAAGCAACCACTCATTAAAGGCTTCAGCCCTCCAGAAGCTTTCCATGTGTTGACACCGACCAGAAACCTGCATGCAGGAGTTCTAAATGACTCTTGATGTCTCTTCCAAGAGAACAGCCAAATGTCTCACTGCACCAGTTTATGTGGTGTGGCTATAAACTTCTGAGACCAGGTAATACACTTGGGAAGACACGCTTAGCTTCCCTTTAGGAATTCCTCAAAGTCAGGGTTGCTCTCATTGCCTCTTTGTGTTAATCAACTAACTCAGCCATTGGAGAACACAGGTGAGCCCTAGGCCAGGTCTGCTCGTGGCTGCACAGATAAGGGTCATTATTATTAAAGCCAGTGGCCCAGAATGTTGCAGAAGACAGCAATGGGTCAATGAAATTCACCCTGAATACTGACTCTGAATACCCAGTTTCCAGAATCAGTTCCTAAACCCTTGCTACCTGTGAGGTTGCGGGCAAGTTCTGTTGTAGCCTCTCTGAGCCACAGCAAGAACTCATCTGTGAAATGGGGATAAGGAGGGTAAATAAGAGTAATTCCCTCACCTTTGCTGTTTATTGGTGAACACATACAAGGCTTGATTTTAGTGTTCATTACAGCTCCTACGTCTGCTTATCTGGGCCTATCAAACATCCATCATGATAAGTGATACTTTGACTTTTGTAAGCTTCTTTTATTATGAATAGCAAAAACAACTGCAAGTGTACATTCTCATTCATGTTCTACAATATCTCACAATAGAAGGACCGTGGAGCTGCTGGGTATAACCACGGAGAGGCCCCTGGGAATGAGGGAGCTGAACCTCAGCCAGCTCTGCAGCAAATGAGTGTGACTCACCTTCTCTGGACTGCAATTGCCTTCTCTGTGAAATGAATGGTTAGATTAGATGCATCGATCTGCCATTCCTTTAACACAGGCTCGCTCTCTGTCATTCATCCATCACGCAGCCAGTCAGCGCACACCTCCGTTAAGCAAGGGACCTATATGACACAACAGCCAGCAAGGTGCAGTCCTTGCCACAAGGAGCTTCTCATGCCCTGACCTCAAAGACTTCTTCCAGCTCCACGAGGCTAATCTAACCATGAGCACTGTCTTTTCTAGGCTGTACGGGTGGGTGAGCTGAGGCACCCAGAAATTAAAGGATGTGCTCACCCAGCATGTCAGAAGTAAGGTGGAGACTCAGCTCATCAGGATTTGGGCCTCCTGGAGAGATTTTCCCATTAGCGTGCAGGGCATCTCCATCAATAATGATACCAACCATAATGAAGATAAATATTTTGCAATAAACTGTCGCTTTTTCACATGGCAAAAAGCTATTCCAATTAAACACACTTTGGTCTTTCTTTCCTTTACTTTTATTTCATTTTTCTTGGCATATCCCTGAGCTAAAGAAAAGAAAAAAAATCTATTCTTGAAAAGGCAGGCAGAGGGAGAGCCAACTCCAACAAAGATTCTACCCACTGCCTCAGTAGCGATTTCACCATCCTGCCACCACAAACACACCTACTGAACTGTCATCATCACCTGCTCCTGGGAAGGGAGGGGGCCCCAGGGTGAGACTGGAGCCTCATGTAAACCAGGGGCTCAAGAACTAGTCTGTGTTTCTGGGCAGCTTGGGGATGGAGTGAGAGGGACAGAGGATTCAATGGACTCATTTGGCCTCTATTATTTTTAATATGCAGGCCTCAATTAACATATGTAGCACTAACTTCTACATACTACGCACATAACTAAAAGCTCCAGTTAGAAAAATAGGAGAACAGCAGGTGGGAGTATCACCACCTTCTCCTACCTGCACCTCCTCAGCCTGGGAGAAGGTGCTCCTGGTGACAGAAATTAATCCCCCCTCCATACACTCCCCTTACTCTCACCCTCAGTCTCATTTCATGCCATTTCTGCTGGGATCTGAGCCTTGCCCTAATGCCTTCATCCTCTCTTCTGTATTTTCAACCTGTCTATTGGACTTTTCCTGTGGACAGCCTAAGGCAAATGTCTCAAAGCCTGTTGCTTCCCTAACCCTCCCTCCCTTCCCACATCCAACTGTCACCAGGTCCTGTCATCTCTACGTTCTGAGCTATTGTTAAATCTCCCTCTTTCTGTACCTGCCTCAGCCAGGCCTTCCTCTTGTCACTAGCTCCCTAATTTCCCCCCTGCTGCTTTCTCCTCTGTACACCTGCCAGAGATCCCACAACACAGATCTGACAGTGCCCTTTCCTGTCTAAAACCCTGAGGGCTCACCAGCCTTCACAATGGAGCCCAATGCCCTGACATGACTTTCTACAGCTGCTCCAATGGGGTCATCAGGCCCTGCTCACTTTTCCAGTCTCTCCCTGTCCCAGCCTCCCAAATACCATCTAGAATTCCAGGCAAATGGAAGACTGGCTCCCGGTGAACACAGCTGGACATGGCTTTCTGGCTTCCTCTGCCTGGCTGCCTGAGGAGTTCCCATCCACGTGCAGAATTGCTCAGGCCCCTCGCACGGAAGCACTTCCTGCTTTGTGCCAGCTCTTGACTTCCACATGCCTCAACTACAGAACGTCCCATGCTGGGTATGACTGTCTGCTCACCTGCTTGCCTCCCCTGCAAAACTGCTCCCTGCCCCCAGTACTCTATGAATCAGCCTGCCAGTACCTAGACAATACTCGTGGACTTGTATTAAATAAGCGGAAGCTTGGGACTAGACAAGTGAGACTTTCAAGAGCTCTTTTTTACTTTTCCCTACTATGTGACTTATGCTGTTCCAATATTTTGCTCACATGAATCTCACTATCTGGGGTGTCCTTCTCTCCCATCTCTAAACCTGAAATGTGTCCTATTCTCTACAGCTTAGCTCACATTCCACCCTATCCATGAAAGTATTCCTCATTTTCCAGTTGGCATGTCTCCTTCCAGAATCCCCTTAGCACTGTCCCTACAGGATGTGGAGTCTGGAAGCCCAGGTATAGATCCTCTCAAGACTTATGTGGTGACCACAGGCAAGTCACTAACCTCTAAGTCTCAGGATCCTCATCTGTAAATTAGGAATGTGATAATGCATGTACAGTGATTTGCATGGCAAGTACTCAGAAGAGTTAGTTCTTCATCATCGTTATCATCGTCATCATCATTTGGTCTCTCAAGAAACTCTTCTGAGAGCACAGCCTGTAACCAGTTTATCTTTGCACACTTCTGTGTCCAAGGTCCTGCCCAGCCCATGTGGCTATTTCAAGTACTTGTTGAACTGAGTTAATTATAAGACTGTATATCTGCAATGGTTCTTTGTCTCTCATGTCTGTCCGTGGTGCCCCTGCAGTTCTCCCACGGAACATGGCTTCCCCAGTCTCTTCTATCAGTCCTGACCCAGTTTTAGGGTCCTCTGGGGACAAGCCACATTTCCTGTAAGCCTCTGAGTCCTGCCTACCCTGCCAATCACTCATGCTGGGAAGAGCCTGCATTTCATGCCTCCCAGCCTGGGCCTTCTGCTTGGATCTCCCCACTCCTGCTGCCGTTCCATCTGCCTCACAGGGAAGCATACACAGCCCTCCTCCTCTTCTTCTCCTCTTTCCCTGCAGAAGTTATGCAGCTCTGTGTTTTCTGCCCACAGCAAATTGGTGAGCATTCTGTGCCCTCTTGCTCTCCTGATGTTGGCCCTGACTCTGCATCCATGATCATTGCCATTTAGGTATTGAAGGGGTCACATCCACATGAGTGGATTGTCCGCTGGCAAATCAGCCCCATTATACTCCTCTCAGGCTCAGAGGGGCTGGAAACATGTAAGCCATATTTCCCAGAACACCAGCCTCTAGGGGTCTGGGTTACAGTCCACCAATAAGAAGCACTCCTACCAGACACAGGAGGTGAAGAGAGCAGAAGCTCCTTGGGCAGCAGTGGCGAGCAGCCCATGGGTTTTGGCAGACATGACATTTTGCAGTAACCTCCAGGTTTTTTCTATGTACTACTTGCCTCAGCACTAGAAGCAGTGACCATCCCTGCCAGGGTCTTCTGGCTACTGGCTCCCTAATAATTAGTGGCCAACCTAAAAGTCCTCAGTGGCCTATGCTAACCTTTGTCTCTCCATCCTCGTGAGAGTTTTGTAAGCCCCTTTAGCAAATCTGATTCTACTCGAAAACCCTGGAATATTTTTACATAAACACCCTCCACCCTCCATACATATGGTTAATACACAGGTTTTTTTTCTAAAGTAGCTTAAAATAATTATCCCCAAAGACTTAAGCCACACATTCTGAGAACTTGTGAGGAACATATTCAAAGGTACCAAGACTATGAAATTCCTCAAAGACTCCACATGCTCTGGTGATGATAGAGGAGAAGGTAAGGTAGAACCCTGAGCTAACCTCCTCCTTCTTCCACCTCCCCTCCCCTCCTTCACCTGATTCTCCTCGTGTCTCTAGATGGAGATAGGATGGAGATTTGCAATAGAGGATGCCTGTCTGAACTGGAAGAGGCTGAATGTAAAAGCAACAGGCAGTGGTGAATATTCAGTGGTTAAGTTCCAAGCACTGTGCTAGAGGCTGTACAGGAATTATATCACTCAACTCTCAAAACAACACAATAGCAGTGCACAATAATAACAGTGAATAATCATCATGGGCAAGGACTTGCTCTGGGTGGGCACTGCGCTAAGGGCTTAGCCATATTGTCATGTTGGATTCTCCCACTAGACTATGAGGTAGGTGCTATTATTATACCATTTCACAGATGCAGGACCCAAGCTACAGAGAGGTTAAGTAGCTCACCCAAGCCTGATCAAAGTACAGGGAAGGTGTGTTTTGAAGCTTCCTGCCATGACTTCCACCCATTCTCAACAGCACTCAAATCCTAAAGATGTCAAATTGTCCCACTGCCACCACCCCAGTCTCTGAACCCCTCTCACACCTGCTGTCCCCCCTCTCCTCCAGGACCACTCTCTCCTCAGACTATTCAATCTTGGACCTCTGACGATGCTACCTTTGCCCCACCCCCAAGTGTCCCCAGGGGTAATCTGACTGGAGCAATTCACCCTTTATCATTAAGAAGGTTTCACTTACCCCAGAAACAATTCCCTTTCAAAAGAATCTGATTAACCTTGTCCTTAACCATAAGAGTTTTGGTTTGGGGCAGAATTTCTCCTCCTGCACCCCTCCCCCTTCTCTCTGGCCCTACTTTTTCCCTTCTGAAATCTTGCCCTTGGGCACACTCTACCTCCTCTGTGAAGCCTCATTCTGAGCCCATGATTTTGCCCTGCAGAGTGCATCACACCTGGACCAGGCTTTGCAGGAATACCTCGCTTCCCCAGGAGATTCCTCTCTCCCCTTTCTCCCTTTCCCAATCTTACAAGTAACAGCTAGGGAGAAGTGCGCAGGCCAGGGAGGCAGCGTTGCTACAGTGACAATCCCAAGAAGTGTGGAACATTAGCCCATCCCTCATTATTGACTAAAGCCACCTCAAACAAACAGGATCTCTGTTAAAACAGTGCACTTGCTACAGAGATGCACTGTCACACCTCTTCGTCCAGCCAGGGGCACTCCTAAGTTCCAGGTACCCCGCTGGACACAGAAAATGGACTTGGGATGGCCATGTCTACTCAACACTCCAGTTGCCCCCATGCATTAGAGAATGGAGATAGCTGGGGTGAAGGGAGGCAGGGAAGGGGAGAACAGCAAAGCTACAGTGAAGAGAGAGCCACGTCTCTGGATTCCTCTGCAGTGCCTCTGAGACAGGGTACCCAGGAATGATAATTAGCATACATACAACCACACACTCACAAATTGCAGAACCATTATTTTGTAATTTCCATAACGAGGCCTTTGGAATAACAATCAAGCTGAAGAGAAAGAGAAGGAGAGCTGCCACGAGGGAGCTCAGGACGGCAGGACTCCACTATGTGATGATGGTTGGGCTCAAGGAGGTGACGTGCTTATGGAGGCCTACTCCCAAACCAGGTTTTAGAGCAGAGCCTTTCAGAGTGTTTGCACTGATGGGGTCAGGGGATCTGTGGCAGCAACAGCAGGCAGAAGTCTCTACAAGAACCAGTTGGATGGAGGCATGGGCTCCATTTAAATTGAGGCATGAGCCCCTTTTTGAGGAAGGGTATGGGCCTCAATTGGATAAACGGGCATATATTTTGTTTGAATGAAGGCAGAAGTCTCCTCATATGGCACCCACTGAATGCAGGCATGGTTATCCATTTGGATGTAGGCATAGGCCCAGAAATATGTCACCATCACTCTGTAGACTCAACGCCCCATGATCAACTCATTCTAGCCTTCTGGGTTATTACTGTCTAAGCCCAAGAGAGGCATTAATCCTCTGAGAAGATGCGATCATGGGTAACTGTTTAGTGTTTCTTTGGTTTTTGGGGGTTTTTGCTTGTTTGTTTGTTTTGTTTTTTTTTTGCTTGTTTTTACGTATGTCCATGATTTCTGATACACTCCTAACCCAGAACTATTTGGGCTTAACACTGTAATGCTGGGTGCTGGATATTGGAGCATTGTGCTGTCTGCTCACAAGAACTCTTATCCCAATGACCTCCCAATGAGGTTACTACAGTTATAGAAACCAGAGAAAAGGAAAGAGGACTCAGCAAAGGGCATGAGCCTGCCAAGTTCTACGCAAAGTTCTCTGTCCAGGAAGCTAGGCACATAGTACGTGCACAAAAAGTGCAGGTTGAATATCAAGGCATATGAGAGATGTTAAAATTTCTTTGGAATTTTGAGATTCCTTTGTCACTGGAATTTTTTAGGCCCAGGCCGCTCTTTGCTATGATCCCTAAGAAAGATGCATGACTAGGTTTCTCTGGGCACAGCATGTGCCAGCTCCCATACTCCCTCTTCCTCTCTCTTTCACAGATTGTGCTGGCAATGCCTTTCTCTGTCCATTTGTCCATCAGCACATAGGTCTTACAGATCATTCTTTCAAAAGATCCCACCCATTTCGCTGTGGCCAGAGAAGGTGGTAGTTTTGCAGTGTTCAGGGCAGAGGGCGCAAGAGGGTGGACAGACCTGCTGGCCCAGGCTTCTACCTGTCTGCACATTACTAATGTAGGATCTGGGTATGCAGCTGGTCTTTCTTGGCATCTGGGGCTGGGGTTTGGGCTTGGGGTGCCCTGCCCAGCATGGTTCCTCTCCCTCCAGCAGACAGGCAGCCTCAGGCCCCTTGGGGTCTCAGAACACCTCCTTGGGAAGACCCATCCCTCTCTTCTGAGGGAGGAGATATCAGCTTCTTCTCTTACTCCTTTCCATACTCCTCCCCCTGCCAGGCACAGTGGATACACTTGTCTGAAGGCCTGAAGTCTTCTCACACTGGGCCTTTAAGAGCCTGGCCTCTTACCCCATCAAATCTACCCTTGAGCAGGAACCTGGGGGAATGCAGGAACTGAGATAACTGTGATTGAATCTCAAACTTTGAATAACTGACTTTACTCTCTGGGCTGCAGTTCCATCATCTGCAAAATGGAGTGGTAATAATAGCACCTACTTCAAAAGATTTTGTGAAGATTAAACAAATCAATGCTATCACATGCTTTCTATAGAGTCTTCCACATAATAAGGGCTCCAAAATTAGGGCTGTTTATACATGGAAGTAAATAACTAAACCAATGGCAAAGATCAACCTTCTGGTATGGGAGATGTGAGGGGAGCAAAGTGTGTCTTGATTCTCAAAATCCAGCAAAGTCAACCACAAATGCCTCTGCAGCTCCTGAGCTTCCTACTTCCAGTCATTGGGTTGTGGCCCTGGAATGGGCCTTCATGGGTCGGCTCTAGTCCCTCCTGTAGCACCAGGATGTGCCATGTATGCATCTCAGGGTCTTTATGTTTCCCCTCCACCCATGTCCCACATGTTGTTCCTTCAGCTCCTGCTACCCCACCCTTCTCTGTTCAGTAAGCTGCTTCTACCACGTCTTCCTCCTACCTAGGTTTGAGACCATCTCCCAACAACTCTAAGCCCAGCCATCCATGGCCCAGTGATGTACACTAGAAAGCAGGGCATGCTCATCAGAGGACCTAGGCTTCAGAAAAACAGAGTGGGTGAGAGGGACGGCTGACATCAGAGCAGGGAGAGGGGCAAGTCTGTGACTGCAAGTCAAAGGCATGGTGGCTGAGGGGTTCAGAGAGCAGGAATGGTCCCAGATATGTGGGTGAGAAAGAGAGAACAAACCTGGGAGCAGGATATTGTAAGCTGATGCTGCCCAAGACTGCCACTCCTGCAGAAGGGAATGGCAGGTCCTCACACCAGTGGCCTGCAGCCTTCCCTGGAGGCTGAGACTTGTCCCACGGGGTCCAAAGCCCACTCTCCCCTTCTCTCCCTGTCCATGGTTCCTTTGGCAAAATACATTCTGGAATCTACTTCTCTTTCTTTCTTTTTTATCTTAAGCAGTTTTATGGAGGTATAATTAACATATCATAAAATTCATTGTAAATTATTCAATGAATTTGAGTAAATTTATGAGTTCAATGATTCTTGGTAAATTTGTAGAGTTCTCACCACAATTAAATTTTAGAGCATGTCTACCACCCCGTAAATGTCCCTCAGGCCCCATAACTGCTCCTACCCCCTAATTCTAGGCAACCACTTATCTACTTTCTGTTTCTGTGGATTTGTCATTTCTGGACATTTCTAGGACTCATTCAACATTTTCAAAAATCTGGCTTCAATAACTTAGCACAATGTTTTGGCATTCATCCATAGTGTAATGTGTGTCAGTATTTCATTCCTTTTTACTGATGAACAATATTCCATTGTATGGATATACCACATTTTGTTTATCCATTCACCAGTTGATAAACATTTGGATGGTTTCCACCTTTTGGCTATTATGAATAATGCTGCTGTGAATATCTGCATGCAAGTCACTTCATGGACATATGTTTTCATTCTCTTGAGTAAAAATCTGAGGAGTGGAATTGCTGGGTCATATGGTAAACTTATAATTAACTTAAGAAACTGCCAAACTGTTTTCCAAAGCAGCTGTACAATTTTACATTCCCAGCAGTATTGTATAAGACTTCCATTTTTGAATTTAAAATTATATCCATTCTAGTGAGTGTAAAGTAGTATATCATTGTGTTTTTAATTTGCATTTCCTTACTGACTAATGATGTTGGGCATATTTTCATGTGTATAAAAATCATTTGTGTATCTTCTTTGCTGAAATCCCCATGCATATTTTTGCTCATTTTTAAATTGAGTTGTTTGACTTTTTACTAATGCATTTAAGAGTTATATATATATATATATATATATATATCCCTTTTCAGATAAATGATATACAAATATTTTTCTCGAATCCAATTTACCAATGTTTCACCTATGGATTGTGCTTTTGGAGTCATATCTAAGAAATCTTTGCCCTAAGGTCAAAACATTTTCCTAGAAATTTTATAGTTTTTGTTTTTCCTTTTAGGTCTATGATCCATTTGGAGTTAATATTTGTATATGGTGTGAGGTAATCTTGTTTTTCCTGCTTATGGATATCCAATTGTTTCAGCACTTCCAAATAAACACCAGGAAGCCATCTCTTGGGATGGTTTCCAACCACTGATGTGACTGACCATCTACTCATCCATCCCCAACTGCCTCAAATAGGAGAAAGGGCTAACGTTACCTACAGGTGCCAAGACATTTTCTGGGACTCTCCATCAGGCAAGCCCCTTGCAGGTAAAGAGCATCTCTCCTCCTTCATAGAGTGGCCTGTCCACTGTCCACACTCAGTAAGAATTAGCAATGGCAGTGATTAAGAAGAACTGTGAGTCTGATGGAGTGGAGGCAGGATAGTAGCCTCCTGCCAGCTGCTTCTTTCTTTCTACCACCTAGGGACTGAGAAGAGCTGTGGATGATGCCATATAAGCCACCACACCCTATCATCAGCCAAGCCCTTATTCCTGAAGAAGCACAAAGCCCATCAGCTCCTAGCTGTTGGCAGCTAGTGTGGGAGGCAGAAGAAAGAGACATTTCATCATCTTAAGATACCTCAGCAGGTCCATGGGAGCAACAGGTCAAAAGGCCTTCTACCTGGGTGCTTGGGTTGCATGATGAAACAGACGGGGAAATGGGGGCCCTGTAATTGGAGGGTGATATGCAGACAACAGCTCAGCAGCAGGTCTACTCATCAGATGGCTCATGGATTCTGGCTATCGATTCCCAGGCAATCTAACCCTGCAGTTGACAAAAGGGAGATGCCAGCAGACTCTGGCACTCTAGATGTCTGAATTCTCAGATGGGCAGGGCAGCTGGCAAGGTTGTTTCAGCCTCCAGAAAGCGCAACATTGACAGGTGGTAGAGATGACTGAAAAGGAAGCCCAGGGCTGGTTGGGGATAGTTCAGATATCCAATCAACCTGCTTAAAGGCTCATACTTTGAAACTGCTTCTTGTATCCAGCACCTAGTCTTTCCTCCTTTGGATACTACCAGAGAATCCCAGAAATCTTTCCTAACCTGGTTGGCACCTCCTGCTCCCACCAAACTCCAGAAAGTTATTAAAGAAAAACCACACAGGCAATGATAGGTGTATTACAGCGAGGGGTCCTTTTGAGCTGCTTGTTGGATTGTGCATGGTAGGCTCTCACCCTGGCCTGTGGGTCTCACTCCTCATTTCCACCCCACCACCCTGATACTCTGCTTGCCCCCTCTGATGCTGCTTACATGGCCTTTACTTAGAGGTCACATGCAGTATGGAAGAAGGAGAGCTCCCCAAAATGTAAGGATTGGAAACAGCCTTCATAATGACATAGTGCCACCCCTACATGTTCATATGGGGAAACTGAGGCCCAGAGGGGAGGGGATGGCCCAAAGCCACAGTATAGAAGCTGGGGCTAAGACTAGGTAAGTGCAATTGCCTGTGGATCAGTGACCAACACCTTCCCAGGTGGGAAACACATCAGCAGGTTTCGATAACATATTTAAGATCTAACTGAAAATGGTGTGTTTAGTAGCAGATGGATAAATGTATCCATAAAAGCAAGGCTTATGTTGTTCATTCAGTAAAAGTCCTAGGGTACTAAGGACATATCAAGCAGTAGAATTAACCCTAGAACAAAATCATACAACATTTTTCCTTATAAAATCTGGGACTACAAAGTCTGGAGTGGAGGAAAAAAAAACCTGAAAGCCTAGAGACAATTCTAAACTTGCATTTATTCAATTTCTCATTCATTCAACAAATATCCATTGATTGAAATGCATCAAGTATGTTTAAATCTATGAGCTCATGATGATATTTAAACACTCCACTGATCAATTGGAGAATGTAGAGAACAACTCATTATTTTGAAAACTGATCAAGACAGAGAATCAAGCATTTATATGCCTTTCTTATACAAACCATAACTAAATAAGGGCAATTTTCTTCTTATAAAATATTTCAGTTAATATATGCAGAAAGAATGATAGAATTGGAATAGTAACATTTTGCAAACCCTAATGAAAGACTGGATCTGGACAATGAGAATCAACATCCCTAACATCAACATCACAGAGAGAAAAATCAGACAAGATGTGCCTCCATGGATGAATATGAAGTTGAAGTATTCTTTCCAAATAAATAAGCCTGAATCTTATCAAACTTTTTTACTTCCCATTTACAGAAATTGCAGAGGACAGAGGAACACGCTAAACACCACCACTGGAATGCAACGAGCAAACTCAGACTATGGAACGCTCCATAGGACAAACAACATGGTTTCTTAAACAAACAGATTTCAAGAAAAAAAAAGAAAGGGGGAAAACTATAGATTAAAAGAGACTAAAAAGAGATAATAAACCCACTGCAGTTTAAGGAACTTCTTAGCCTGATTCAAATAAACTTAAAAAAAAAGAGAGAAAGACAGAGACATTCAGGAAATTTTGAACACTCTCTGCATATTTGATGATATTCAGAGATTATTATAAATTTGCTTAGATGTGATAATGGTATTACGGTTATTTACTCTGAAGAATTCTTATCTCTTAGAGATATGCTCTGAAATATTTACTGATAAAATGATAGGATGTCTTGAATTTGCTTCAACATAAGGAATTAGTTAAAGCCAGATTGGTCTTGGTTTGACAATTGTTGAAGCTGAATGATGGGTAAAAGTGAGTTTGCTATACAACTCTCTCTACTTTTGCATGTGCTTGAAATTTTCCATTATAAATATGTTAAAAATACTTTTGTGAACTCTTACTAGGTGACAGGTGCAGAGGATGCAACAGCAGGTTTTGATAATAAAATAATTCAAGATCTAATTAAAACTGTTGTGTTCAGTAGCAGATGGATAAAAGTATCCATAAAAGCAGGGCCTATGTTGTTTATTCAATAAAACCCCAGAGTACTAAGAAAATACTCAAATAGTAGAATTAACCCTAGAAAAAAATCATACAATGATTTTTCATATAAAATCTGGTACTATAAAGTCTGAAAAGAAAAAAAAAACCTGAGAGCCTATAGAAAGTTCTTAACTTGCATTTATTCAATGTCCCATTCATTAAACAAATATTTACTTGGTTGAAACGCATGAAGTATGTTTAAATCTATGAACTCATGATGAGACTTAGAATAAATGGGTACCCCCTCTGATCAACTGGAAAATGTAGGGGCCAACTCAAATCAAGCAAAACAGATCAAGAAGAAAAAAGAGCAACACTCTCATGGAGCTTCCATTCCAGTGATAGAAAAGAAGAAAGATGAGACAAACAATAAATAAACAACTGCACAAGAAGGTTTCATATATGGATTCACTTTATAGCAAGTAAAACAGGATAAAATGTGGTAACAAAGATGGAGAAGAGAGGGCGTGCCAGACAGCAAGGTCAGAGCCAGCCACAAAAAGAATCAGGAAATAGCTTTTGAGGCAGAGGAAGTGACATGTGCAAAGGCCCTGAGGCAGTGACATGTGCAAAGGCCCCCAGGCAGGAGTGAGGCTGGTGGTGGGGATCGGCGGGAAGTCTGCTGTGGCTGCAGCTCAGAGACTGGGCAGACTGGAAGGAGCTACCATTGGAGAGCAGAACGGAGTCAGGTTCCAGAGGGCTGGTAAAAAATTTGATTTCATTATAAGTGAAATAAGTCACTGCGGGGGCTTAAAGAGGAAAGTGGCTGTTTTACTTGAGTGTTTGTTTGTTTTTGAGATGGAGTCTCACTCTGTCACCCAGGCTGGAGTGCAGTGGCGTGATCTTGGCTCACTGCAGCCTCCCCCTCCTAGGTTCAAGCGTTTCTCCTGTCTCAGCCTCCTGAATAGCTGGGATTACTAGTGCTCACGCCACCACACTCAGCTAATTTTTTGTATTTTTAGTAGAGATGGGGTTTCACCATGTTGGCCAGGCTGGTCTTGAACTCCTGACCTTGGGCCTCAGGTGACCCACCTGACTGGGTCTCCCAAAGAGCTGGGATTACAAGTGTGAGCCATCACACCTGGCCCTACTTGCATTTTTTAAGCCATTCATCTGCCTGCTGTGTGGAGTGGTCTGTAGAAGGCAAGAACAGACATGGCAGCTGGAACTTATTCTGGAGATAGAGGTGAAATAATGTGCTGGGGGACTGGGGGCAGGGCTGGCAAAGATGTTGAGCAGAGGAATCAAGAATGGCCTAACTTTTCTTCATTCAGCAACTGGATCTGTGGTGGTGATATTTATTGAGATGGTAAAAAGTTGGGAGCAATCAAAGTGAAAAAGGAAATCAAGAGTTCAGTGTGGGATGCACTCAGATGGAAATGTCTATTAGCCACCCAGGGGGAGATGTCAAGTCAGCAGGTGAGTGTATGTCTGGAGCTCAGGTCTGGGATGGAGATGTAAATTTTGGAGTCATTAGTGTACAGATGACATTTAGAGCCATGAGTTTTTTCACTCATCATCAAAATAAAGCACTAAGGGGAGGTCCCCCAGAACTTCAAAGGAAATGGTGCTGGAGCAGAAAGAATGTCAAATTGCTTTAAATTTTCTATCCCCAGGGCCCACAATGTAAGACTTCACACATCCTAGTCCAGCACTTTATCTCATCACATAACTGCAGCTTGCCTTCAGGAGCTCTCAGAAGAAGCCACCTAAATCCTTTCCCCAGTGCAGCATATTCAACTCCTACGTTTGTTTTTGTCTTACAGAGACTTTCTACCTCTCACATTAGCTGGAAATGATCTTTGCCTCCTTTGAGCTCCCAAATCTGTACCTGTCTTTTTCTGAGATCTTACTGCTCTCAGCCTAAACTTAAAATTACCTGGGTCCAGTCTCCCCTGATATTCCCAGGAGTAGAGATTGTATGGTTTCACCTTTGCATCCCAGCACAAAGGAAATCAGTGTGTGGAACCTGGGTCTCCTTAGTGGTTCTACCAGCAAAGCCTTCTACATTGTTGAAAGTTTAAAAGCCTTGTGCCATAGCAGAGTGAAATCAGATCAGCAAAGGAAGACTGGCTGGATGGATCTCCTTAGTCCTTGAGGGGGACAGTATTTGAGGATAGTTTGCTCATTCCATAAAAGCTTCCAGGTTGAGGAGGAGGAACACAGACCAGAGAGACCACCCATCTGACCCTCCCTGGCCAGAGTGACGCTGTAGTATAATGAACACTTGACCATGCACATCATTTTTTACTATGTGCAGAATAAGAGCTTATGATCTGATCTCCCTTTGCATCTACTTGTTGCAGTTACAGAGCTTTCTCTCCTATGCCCGATACTCATTCTGACCCTACCATCCATCACATAACTCTCAACACTTAACTTTAGGAATGCAAAACAATGAAACATTTGTCTTAAAATGTCTAAAACCTAGAAGTTAAATAGAATGCAAAAAGGATACATTATAAAATTATTAATGAAGTATAAATTAATTAAATTGTTACTGTGTATTATTTTTTCCTTCATTATGATTATTACCTACCCCATCCCAAACTCCTCATAATAATAAGCAAATGCCCTGAACTGATGAAAAAAGAAAGGTCATTTTGCACAGTGGCCTTGCAAGTCCCTTTCTTACTTCCTTGAACCTGGGACTCATTCCCAAACACCAGCGCTCAGTTTCACAGTTCTGGCCAGTTTATAGTGGTCAGTACTCCAAGTAATGCTGGTGCGTAAGTCTAGAGGCACCCTGGCTTTCTACCTCTGACATGATCAAGCCCCAATGGTCTAAAGCAGGTCAAGTAAACTCTAGGGTTTCACAGAGTTTCATTGCTGCCCAACAGAGGAATGCAGGCAGCCCTGAATGTCAGACCCACCTGGAGTGAAGACTGGAAAGCCTTACAGGACCAGAGTCCCTCTCCATAACCTAGGCCAACTTTATGGACTTTTTTAGGCAGCAACAGAGCGTGAAGCTCTAGGAGGCATAACTCTGTGTATCAGGTTGGATAACGTGGATTGTGACCCACACAACATCACACACAGATGAAAGTCCAGCTCCATTCCATGATGGTGGTTTCATTTGCAGTGTTTGAAATGGAAAGAATTCAATTTTTACAATAACTCTTCCACAGTTAAACACTGTGGAAGCTGCATAGCACATCCCCCTTCTATAGATTCAGGCTATGTGTTCCCAGAAAGGCTCTGAAAAGTCCTGCAGTAAAGACATCTGTTTGTATTTGATTTAGTGAGTGTCAGTTATTTGACCAAACAAGTACATTTTCTCTCATTTCAATGGCAAACATTTGGGGAAACACTACTTGATGCTGCCATAATCAAACCATTCTAGCTTTTTTTTTTAATCATGTATTGGTGGGACTCAAGTGATCATCAAAATTTGAACACAAGGTTATTGATGTCAAGCTTCAGAGCAAGTACTGAAAGCTCAAAGTGGTTCAGTGAGTGGCCTGTGATCACAAAGCTGGTTATAGTAAACTAGCAAGGGGATCCAGATCTCCAGAAACCAGGGCAGCACTTGGGCTCTGGAAGGATATGTATAGGTGAGCATGCCAGGCCTGAAACCCCCAGAACCTGGGATCAGTTTCAATCCCACCTGGTAAGGCCTCACCCAGCTGTGAAGCCGGCTTGCAAGCACATTCATCTTCATATGGCCTTTCTCATCAGGGGAGCCAGCATATTTGCCTGCCCTAGGACAGCTCCCATCAGTACCTACTACTACGGTAAGTCTTGTTCCAAACTGTCTTCCTTGGGGCCTGGGTTACTCCCCAATAACTCAAAAAAGACTGTAAGCCTGACAGAAGAGTAGCAGAGAGCACTATGAAATCCCCTGCTCAGAACTTGCAAAACTGGTGACCCATGTGCCTATTTGATTTGACCCAACTCAGAGGTTTTGTTTTGTTTTTAATTGAATTGATTACTTAAGAGAGCGCAATACAAAAATTAACTCAAAATGGATAAAAGAGCTAAATGAAAAAAGCTAAAACTATAAAAAAAATTTAAAAATCATAAGCATAAATATTTGTGACCTTGGATCAGGTAATGCGGCTTCTTAGATATGACACCAAAACACAAGCAACACAAAGGAATAATAGGTAAACTGGGTTTCATCAAAATTAAAAACTTTTGGCTGGGCACAGTGGCTCACGCCCGGCCAAAAGTTTTTAATTTTGATGAAACCCAGTTTACCTATTATTCCTTTGTGTTGCTTGTGCTTTGGTGTCATATCTAAGAAGCCCCATTACCTGATCCAGCACTTTGGGAGGCCGGGGCGGGCAGATCACGAGGTCAGGAGATTGAGACCATCCTGGCTAACGCGGTGAAACCCCGTCTCTACTAAAAATACAAAAAATTAGTCAGGTGTGGTGGCAGGCACCTGTAGTCCCAGCTACTCAGGAGGCTGAGGCAGGAGAATGGCGCGAACCTGGGAAGTGGAGCTTGCAGTGAGCAGAGATTGCGCCACTGCACTCCAACCTGGGTGACAGAGCAAGACTCAGTCTCAAAAACAAAAAAAAAAAAATTAAAAACTTCTGTGCCTCAAAAACCACTATCAATAACGTGAAAATACAACTCATAAAATGGTAGAAAATATATGTAAATCATATATCTGACAAGACAATAGTATCCAGAATATATAAAGAACACTTACAACAACAATAAAAAAACAAACCAATTTAAAAATGGGTAAAGAAATAGAACAGATAATCCCAACAGCCCCAGTAAACACATGAAAAGATGCTCAACATCATTAATAACTAAGGAAATGCAAATTGAAACCACAATATCACTTCATACCTACAGGGAAGGCTATAATAAAAAAAGACAGATATTAACAAGTATTGGTGAGGATGTAGAGAATTAAATCTTCATACATTGCTGGAATGTAAAATGGTATAGCCACTTTGAAAAACAGTTTGGATTGGTTCCCGATCATCATGGCAGATGGGAGGCAGGGCTAGATCGCAGCTCTGTCTTGGACAGACAGAGCAGCGGATGGAGGCTTGCATCATGAATTTTAGCTCCAGAATGACTGCAGGAATAAACCAGGAATCCCGAGAGGACACACAGACCCTCTGAAGGAAGTGACCTGCTCCTGCAGGAACTGGGAGACACCCCAAATACTGTGAGTGCCCAAACTGCCGAAGTGGGAAAGGGATCTCCCACTTGCAGTGGGATCCTCTGACCCTGAACACACCCCTACTACTGGGGAAACTGAAGGTCTAGCTTATGGGAGAAGATTCCGACCTTACCTGGAGCTGAGTCAATTTAGAGAGCCGAGCGAAATACAGGGGTAGAGGAAGCTGCGAGAAAGGCTCTGGGAGCCCACTGGGTTCCCCAAGCAGGAAATTCCTGCCTGGCACCACAGGGATCCCTCAGGAGGGCAGCCAGAGGCACTGGGAAAATGCCACAGGGAGAAGGAAGTCTCCAGCTGAACTTTGTAACAATATGAACTTGTTCAGAAGCCTCCTGGCCAGAACTCAGGGGAGGGTGCGAATCTGGCATGCAGACTCCACAGGCAGGGGAAGAACTAAAGCCCTTTTCAGCTGGGAGGCAGGTAGCCTGGGGCAAGTTCTTAGCCCTCCTTGCCCACTGCCTGGAAACTGACTCCGTGCTGTTAGAGGGGGATGGTGGGAGTGAGACAGGCCCTTCAGATTGCATGGGAGCTAGGTGAGGCCTGTGACTGCCAGCTCTCCCCCACTTCCCTGACAACCTGCATGACTCAGCAGAGGCAGCCATAATCCTCCTAGGTACACAACTCCATTAACCTGAAAATCTCACCCCCATCCCCCACAGCAGCCACAGCAAGACACGCCCAAGGAGGGTCTGAGCTCAGACATGCCTAGCCCTGCCTCCACCTCATTGCCCTTCCCTACCCACTCTGGTAGCTGAAGACAAAGGGCATGTACTCTTGGGAGTTCTAGGCACCCCCTTCCCCACGCTGGTGCCTCTCCATACTACCACAGCTGATGCTCTCTTGAAAGCACCACCTCCTGGCAGTAGGCCAACCAGCACAAAAATAGAACATTAAACCACCAAAGCTAAGAACCCTCACAGAGTCCATTTCACCCCCCTGCCACCTCCACCAGAACAGGTGCTGGTATCCACGGCTGAGAGACTCATGGACAGTTCACATCACAGGACTCTGTGCAGACAACCCCCAGTAACAGCCCAGAGCCTGGTAGACTTGCTGGGTGTCTAGACCCAGAAGAGAGGTAACAATCACTGCAGCCTGGCTCTCAGGAAGCCACATCCACAGGAAAAGGGGGAGAGTACTACATCAAGGGAACACACTGTGGGACAAAAGAATCTGAATAACAGCCTTCAGCCCTTTCCCTCTGACAGAGCCTACTCAAATGAGAAGAAACCAGAAAACCAACTCTGGTAATATGACAAAATAAGGTCCTTTAACACCTCCAGAAAAAATCACACTAGCTCAATGGATCCAAACCGAGAAGAAATCCCTGATTTACCTGAAAAAGAATTCAGGAGGTTAGTTATTATGCTAATCCAAGAGGCACCAGAGAAAGGCGAGGCCCAGTGCAAGGAAATCCAAAAAATGATACAAGAAGTGAAGGGAGAAATATTTGAGGAAATACACAGCATAAAGAAAAAACAATCAAAACTTCAGGAAACATTGGACACACTTATAGAAATGCAAAATGCTCTGGAAACTCTCAGCAGTAGAACTGAACAAGTAGAAGAAATTCAGAGCTTGAAGACAAGGTCTTTGAATTAACCCAATCCAACAAAGACAAAGAAAAAGGAATAAGAAAACATGAACAAAGCCTCCAAGAAGTTTGGGATTTTGTTAAACAACAAAACCTGAGAATAATTGGTGTTCCTGAGGAAGAAGAGGAATCTAAACATTTGGAAAACATATTTGGGGAAATAATTGAGGAAAACATTCCCAGCCTTGCTAGAGACCTAGACATCCAACTACAAGCAGCTCAAAGAACACCTGGGAAATTCATTGCAAAAAGATCATTGCCTAGGCACATTGCCATCAGGTTATCTAAAGTTAAGACAAAGGAAAGAATCTCAAGAGCTGTGAGACAAAAGCACCAGGTAAGCTATAAAGGAAAACCTGTCAGATTAACAGCAGATTTCTCAGCAGAAACCCTACAAGCTAGAAGGGACTGGGACCCTATCTTTAGCCTCCTCAAGCAAAACAATTATCACCCAAGAATTTTGTATCCAGTAAAACTAAGCATCATATGCTAAGGAAATATATAGTCTTTTTCAGACAAACAAATGCTGAGAGAATTTGCCACTACCAAGCCACCACTACAAGAACTGCTAAAAGGAGCTCTAAATCTTGAAACAAATGCTGGAAACATATCAAAACAGAACCTCTTTAAACCATAAATCTCACAGAACCTATAAAACAAAAGTACAATTTAAAAAGCAAAAACAACAAGGTACACAGGCAACAAATAGCATGATAAATGGAATGGTACCTCACATCTCAATACTAACATTGAATGTAAATGGTCTAAATGCTCCACTTAAAAGATACAGAACTGCAGAATGGATAAGAACTCAACAACCAACTATCTGCTGCCTTCAAGAGACTCACCTAACACAGACAGACTCATATAACTAAAACTTAAAGGGTGGAAAAAGGCATTTCATGCAAATTGACACCAAAAGCAAGCAGGGTTAGCTATTCTTATATCAGACAAAACAAACTTTAAAAAGACAAAGACGGATATTATATAATGGTAAAAGGCCTTGTCCAACAGAAAAATATCACAATCCTAAATATATATGCACCTAACACTGGAGCTTCCAAATTTATAAAACAATTACTAATAGACCTAAAATATGAGACAGAGAGCAACACAATAATATTGTGGGACTTCAATAGTCCACTGACAGCACTAGACAGGTCATCAAGACAGAAAGTCAACAAAGAAACAATGGATTTAAACTATTCACTTGGAGCAAATGGACTTAATAAATATATACAGAAGATTCCATCCAACAACTGCAGAATACACATTCTATTCAACAGTGCACGGAACTTTCTCCAAGATAGACCATATGACAGGCCACAAAATGAGCCTCAATAAATTTAAGAAAATTGAAATTATATCAGGCACTCTCTCAGACCACAGTGGAATAAAACAAAATCAACTCCAAAAGGAACCCTCAAAACCATGCAAATACATGGAAATTAAATAACCTGTCCTGAATGAGCATTGGGTCAAAAACAAAATCAAGATAGAAATTAAAAAATGTTTCAAACTGAAGGACAATGGTGACACAACCTATCAAAACCTCTGGGATACAGCAAAGGCAGTGCTAAGAGGAAAGTTCATAGCCCTAAATACCTACATCAGAAAGACTAAAAGAGCATAAACTGACATTCTAAGGTTACGCCTCAAAGAACTAGAGAAATAAGAACAAACTAAACCCAAACCCAGCAGAGGAAAGGAAATAACCAAGATCAGAGCAGAATTAAATGAAATTGAAACAACAGTTTAAAAAAAATACAAAAGATAAATGAAACAAAAAGTAGTTTTTTGAAAAGATAAATAAAATTGATAGACCATTAGCAAGATTAACCATGAAAAGGAGAGAGATAATCCAAATAACCTCAATGAGAAATGAAACAAGAGATGTTACAACTGACATCACAGAAATACAAAAGATCATTTGAGGCTACTATGAACACATTTATGCATGTAAATTCGAAAACCTAGAAGAAATGGATAAATTCCTGGAAAAACACAACCCTCCTAGCTTAAATCAGGAAGAATTAGATACCCTAAACAGGCCAATAACAAGCAGCAATATTGAAATGGTAATTTAAAAATTACCAACAACAAAAAAGCCCAGGACCAGACAGATTCACAGCAGAATTCTACCAGCCATTCAAAGAAGGATTGGTACCAATCCTTTTGACACTATTCCTTCCACAAGATAGAAAAGGTGGAACCCTCCCTAATTCATTCTATGAAACTGGCATCACCCTAATACCAAAGCCAAGAAAGGACATAACCAAATAAGAAAACTACAGATTAATATCCGTGATGAACATACATGCTAAAATTCTTAACAAAATACTAGCTAACTGAATCCAACAACATATCAAAAAGATAATCCACTGTGATTAAGTGGGTTTCATACCAGGGACATAGGGATGGTTTAACATACACAAGTCAATAAATGTAATACACCACATAAACAGAATTAAAAACAAAAACCACATAATCATCTCAATAGATGCAGAAAATGCATTCGAAAAAATCCAGCATCTCTTTATGATTAAAACTCTCAGCAAAATCAGCATACAAGGGACACACCTCAATGTAATAAAAGCCATCTATGTATGACAAACCCACAGCCAACATAATAGTGAATGGGGAAAAATTGAAAGCATTCCCTCTGAGAACTGGAACAAGACAAGGATGCCCACTCTCACCACTCCTCTTCAACACAGTACTAGAAGTTCTAGCCAGAGCAATCAGACAAGAGAAAGAAATAAAAAGCATCCAAATAGGTAAAGAAAAAGTCAAACTGTCACTGTTTGCTGATGATACAATTATTTACCTCAAAAACCCTGAAGACTTCTCTAGAAAGCTTCTAGAACTGATAAAAGAATTCAGCAAAGTTTCTGGATACAAGATTAGTGTACACAAATCGTTAGCTCTTCTCTACACCAACAGCAACCAAGCGGAGAATCAAATCAAGAATTCAATCCCTTTTACAATAGCTGCAAAAAATCAAATAAAATACTTAGGAGTATACATAACCAAGGAGGTGAAAGACCTCTACAAGGAAAACAACAGAACACTGCTGAAAGAAATCACAGATGACACAAACAAATGGAAACACATCCCATGCTCATGGATGGGAAGAATCAATATTGTCAAAATGACCATATTGCCAAAGGCAATCTACAAATTTAACACAATCCTCATCAAAATACCTCCAACATTCTTCACAGAATTAGAAAAAACAATTCTAAAATTCATATGGATCCAAAAAAGAGCCCACATACCCAAAGCAAGACTAAGCAAAAAGAACAAATCTGGAGGCATCATACGACCTGATTTCAAACTATACTATAAGGTTACAGTCACCAAAACAGCATGGTACTGTTATAAAAATAGGCACATAGACCAATGGAACACAAAAGAGAACCCAGAAATAAACCAAAATACTTAGAGCCAACTGATCTTCAACAAAGCAAACAAAAACATAAAGTGAGGAAAGGACACCCTTTTCAACAAATCATCCTGGGATATTTGGCTAACCACATATAGGAGAATGAAGCTGGATCCTCATCTGTCACTTTACACAAAAATCAACTCAAGATGGATTAAGGACTTAAATCCAAGACCTGAAACTATAAAAATCCTGGAAGATAACATTGGAAAAACCCTTCTAGACATTGGCTTAGGCAAAGATTTCATGACCAAGAACCCAAAAGCAAATGCAATGAAAACAAAGATAAATAGCTGGGACTTAATTAAACTAAAGAACTTTGCACAGCAAAAGAAACAGTCAGCAGAGTAAACAGACAGCCCACAGAGTGGGAAAAAGTCTTCACAATCTATACATCTGACAAAGGACTAACATCCAGAATCTACAACAAACTCAAACAAATCAGCAAGAAAAAAAAACCCCATCAAAAAGTGGGCTAAGGACATGAATAGACAATTCTCAAAAGAAATATACAAATGGCCAATAAACATATGAAAAAATGCTCAGCATCACTAATGATCAGGGAAATGCAAATCAAAACCACAGTGCAACACCACTTTACTCCTGCAATAATGGCCATAATCAAAAAATTAAAAAATGGTAGATGTTGGCGTGGATGTGGTGATCAGGGAACACTTCTACACTGCTGGTGGGAATGTAAACTAGTACAGCCACTATGAAAAATAGTGTGGAGATTCCTTAAATAACTAAAAGTAGAACTACCATTTGATCCAGCAATCCCACTACTGGATATCTACCCCAAGGAAAAGAAGTCATTATATGAAAAAGATTCTCACACATGCATGTTTAAAGCAGCACAATTCACAATTGCAAAGATATGGAACCAGCCCAAATGCCCATCAACGAGTGGACAAAGAAACTGTGCTAAATACATGTATGTTTATTGCAGCACTATTCACAATAGCAAAGACTTGGAACCAACCCAAATGTCCAACAATGATAGACTGGGTTAAGAAAATATGGCACATACACACCATGGAATACTATGCAGCCATAAAAAATGATGAGTTCATGTCCTTTGTAGGGACATGGATGAAGCTGGAAACCATCATTCGCAGCAAACTATCGCAAGGACAAAAAACCAAACACCGCATGTTCTCACTCATAGGTGGGAATTGAACAATGAGAACACATGGACACAGGAAGGGGAACATCACACACCAGGGCCTGTTGTGGTGTGGGGGGAGTGGGGAGGGATAGCATTAGGAGATATACCTAATGTTAAATGACAAGTTAATGGGTGCAGCACACCCACATGGAACATGTATACATATGTAACTAACCTGCATGTTGTGCACATGTACCCTAAAACTTAAAGTATAATTAAAAAAAAAAGAAACTGTGCTAAATATATATGATGGAATACTACTCAGCCATAAAAAAGGAATGAATTAACAGCATTCGTAGTGACCTAGATGAGACTGGAGACTATTATTCTACGCGAAGTAACTCAGGAATGGAAAACCAAACATTGTATGTTCTCACTCATAAGTGGGAGCTAAGCCATGAGGATGCAAAAGCATAAGAATGATGCAATGGACTTTGGGGACTTGGGTCGGGGGGGGTGGTCATTCCTAAGTGGGAGCTAAGCTATGAGGACACAAAAGCATAAGAATGATACAACGGACTTTGGGGACTTGTGGGTAAAGGTGGGAGGGGACAAGAGATAAAAGGCTACAAATAGGATGCCGTGTATACTGCTCAGGTGATGGGTGCACCAAAATCTCACAAATCACCACTGAAGAACTTTCTCATGTAACCAAACACCACCTGTACTCCAATAACCTATGGAAATTTTTTTTTAAATGAGATCCAATCATTTGCAACAACTTGGATGGAACTGGAGATCATTATGTTAAGTGAGATAAGCCAGAAACAGAAAGACAAATATCACATATTCTCATTTATTTGGGGATCTAAAAACAAAACAATTGAACTCATGGACAAAGAGAGTAGAAGGATGGTTACCAGAGGCTGGGAGGGGTAGTGAGGGTGTTGGGAGGAGGTAGGGATGGTGAATGGGTACAAAAAAAAAAATAGAAAGAATGAATAAGACCTACTGTTTGATAGCAAGACAGGGTGACAATAGTCAATAACAATTTAATTGTATATTTAAAAATAACTAAAACAGTGTAACTGGATTGTTTATAACACAAAGGATAAATGAAATGCTTGAGGGAATGGATACCCCATTCTCCATGGTATGTTTATTATGCACTGTATGCCTCTATCAAACATCTCATGTATCCCATAAATAATACACCTACTATGTACCCACAAAAATTAAAAATAAAAAAGTTTTAAAAAGAATGCTATCATAAAAAAAACTGTCTGATAATGCTTCAAATACTTAAACATTGAGTTCACATGTGACCCAGAAATTCCAATCCTAGGTATATACCAAACAAAATTAAAAACATATGTCCTTACAAAAAGTTATACATAAATACTTGTAGTAGCATTATTTGTAATAGCCAAAAAATAGAAATAACCCAAAAGCCCATCTACTGATGAATGGATAAACAAAATGTGGTATATCCATACAATCAAATATTATTCAGTCACAGAAAGGAATAAAGTACTGACACATGCTACGACATAGACAATCTTAAACACATATGCTAAGTGAACAAGGCCAGTCACAAAAGATTACATACTGTGTGATTCCATTTATATAAAATGTCCAGAGTAGGCAAATCCATAAGGACAGAAAGTGGATCAATGGTCACCAGGGCTGAGGGGAGCTGGAAATGTCGTGTGATTGTTAACAAGCATGGCTTTCTTTCGGGGTTGAAGAAATGTTTTGTAATAAGATCACGGTAATGATTGCGCAGCTTTGTGGATAATACTAAAAAGCAATTTACAGAGTGAATTTTACAGTACGTTAAATATATTTCAATATTGTCTGTTCTTTCAGAAATAGAAGATGAACACACTTGTGCACTCATCCCTTCCCTGGCCTTGACTCTGGTTCTCTTTGCTAATCTACAGTGCTGGCTGGGCTCCTGCAGGCACTGTATCTGAGCATCAGTGGCCCAGATGGATTCTCATCTCTTACATCGGCACGCTGAGGCCCAAACGGGCCATGGGGACACGCCAAAGGTCACGCATTAGTGGTGGCAGAACTGGAGTCAGAACCCATATCTCCAACCTCTGGGTGTCTCAGGGCCTGTTCAAGTTCCCCAGGAGTTTAAGACCCTGGGATGCTATTTGGAATGAAATGTATACTTTGTTGTGTCCAAATAATCACCACCTGCATCAAATCCCATTATTAAGCAAATATCCACCACACCTGAAACAGGTAAAAACCCTGTACCCATCACAGTCAACGAACTCCAACAGTCAAGGTGGGAGACCCAGCAACAATTGCTTCCCAAAGCTCCCACTGGTTGCCTCACATTCCACTCTCCATGTAATCATTCTCCTGCCTTTCCCTCCCCCTCTCCCTCCCCTCTTTCTCTCACCCCTTCTTGAGTTGTTTCAAGCAGGTGGGAGTTCACTCCTCAAGTAATGGCAAATTGGAAGACCTTCCTGTAATGGGGTGAGCCGCCAGGGACCAACCCTCCAGGAGAAAAGTGACCCATGTCATAATATTCCAGATAACATGGTACTCAGGCACTCTCAGTGACACCTGAATTCCAAATGCCAGCTTAGTAGCTGTGAAGCAGTAAATAATTGTGTTTCACCCAGAAAGGGCTCCTTCTGTAGTAAAATTTTTTCTACTTCAGAAGTAAACTTGTTGAGAAGGGGAACATAAGTTCCCCAGTTTTACCACAGAATAGAATCTGTACAGAAGAATCTGCTGCACATCGGGGATCAACTTGATATGCTGTACATAGAAGACACATGAGAAATATTTGCTGATATGATTTATTTGATAATATCTGTCACACTTGATTTTCACAAGCTTGAGTGAGTAGTTTAAAAACCAGTTGTTTTCTCCAAAACCCCTTCTCCAAATTGTATTCTGTGAGGTGTCATTGAGTGTTCTGAGAATAAAATCTTCCTATGGCAAATTAAGGTTAGGAAAGGGTTCATACTAAACCCTCCATTGGTGACTTAAAAAGTACACCGTAATAAGAAAATGTTGGAGGAGCCCTGCAGGGAAGAAACCCACCTACAAGCCGCTCATCTGTATGAACATGAATCCCTTTCTGCAGAATCCCCATGTAGCCGGAGGCAGAAGAGCTCTGTGGAGCAGAGGATGCTCTGACTGGGCCCCAGCTGTACTGCAGGGAACAGTCAATGTTGAAGGAACAGGTAAAGCTTCACATGCTGGGGATGTTAGCAAGTGAAGTGTTTTTAAAGACTTTGAACTTGCCCATGAAGATAGGATGAGAAGGTTGAATGGGAGCACCCTCAGGATTGTGGACTGAGGTGTGTACCCAAGAGGTTTATGTGGACAGAGACCCAGTGACAATGTGGAGACCTTTTATACAGCAGCAGGAGAGCAGTAACCTTGAGATCTGGAATGGTGGTAAAGACAAGCTAGATATACAGCCCCTATTGTGGCCTGGCCCTCCTCCTCCCCAGGATGTACAGGGGCCCATTCGTAGCAGGGAAGGGACAGGAGAGGAGAGGTGGGCAGAGCTCACCACCTGCCAGGCGGGCCGCCATTCCCATTCACAGCATGTCCCATAGCAGATGGGTCAAATATTAGTGCTCTGATTCACCCTCTGCCACATTCATCAACTGTGACTAGAGCAGAGGAATGAGGGAGACAGTGAGGCAGACAGAATGCACCATCCCAAACCCAGAAGCTCATGGCTCCAGTGCTCAGCACAGTTTGGCTTTATTCCAGTCTCATTCCTGTCTCCCCATCTGTATCTGTCCGCAGTCCACCTGACTCATGGCCCCTCAGTCTGTATGTGTCTCCCTGTTGGTCCCATCTTGCCTCAGAGAACCCACGCCAGCTTTACAGGGGTTGCCTTCTGGGCAAAATCCCAATGTTTCAGTATCTGACTGCTGTCTACAGCTGATCAAATGTGATTTTCCAGTTGAGAGAGAAAAATAAACTCGCTTAAACTAAGGGAGCTAAAATGAAGCCAACCTAAAAGACAAAGGCTCCCACAATGGCCTGAGCAGGTGGAGGCTCAATCCCGCTGGCTAGGTTTTCTGAGACTTTCAGTAAATGCAACATAGGACACGCTTTCATGTATCATACAGATATATGTACACATATGTATGCAGTATATGTACCTTGTATGTATACACATACCTATGACATATGTGCACACAAGTCAAGGAATCTGACATCGAGATTGGAAAATATGGCCACCATACTCAGAGAACCTGCAAAAAAGTGAGAGTAGCCAAAGCACTGGAGATAAAAGGGACAGGACCCCTCTGAGGAGCGGGGCAAGGGAGCCAGAACCCAGACTGCCTGACTCTATAGAGAGGGAAGAAGGCAGGACAAGTGGACATCAGTGAGCATCACAGATGGGAAGAACCCAGCAGAGACCCTGGCCCTTCCACTGGGGAAGAAGAAGAGAATAATGAGAGGAAAGAAAGTGGGAAAGGAAAAAGAAGAGAAGAGAGGCAAGTGCTGCTGTCCAGAGAGCAGAATATGGAATGAGCCAGCTGGCCTCAGTGGTGGACACTGAGGAATCACAGGTCTCCTCCCATGGAGTCTCCTCTCCATCCCTTTCATCAGGCCTGTGACTTCTTCTCTTTCTCCTATAAGCCTTCATTATCCGGGGACTCCTGCTGGGAAAGACACTCTCTAAAGATATCCTGGGCTGAACATGGCATCTGGAGCTCATCTTTGCAACCATGAAGCCTTGGCTTGCCCAGGCTCCTTCCCCAGCCCCCTCCTCACCAGATTCTGGGAGCAGAGGCAGCAGGAAGAATGTGGCTGTGATGTGCTTGAGGTCTGAATCCAGCAACAAATTTATTAGGGGGGTGTTCACTGAGCAGGCCCAGAGGGGACTCTCCATACTGCCACTCTGCATAACAGATGTCCTTTCATTCTACGTAGGTGGGTGATGAGCTGAGCTGGGGAGGAGCAGGTGCCCTGAATAACACGCACTTGGGTAAGAATCTTCTCCCAGCATGGCAGCCCTTGGGGCTCACCGCCTGGATGCCTCCCCTACACCTCAGGCTCTGCTTACAAGTGTCCCTACTCCCAGAGCCCAGCCTCCTACCACACAGCCACTCCTCCCTCCCACCTGTCTCGTCTGCGAGGGCTCCAAGAAACCCCAAGCATCTTTGTGTGGAAAATACATTTGGAAGCATGAAATCTATTGGAAATCTAATGAGACTGCAGTAGAATAGAGAGATGAATTTAACTTCTTTCTCTGAGTTCTGGATTTGATGTTGCTATCTAACATTTGCCTGGTTGTGGGCCTGCCTTTGCTCAGAAGTGCCCTAGGGCACAGTCAGCACCACCTGAGTGAGTCTCCATGCCAGTGCTGGCCCTTCTAGGGAATCTGTTGCTTCAAGGGTAAAACAGAGAGCATCACATCAGCTTTGCCTGTGACAGGCCCTTTTAGAGGCTCTAGAGAGTTCAAACACCTGCTGAGAAGGGTGTATCCCAAGAGAGCCCAGCACGGCTGCTCTGCCCGAACAGGGGAAGGGTGTGTCAAGCACATGGAGAGATGACGCAGCCTGACGGAGAGATGATGCGGCCTGGCAGGCAGAGGAGGCCACGGAGGGTGAGCAGGTTCCCAGAGCACCAGCTCCACAGAAGGGAGCCTTACCTTCTTCATGCACAGTGGTAGCCACCAGCCCTATGGGGGCTTTGCAGGCAGAAAGCTCTGGATCTGCTGAAAGAAGCCCGATGTTCCACACTGGTGTGCAGGCTAACTGACAGTACAATAACTTGGTAACTGACAGCCTGGACTCAGAAATGGACAGTCTTTCTTCTCCTGTGAGTAAGTGGTCTGATAGGTGGGCCATCAGTGCTAAGATGGAGGAAGTCAGGGAAGAGTTCTGGGCCAGAACAGAGGGTGGTGTGAGGGAAGCCCCCAGGTGGAAGAGAGCCCAGGTAAACACTGTTGTGTTTCCTGCTTCCCTGTCCTCTGGTCACAGGACAGGAAGGTGCACAGATACAGAGAGTAGGAAAGAGCCTTCCTAAAGGCCATGAAGATGAGCCCATACTCAGACCTGTGTGGTGACAGCCTTCACCCTAGAAATGACAGCAGCTGTCTTTTGTGGGCACCTACCAAGTGCCAGGCTTGTGTTGCGACTTGACACGTGTGACCCTGTTCATCCTCCCACAACAACCCCGGGTGTGAACAAGGATGACAAGACAGGTTCGCTCAGGACAGGGACTTACCAGGACTACCTTTTAGAAAGCAACTTGGTGATCTGTATGGGAAGCCTTGGAAGATGCCCAGGCCCTCAACCTAGTGAGTGGTGACGTGTGTCAGGAGCAGACTGCCCAGGTTCAAAGAGCTCTGCTGCTTTTTAGCTGATGGCCATTGTGGACAAGGGCCAACCACCTTATCTTCCTGTACCTTGGTGTTCTCATCTGAAAAAATGGGGATCATGGTATGAGTTCTGTTAAGACAACTGCTAGGAACACCTGGGCAAGCACAGGCACAGCTCTCAGCACAGACAGGGGCTGGCCCACGGGAGGGCCTGAGAGATGTGAGCCGGTGTTATGATCGAGTGTCTTTCCTAAATATTTAACCCAAAAGGCAGACTGAGATTTAAGGACAATATGTTCTTTGAAGTGTTATGCATAATCATTTTTTGAAAAACAGATACAAACCAAATGTCCAACATTATAGGAACCGTTTAGCAAATGATATTATACCCAAAGGTAGACCGCCAAATGGGCAGACATTAAAAATAAGGTTCTTGATTTTTTTAATATCAAAATGTTTAGAATAGATTGTTGGGTACAAAATGATAGTAAACTGGATAAAGAGGCTACAAGTTAAAGTAAATAGACCAAAATATTAATAGAATTATGGGTACTATTTTGCCTACTTCTTCATTATGTCTCACTTTTCAAATTTTTGACAGTAGGCATCTGTTAATTTCATACTAAATTTTTAAAAATTTGAACAAAAATGAAAGCATAGGTGGTATAAGGGAAGGAAGTGTAAGGACAAATGCAGGCCTTTGGAGGAAGCACTTTTAAGGTGAGGATAACACATAGAAAGGAAAGGGATAAAACCCATGCAGAGGCAAAAAAGCTAAGTCTATAATAAATTTGAGTTTATAAGGAATGAATACGTAATATTTGTGGAAACTGTGTTGTGTCTGGAAAAAATAGCAATAAATATGTCCACAATATAAATCTTTTATAATAAATCTGTGAAGATCCTATGAGCTAACATCCGTGCTAGCTGGTGCTGCAAGAAGTCTGAGGTGCCCCACAGATAAGCACGGCTATTGATACAACAATAATGGGGGGGTTAGCTGGCTGTGCTCTGTGCTCTGGACAGTTGCCTCCTTCACCCCTGAGTGATGCTATCTGAGGCCTACAAGGGCAGAGTGAAGTGAGACGTTCAGCATACAGCGCCCCTTTCTAAGCATTTACTCAGAGTTCTCTGAACTTTGATATATATATCTCCTGAAAAATACAGCTGGATAAAGGAATATATATATATAAAGAATTGGCTCATGCAAGTGTGGGGACTGGCAAGTCCAAAATCTGCACAGTAGGCTGGCAGGCTGAAGACCCAGGGAAGAGTTACAGTTCAAGTCCAAAGGAAGTCTGCTGGCAGAATTCCTCTTCCTTGGAGGAGGTAAACTTTGTTTTTTGGAGTCTTTTTTGTAACTTAATTTGAGGCTTTCAACTGATTGGATGAGGCCCATCTACATTATGGGGGATAATCTGCTTTAAAATCTAATTTTAATGTCAATATTTTGGTAATTATATGATATAAATTTGTCATATAAATAATGCTATGTGTGTGTGTGTGTGTGTGTGTGTGTGTGTATATATATATATATATGCAGACACACATATGCACATGTATATATATTTAGAGACAGGATCTCATTCTGTCACCCAAGCTAGAGTGCAGTGAAGCAATCATAGCTTACTGCGGCCTTGAACTCGTGGGCTCAAACTATCCTCCCGCCTTAGCCTCCCAAGTAGCTAGGACTATAGGCACGTGCCACCACACCCAGATATTTTTGAAAAAATTCTTTTTTGCAGGGACTGGTCTCACTATGTTGCTTGGGCTGTTCTCAAACTTCTGACCTCAAGTGGTCTTGCTACCTCAGCCCCCCAAAGTGCAGGGATTACAGGCGTGAGCCACCATGCCCAGCTTAACTTTACTATTTGACCATCTTCATATAGCATCTCTTCACTTGCCACTATATTTTCATCAACATGACTGCTATGTCAGGAAACAATTGCCCAAGAAAACAAAAGATGCATATACAGAGAGCATCAAACAACTATTGATATGCTAAGACTCCCCTCAAAGACCTCATCTCAAAATCTTCATCTTGCTGTGTTGCCAGTCTTACACTGTTACATCCTGATCCTTACCATTCTAATTAAACCTCCACATTAAAAATCTCACCTTAAACCAGTTCCCAAAAGGTCTCATAAAGTTTCCAATTTTTCTTATGGTGACTATATATTTAACTTATTGAGTAACTGCCAAACTGTTTTCTTCTCCTTCCTTTTTAAAAAGAATAATATATAGTATGTTACATATTTATGGGCTCCATATGATATTTTGTTAGATGCATAGAGTGTGTGATGATCAAGTCAGGATATTTGGGGGTATCCATCACCTTGAGTATTTATCATTTCTACGTGTTGAGACTTTTTTTTAAATGTTAATCTTATCTAAAAAATACCTTCCTAGAAACATCTAAAATCTAAACATCTAACATAATGTTTGAACAAATATCTGGATACCATGGACTCCCAAGGTGACACATTATATTAACCAACACACCAACTTTATATATATATATATATATATATATATACACACACACACACATATATATACACACACATATATATACACACACATATATATACACATATATATACACACATATATATATATACACACATATATACACACACACACACACACACACATATATATATATATATATATTTTTTTTTTTTTTTTTTTTTTTTTTTTTTTGAGACGGAGTCTCGCTGTGTCGCCCAGGCTGGAGTGCAGTGGCATGATCTTGGCTCACTGCAAGCTCCGCCTCCCGGGTTCACGCCATTCTCCTGCCTCAGCCTCCCGAGTAGCTGGGACTACAGGTGCCAGCCAACACGCCCGGCTAATTTTTTGTATTTTTAGTACAGATGGGGTCTCACCGTGTTAGCCAGGATGGTCGTGAGCTCCTGACCTCGTGATCCGCCCGCCTCGGCCTCCCAAAGTGCTGGGATTACAGGTGTGAGCCACTGCGCTTGGCCATTTATATTTTTATAAGGTTTCTTTATGAGAAAGAAAGCTGATCCTTGGAGACACCATGACTTGGCCACAGTGCTGTCAGAGCCTAAACTCAAATTCAAACCTCATGACTAAGCAGCTTCCCTCTTCCACACTTCACCTCTTAAATAAAAAGCAAACATTGTTTCCTTTTTCTCTTTCTCTAACCAGCCTTTTCTTCTAACCCAGGAGCCTGATTTCCAGAGCTTGATATTCAAACTCAAGAGACCATCTTAAAGGAGCCATCAATCATTCTGATCAATTTTCCAGAATTCCCCAAAATATTCAATCGACACACACCAGAAATGCATTCACTGTTCCATCAAGTTCATTCAATGGGTCCAGTTCAGCCTCTGACCCATATCTCTTTATATAACTCCAGTTTGATATCTGCTCTGACCAAGGCTAAACATTGACCAGCTTTCTCTACAAGGGTCTGGAATTTTTTCTCTAAATGCTCAAATAGAGCCAAATCTTGCTTTCCTAGGACAGATTAACATTATACTGACAAAGTCATGTGTTACATTATTGGGTTACCTATATAAAATTGCCAATAATTGACCTACAGAAGTAGATTTTTATATAGTTCATGAAAAAATTAGCTCATCTTTTCCTGGTCATATCTCGCCTTCCTCAGTGTCCTTTCTTTGTGAAGGGAGAATCTCTACTCCCTCAGTGGATAGGAATGAAAGATGCTGTTATTAACAACATTCTAAGGTGATTTGAGGAGTGACAGCATCTCTTAGAGAAATGAGGTAATGCCTCCAGTCTGCCTTCTCTGCCGTTTAACTTCCTGACAGGAGGCATGGAACGTGAAAAAATTGATTGTCCTGTACAAAGTCAAGTAAATAAATAGCAATACTTAATGCAATCATTTTCCATATTGCCTCATCAAAACCCACGCAGTCAAAGCCATTTATGAATTCCTTAGGTCCTGCTGTTGTCATCTTTTCAGCATGTTGCTCTCAAAGATGCCTCCAGGTGGGGAGAAATAGGAGAGCAGTTACTAATCAATCTTGAAGCTATGATCAGAAACCATTTAGAAGGATGACAGCTTGCTTGAGCCATTCCTAAATTTCAGAGAGGAAACCTTCAAGGAATAAGTTATTAATAGAGTGATAGGAAGCAGTTTGGGGGATTTATTATTAGGAAATAATCACCTTGGTGCCTTTGTCTTGCTTTAAGTTTTCAAAGAAAAAATAAACTTTGGAAGGTGGTCAGCACCCAGGCCCAGAGCAAAGGTGGGCTAGAATGAAATGACCCTGCCAATCTAGCTTGTTGGATTTCTTATTTCCCTTCCTTATAGCAGTTCTCAAAGGTAAGATAACAGAGCCCCAGAAAGTAAGGGATAGAAGGACTCTTAGATATCATGGGTGGCTGGACATTTGAATTATTCTATTAGCTACTACCAGTGGATCTGAGGCAAATACTCACGAAATGAGGCAAGGTCCTGTGTTGGTTTGCTTGTGTTGCCATAAGGAAATACCTAATGCTGGGTAATTTATATTTTAAAAAAGGAGGTTTAGGGAAGACCCACTTGGGTGCCCCTCTCTCTCTGCAGGAGAAGGAGCTATTCTCCTTTCTCTTTCTTTTGTCTATTAAACCTCCGTTCTTAAACACACACACACACACACACACACACACACACACAAAGGGTGTTTAGTTGGCTCATGATTCTGCAGGCTGTACAGGAAGCATGGTACTGCAATCTGCTTCTGGTGAGGCCTCAGGAAGCTTACCAAATCCTGGCAGAAGGTGAAAGGGGAGGAGGCGTGTCATATGGCGAGAGAGGAAGCAAGAGAGCATGGGGGAGGTGCCACATTCTTTTAAACAACCAGAGCTCACCTGAACTCAGAGTGAGGACTCACTTATTACCATGGGGACAGCACCAAGCCATTCAAAAGGGATCCAGCCCCATGACGAAAACACCTCCTATTAGGCCCACCTCCAACATTGGAAGTCACATTTCAACATGAGATTTGGAGGGGACAAAACATCCAAACCTTATCATGCCCAAAGCAGCAAAAAGCAGAAACCAGGCCCTGGTAATCAAAAGCCACTCACCTTCCCACACGAAGAGGATGAGCACCAGGAAGACAATGCCCACAACACTTGTCAGTGTTGCAATATGATGGCAAAAATATGACAAATGCAATATATTTTTTAAACATATAAGTTTATTTTAATTTAAAGAACTATGCTGTACATTATGTCCTTACCATTTGGGGCATGGGGATCAAGGTGACTTTTACAGAATAACAGTGGCTGTAGGTGGTCATTACATTTTCAAGAGAGTCACGTCTAACTCAAAAGGTTAGGATCTAAAGTCATCAAATAAAGCAAAATCATGTGTAATCTAATCCTAGAAGATCCCCTCAATCGGCCATCCATATTAGTCATGTATACATGCTGTCTTGAATGTATCTCTATATCATTTCCTCTAACTTGCCTTTAGTCAATGATTTATATCAATTTGGATGCCAGCAACAGGAAACAAACTGCACATGACCTTAAACTTCAAATAAAATGCCTTGGCTGTGAAGACAAAAAGGTAAGAGGAGGCAGGCACCATGCCCAGGGTGGGGCTCCTCAGGGTCCCGGGGTACCACTGGAAGCATAAAGGAGAGCAACATCAGGGACCAGCCAGCTTTTGCCCTATCTCATGTTTCCAACAGGAAAAACACTCAGAGCACAGACTTCACAGGTCCAGAAGTTAGTCCACAAGCTGTGCGTTCCTCATGGACAGGAGGCCTGGTTTCGTCACCTGTGTCCTCACATAGAAACCAACTCAAAATTGGTGCTCAGGACTTCTCTGATCACATATTATAAAGAGGTATCAAAACCTGGTCCCCAAAGTACCTGATACTCCTCCTTTCCAGAAGTGGGGTCTATGCCTCCTCTCTTAAATCTGGGTTCTGTAAATGGTTAACCAACCTAATATAATGGAAGCTATGGTATGCCAGTTTCTAGGCCAAGGCCTTAAGAAACTGGTGGCATTCAATTCCTGTCTCTTGGGATGCTCCATTTTGAAATCCAGCCACCATGCTGTGAGGGAGCCCAGGTCACAGGGAGAGGACAGGTGCAGGTATTCTGAAAGATAGCCCCAGCTGAGTTCTCAGTTGATGCCACCATCAACCATCAGATCTGTGAGTGAAGAAGCCTTTGTGACGACCCCAGCCTCAGCCATCATCTGACTGCAATTGCACAAAAGAAGGTGAGCAAGAAGTGCCTAGCTGAGCCCAGCAAACTCTCAGAACCGTGAGAAATAATGACATGATTAACGTTGTTTTTAGCCAATGCGTTTGTTAGACAATAGATCATCAGAACACATTAAGTGGCTTAAAGATGTAATTTGATTCAAATATTCAGGCAAGGAGGTGCTTTTAAAGACAGCAAAAAATCTCAATGGCAAGGCATCTCTCTAACTCACCTGCTCAATGATGGATGCAGCCCAGTGGCGGGGAAGAAGGAAACAGAAGGCAGTGTTTGCAGAATAGGCGGCTCCACTTAGATCCCAAAAAAGCCAGTGGACTGTGATGGCCAAAGGCACCTTCTATAGGGTAATAGATAGCCCACTTCTGAGGCTGTAAGGAAGCATCCACAGGGGCTAGAACTCCCAGCTCTACAGATCCTCACACACACCAGCAATGTGTGCTTAGCAACAAAGCCCACAGATGAAGCAAGCAGGAATTAACTGACTATTGGTTGGGCATTTGAGTTGTTCTAACATCTCCTGAAACAGACACTCATAGGATGAGGCACAAAGCTGGAAGAAGCAGAAGACACAGTGGCCCTTTAGCAAAGTCCACTCAGCCCTAGTATGGAGGTAGACCCAGGAACATGGTGCCCACTGCATGCCAGATGTGGCTAGATGCCAGCATGTGCGTGCACGAGGGGCAGGTGTGGTGATGACTTGGCTACTCTGCTCCCTAATGCTTCATGACATCTGCTTCAAATCTAATTTATGGGACCTTGGCAAGAGGGGAGTATTTTTGGAAGGATGCAATGACTCATGCCTGTAATCCCAGCACTTTGGGAGGCCTAGGCAGGCAGACTGCTTGAGGCCAGAAGTTCAAGACCAGCCTGGGCAATATGCTGAAACCCCATGTCTAGTAAAATTACAAAAAACAGGCAGGCATGGTGGCACACACCCATAGTCCCAGCTACTGGGGAGGCTGAGGTGGGAGAATCACCCAAGCCCAGGAGGTCGAGGCTGCAGTAAGCCATGATGTTGGTGATGGTGCCACTGCACTCCAGCCTGGAAGAGTGAGACCCTATCTCAAAAAAAAAAAAAAAAAAAAAAAGAAAAAAGAAAGAAAGAAAAAGAAAAAAAAAAAAAGAGTATTTTTTTTAAGACTTGAAAGAGACTCAGACAGAAAAGGGACTAAGGGAGGATTCCCTTCCCTCCTCCTTCCCAGCACCTCCACCCTTGCCCTCCACTGACTCTTAGAGCACCCTTCAGTTTCCCTGTGCTTCCTTTTTGAGCCATCACTCCACTGTCTCTAGCTCTTCACTGCCCATCTTGCCAGTGTGGTCAATATCTGCTCTCTCCATTGCCTATTCAATCCCTTTGTAACCCACAAATGTCCATCTTTCATCTATGGCAGGGTTTCTCAACCTTGACACTATTGACATTTGGGGTCACATAACTATTTGTTGTAGGGGGAGGGGCTGTCCTGTGCATTTAAGGTGTGTAACAGCATCATCTCCACCATTTGTCAATATACTCTCCAGTTTTGACAACCAAAATGTCTCCAGACATGGCCAAATATCTCAAAAGGGAAGGATGGAAAACTGCTTCTGTTCTAGAAGCACTGGCCTACAGTAAAAAGAAACTGTCACAAGGGTGTAAGTAAATGTTTGTTAAGGGAAGAAACAAATAAACAGAGAAATGAATGAGTGAATGAATGAATAAACGGAGTAGATGAATGAGAGAATCAATGCACTACAGAGAAAGCACACAGCCTCGGGGACCTCTGAGTACATAAAGCTGAGAGCTGCAGGCAGGGAAGCAGTTAATAGGTCAGTCAGTCCTGCAGAGGCCCTGAATCCTCAATGGGCTTTTGCTGGCTGTGCAGTTCGATGCTTTTCCAATTAACAAGAAGACCTGCAGATGCCAATGGACCTTTAACAGGGTCACGGGAATGGGTCCTCTGAGAAGCCAGGCTGGAGAGTATGACACTGGGAAACTCAGGCACCTGTCTGCCAAGGTACTGATTCATTCTCCTTGTGAAAGTTGCAATTTGGAATGACAGTTTCTCACCTTCTGTTTCCCCAGCTGCCATCTGCAAAGGTTACTTGCTCTAATTTGCCCAGCATTTCTCCTCTCTTGACCTCTCTGTAAGCTGTCACTTCTTTTCCTCTCTCTCCCTCCATCAGGGCCTTTTTTGAGTTCATTGGACTGTTGTGCGCTGTCCCTCACTATGTAGGAGAAGTGAACCTGCCGGGCTAATGGTCAACAGGCTTTCATCAAGGAGAGAAGAAAACATAAGCCTCGGGGCCTTGGCCACACACTATCCTCCTCAGCTTCCTGGGTCCCTCTACTCTCTCCAACTCAGTCAGACTCATTACATCAAGCTCAGGGCCACAGAATGTGAACAAGGGGCTGTGGCTGTGGGCAAGGAAAGAGTTCAGTAAAATAAAAAATAGTCTGTGTTTCCTTGCCTTTTACAATAAGAATAGGTACTGCTTATCGAGTGTTCAGGCATTGTCACTAAGCATTTTATGTGTGTTATCTCATGTAATCTGCAAGTAACTTCACAGAGTAAGGGTTATATTTCCCATGTTAGAGGAGAATAAAAGATGCACAGAAGTTCTCAAACTTTAGGGGACATCAGAATCACCTGGAGAGCTTGTTAAGACACAGATTGCTCGGCCCCACCCCCAGAATTTCTGACTTAATTAGTCTCGCCTGGGACTGGGGAATTTGTATTTCTCAATTGAAGGATTAATATTTTAGACTAGAAATTGTATAACTTGCCCAAACACACAGACACCAAGGGGTAGATGTAAATGGGAACCAGGTCTCTTGTACAGTAGAGTCTCTGTTGAAACCTGATATTATTTCAGGTAATCCTGTAGGCCAAGAGGAATTTTTATAGATGTTAAGACGATCAAACATGCATTATCCCATTCATTAAATATTTACCAAACATATACTGCCCTGTGCTGGTTGATATGGATACAAACAAAAAGAAGAAGAGATCCTCAAGGAGCTTGTGTGACCAGCTAGTAATAGAAGCTCACATGCGACAATGACAATACAACGTAGCAAGAGCTATAGTTTAGAAAGAACAAAGCACTTGCTAGAGCAGCAGTTCTCAAACTTTTTTGGTCTCATGGCTCTTTTCACTCTTGAAAATTATCAGACTCCAATAATAAACTCATTACATATTAACACAGAGAACATATTTTTATGAAAAATAACTATTTTCATAAAACAGCGAGAAAACTGGGTTTTACAGCATTGCAAATCTCTTCATGCCTGGTTCAGTAGAAGACAGCTATAGCCTCACTTTTGCTTCCAGACTGAGCCTGATGTAATATGTTATTTTCGTTAAATTACATGAAGAAAATTCATCTTAAATACATATGTAGTTGAAAAACGGAAACAAACTGTAATAGCTCTTTCAGATAATTGGGAATATTCTTTGCTACTACACCAAAACTCAAAAAGTTAAGTTGCAGTGTGGAATCTTAAACCTAGTCAATGAAAGTTTTGCATTAATATTGCATTAAAATACATTTATCTATTTTGAACTTCCAATGGAACTTTTACCTCTGGCTTGATTTGGTCACATCATACATTGGGAAATAATGAATATGGGAAAACCCATATTCATTAATATCAACTCTTAAATAGTGGGAAGCTGTCAAGTTTCCCAAAGCTCCAATTTTCACTTGAAAACTCAAATTTAATCATTTGCAACAAACACTTTCAGTTGTCTGCTTTGGAGTGATAAACTCACTCCTTTCATTTTCAAGAAAATATCCTCCAAATATCCAAGTCTGAATACCCACAGCTTGTGTATGTTTATTGTTATTTCAGGAAAAATAATATTCCATGAAAAGAATTGGCTAGTTCAGCTTGCAACTCAATCACACGAGTGCTTGTCCTTGCAACAACTATGATACCACAGTATGCAGCAAAAGTATTTTATTTGAACTTATCATTTTATCACACAGAATGTCAAAAGGATTCAAGGATAAAGACTTAATCAAACACTAACCTTACTAGTTTATCAAAGACATTCTTCAGCAAAATTTGCTTTCTTTTTCTTTTTCTTTTTCTTTTTTTTCAGTGACTGGTGTAAAGGATAACAATGACTACTAGTGCATTTTGGTGTCATTGCAATACTGGTTTCATAGCCAGACAGAACAAAGCTTTACCCATCAATGCTTTCACACCATCCACACAAATGTCAATGCACCGAAACAGGCAATGGCATCTCTAAGTGTTATTGTGAAAATAGTTCTGAACTTGTAGATCACCCTGACAGGATCTCCCAGGGGTCTGTGGGCACATTTTGACCACCACTATGCTACAGCAGCATTAAATTACTCGGCACTTCTCAGGCATCTCCGGAACCTATCTTGTTCATACTCAGCCTTGATTCTGAGATGCCTGAAAACATTAAAAGCCTCAAACAAAGAAAATACAAAAGGTAAAACTATGGAAGAAAAAAAATTGGAAAAAACATTTCTATACTATAATGCATCAGCTAGGAATACTCACATGTACTCGAAATGAGTAGGCAGCTTATTTTAGCTTTTAAGACACCGCTTTAAAAACAACCAAATATGTTAGGATATTAAAGACCTAGTTAATATATTTTCTAAGAACAATCAGTGTCATTTATTAAGCATTTGCTCAAGAATAGACATTGTGCTGAGACCTTTGCCTATGGTATCTTGTTTAATCTTTCCAACAACCCTATGAAACAAGCATAATTTTGCCTCCATTTAAGGCCAGGAAACTAAGACCTAAAGAGGTGAAGCAGTGGGCTCCGTATTAAACAGTCAAAAATAAGTAAGCAGAATTGGGATTATGAACTGGTTCTGGCTGACCATGAAGCTGGTGTTCTTAACCTCTCTTCTTTGCAGCACACTAGTCAGCAGCACACAATGTGCTGCAAAGAAGAGCTGAAATTGCTCTGCTTGCTGAGGGCTGGATACTGGCCTTTACCCACAGGGACTGGTCCCTCAGGGCAGATGTAGGCAGAGCCACTCCCTGCCAGGAAAGCATGGCTTGGCGACACTTGCAAACCCTCAGGAGATGGTCTTGCCTTCTGATGACTTCCATTTCCTTTATCTGCTACAGTAACAATGCAGCCACCAGACTCCCCACAAAGCATCAGGATTCTCCCACTATGCTTGTGACATATACAGAAATGTCTGCCCCTTCACATCCTGGCAAGCTGCAATAAACAGAGGCAAATCTTTTTATTCCCCTTAAGTTAGTGATTTGTAAGTGAGCCAAATTTAGTTTTAATTAGAATCCATTTTCTGATAAATGTATGGTTCTGGAATTGATTATACAAACTCTGCCTGCTAATCAGTGCCTGTCCTATTTGTTCTCTCATTAGCCCAGCCCTGACATTCAGACCTGCAAAGAGTGGAGTCTTCAGGAGGCTCCATGGCAGGGCTGTGTGAAGATCACTGAGAGGCCAACATGGCCTGATCTCAGTGCCTCTCCTTCATTGACCTCTTACCTCCAGGCTTCAGGGAATAGGCAGGTCAGCTTCTGTCCTGCTTCTTCCTTCCCAAGCACTAACGTGGGAAAGAATTTGTGAAGGTGTCATCCGTGGAAGAGGCAGCTGCATTTCTATGGATGCAAGAGTCTTCCGCTAAAGGAATATATCTTAGGAACGTCTGTATCAGGATGGAGCCGGACCTTATGTGGAGGGAGCACCAGGTGCAAGGAATCCTCAGGCAGTCACAAACCAGACACAGAGACAGGTGATTACCTGACAGGGAGGTCAGTGAGGCCTGCTCCTTGATAGTCAAAGCAGAGAAGATGGTATGGAAAGGTATAGGGAGGAAGAGAGAAGAGCTGAAGCTGGGGAGAGACTTCACTCCAGGCTTCCATCCCAGGAAGGCATCGGGCCCACAGACCTTTCTCATAGAGGGCTTCTCACTCTGAAATTGAGATTTGGGAATGATGGAGACCCCAATTCCAGCGTTGATTAAGCCTGAACCTGGCTTTCTAACAGATAGAAGATTACAGAGAAAAGTACCAAACTGTATTTAGGGGCTCAGATATCACACATTATTATTATTATTATTACTATTATTATTATTATTTATTATTTGATATGTGTGTAAGATATCCACAAGAAAATAAAATCCTAGGAGTGGACTTCCTTAAATTCAATACTCTGGCATTTGCAGTTTGATATAGGGAGCTGTTTAAATACTTTAAGAGCCAGGCACAATGGCTCACACCTGTCATCTCAGCTCTTTGGGAATCTGAGGCAGGTGGATTGCTTGAGCTCAGGAGTTCAAGACTAGCCATAGCAATGTGGCGAAACTTGTCTCTACTAAAAATACAAAAAATTAGCGAGGTATGGTGGCGTATGCCTGTAGTCCCAGCTACTCGGGAGACTGAGGCACAAGAATCACTTGAACCTGGGAGGTGGAGGTTGCAGTGAGCCGAGATTGCGCCACTGCACTCCAGCCTGGGCGACAGACGGAGACTCTGTCTCAAAAAAAATAAAAAATAAAAAATAAATAAATACATACATGTTTTAGGAAGAGGTCTTAGAGTATGAGTCACGAGAATTTTCCTGTGATCAGTTGGATAATGAGCTTGCTGTTTGGACAGACCAGATAATAAGGCAGCACCTTACCTACCTAGAGTCACCAACCTCAGTGCAAGTGAATTTTTCAAGAGGAAACAATCAGCCCAGTGAAGGCTGCCTTGCAAACTCAACAAACTCAGCTCAATAAGCAAGACCCAGACCACCAGCACTGCAGGAGGGGCAGCCCTCCTCAGCAGGGTGGTTGCTGGATTTAGCAAATAAAAATATAGGACACTCAGTTGAGCTGGAATTTCACACAAAACAGTGAATTTTTTTTTCATATACTCATATATGTATGTCCTAAATATTTTGTGGGTCATACTTACACTAAAATACTGTTCTTTGTGAAAAATCCATTTGAGACTGCTATGGTTTGCATGTGTCTCCTGAAAAGCATATTTTAGAAATGTAATTCCCAATGTAACAGTGTTGAGAAGTGGGGCCAAATGAGAGGTGATTAGGCTATAAGGGCTCTGCCCTCATGAACAGATTAAGGATATTATCACAGAAGTGGGTTCCCTATAAAAAGATGAGGCCGGGTATGGTGGCTCATACCATAGCACCAACACTTTGAGAAGCTGAGGCAGTTGGATCATTTGAGTCCAAGAGTTCGAGTCCAGCCTGGGCAATATGGCAAAACTTCATCTCTACAAAAAGATATTTAAAAAATTAGCTGGCATAGTGGTGCAGGCCTGTAGTCTCAGCTACTCAGGTGGCTGAGGTGGGAGGACTGCCCAGGAGATCGGGGCTGCAGTGAGCCATGGTCATGCCACTGTACTCCACCCTAGGTGACAGAGTGAGACCCTGTCTCAGAAAATAAATAAATGAAAGCAGGAGTTCAATCCCCTCTTTTGTGTGCTCTCTGTCTCTCTCTCTCTCATGTGTGCAGGTGCCCTCTCTTTGCCCATCTGCTTTCCACCATGGGATGACGCAGCAAGAAGGCCCTCCCCAGATGTGGGCCCTCAATCTTAAACTTCCCAGCCTTCAGAACCATGAGTCAACAAATTTTTGTTTATTATAAATTACACAGTCTGTGGTATTCTGTTACAGCAGCCCAAAATGACTAAAACAGGGACGTACTTATACTAAAAAAGCATTCATTGTTTATCTAAAATTCAAATCTAACTTGGCATCCTATATTTTAGCTAGCAACCCTATCCTATTTGGGGTCTCAAATCTTAGGCTTCAAGTCTCTACCTTCTTGCCCATAGTACTCAGCAGTCTGGACCTTCCTTTTCATTTTCATAGGGGTGAACCTGCTCAGGGCTGTCAGGAGAGAGTGAGACCATGGGGTTCTTTGCACAAGTGTAGTTGGAATACCTGCATTTGAGGAACTCCATGTGAGGAGGTATCTTTACAGGAAGGCCATGAACACCAGCATCACAGCTCACATTTCCACGGGTCACAGAAGGCCCCCCAGACACTGTGCCTCCCAGCATCCCAGTGGTACTGAGCCAGACAAGTGAACTCCAGGGAGTACCACATTATGGTTTGGGGGAAGGCTGGGGGGTTGAAAGCACTGGGAGCTATTCTCTCTGAGGCAAAAACAAGAAGAGAGAAAATAGAATAGCAGGCTGAAAGTTCTCAGTATGTTGGCTAGCACGCCCACCACTACACACTGCAGAGCGGATGCATCCCTGCTCTTCTGGTTTACAGGAGCCCAGGGAAGAGGCCCCAGGTGGTGGAATATATCCTTTACCAGCAGGGAACTTTCCACCACAAAAGAAAATCCCCTCTAAGGGGATTCATTAAATAAAGTCCTAGCTGAGCCTTATCCTAAGGGGCTCCAGGCCTTCTGCAGCTGGACGCTCACTAATCCCCCATAAAATTCCGATGTGGTAGGAAGGGGAAGGAATTATAGATGTAAAATTGTTATCAGGAGGATTCAGGCGGATTTCTCCTCATCCACTTCCTCTATCTCCTCCTCCTCCTTGTCACGCTATTAAGAATAATACCTTGCACACATAGAATGCTTTACAGTTTAGAAAGAGCTTTCTCTTGCAGTATCTTTGAGGCCGGGCAGAGCAGTGACCTGCCAGGGCTATGACATGATTCCCTGAGTTCTCACAACCCCTGGCTTCAGGACCCCTCACAGCCATGTTTATTGGGCTGAACATCCTCAACAGCAGCTCCTTCTCCTTCCCTTTGATGTGTGCACATGTCTGTGCAAGGGCACACAAACACGCATGTGGACACAGGTGTGTCTCATCTACAAATCCAGGGTCAGTCCCACACTCCTGCAGGTCAGGGCTGGGCCTGTTTTACCAAATGCCCCCCAGCCCCAGGGCTCTGTGTCTCTGCATGGCCCATCCCTCCCAATGCTGCAGGTCCCCAAGAGGACAAGCCAGGCTGCTCTGAGGATGTCACACTGCATGTGGGGAGCTATTCCTAAGACACCCCTGCCTGATAGAATTCTGGGTGGCTGAGAAAATTCCAAAGATCAGCTTGGGCTTATTGCACACTTACTACATGCCAGGCCCTTTATACCACATTATAGTGTATGTATCTCGAATCTCCTGAAAGGAAAGTATTATTACCCCAGATATGGATGGTGGAATCAAGTTTCAGAGATGAACAGCATTTGCCTGAGAACACACAGCAAGTAAGTGGCAGAGTGTGGATTTAAACCCAAGAAACTTGACTCCAAACTCAAATTTTTGTTATCTACAAAGATTTTGCAGGTCAGGAATTCAGACAGAGGTTGGTAATTGGCAGAGGAATTCTCCTGCTCCATGTGGCAGGGACTACAGTCCCTCAATGTATTCAGTTGGTGGCTGGGGGTGAGAGGTGACAGCATGCTGGCAGTCCTCAGAGCCCTCGCTTGCTCTCGGCACCTCCCCTGCCTGGGCTCCCACTTTGGTGGCATTTGAGGAGCCCTTCAGCCCCCCCACTGCACTGTGGGAGCCCCTTTCTGGGCTGGCCAAGGCTGGAGCCCACTCCCTCAGCTTGCAGGGAGAGGCACGAGCGGGAACCGGGGCTGCGTGCGGCGCTTGCGGGCCAGCTTGAGTTCCGGGTGGGCATGGGCTTGGTGGGCCCCGCACTCGAAGCAGCCAGCCAGCCCTGCTGGCCCCGAGCAAGGGGGGACTTAGCAGCCGGGCCAGTGGCTGCGGAGGGTGTACTGAGTCCACCAGCAGTGCCGGCCCACTGGCGCTGTGCTCGATTTCTCGCCGGGCCTTAGCTGCCTTCCCGCGGGGCAGGGCTCGGGACCTGCAGCCCACCATGCCTGAGCCTCCCACCCACTCCGTGGGCTCCTGTGCAGCCCGAGCCTCCCCGACGGGAGCACCACCCCCTACTCCACGGCGCCCAGTCCCATCGACCACCCAAGGGATGAGGAATGCGAGCGCACGGTGCAGGACTGGCAGGCAGCTCCACCTGCAGCCCCAGTGCGGGATCCACTAGGTGAAGCCAGCTGGGCTCCTGAGTCTGGTGGGGACGTGGAGAGTCTTTATATCTAGCTCAGGGATTGTAAATACACCAATCAGCACCCTGTGTTTAGCTCAAGGTTTGTGAGTGCACCAATCGACACTCTCTATCTAGCTGCTCTGGTGAGGACGTGGAGAACCTTTATGTCTAGCTCAGGGATTGTAAATACACCAATCGGCACTCTGTATCTAGCTCAAGCTTTGTAAACACACCAATCAGCACCCTGTGTTTAGCTCAAGGTTTGTGAATGCACCAATCGACACTCTGTATCTAGCTGCTCTGGTGGGGCCTTGGAGAACCTGTGTGTCGAAACTCTGTATCTAACTAATCTGATGGGGACATAGAGAACCTTTGTATCTAGCTCAGGGATTGTAAACGCACCAATCAGCGCCGTGACAAAACAGGCCACTCGGCTCTACCAATCAGCAGGATGTGGGTGGGGCCAGATAAGAGAATAAAAGCAGGCTGCTGGAGCCAGCATTGGCAACCCGCTGGGGTCCCCTTCCACACTGTGGAAGCTTTGTTCTTTCGCTCTTTGCAATAAATCTTGCTACTGCTCACTCTTTGGGTCCACGCTGCTTTTATGAGCTGTAACACTCACCGCGAAGGTCTGCAGCTTCACTCCTGAGCCAGCGAGACCACGAACCCACCAGAAGGAAGAAACTCCGAACACATCTGAATATCAGAAGGGACAGACTCCAGACGCGCCACCTTAAGAGCTGTAACACTCACCGCGAGGGTCCGCGGCTTCATTCTTGAAGTCAGTGAGACCAAGAACCCACCAATTCCGGACATAGGGGGCCTCAAGGAGCCAAAATGGTCCAACTCAGCAGCCTGGCACCTTGACAGGGTCAGCTGCCAGACTGGGCCTATCTCTCTCTCCCTGAAGTTTCAGGGATTCTCTATGTACTCCCCTCTTGCAGAGGAGCAGGACTTACATGTTTACTCAGGGCACGAACTGACCAAAGAGGAAGCAGCACATGCTGTTAAAGGCAAGACTCGGAACGGGTAAAGTGTTACTTTTGCCACAGTCCATTAGTCAAAATAATCACAGCCCAGCCCAGATTCAAAGGGAGGAGAAATGGGCACCATCTCTTCTTTGGATATGTGTCAAAGAATTTTCTGTCATTCCTACCCCACCACGGGTGAAAAGTAAACTCACACATGTTATATAAGCAGGACTTAGGGAGGCTACCCCAGTGGAGCTTGGACTGTTCACTGGAGCTACAAATGGCTAACTTGCCCCTCACACCTTACTCTGGTGAGGATAGTGGGAGAAGCATACTTGCAGGAAGGGGACACACCCGAGCTCTGTGATAAGCCCACATGTTCCTGCGGCTCTTAGGTTGGGAGATCTGGTAGGTAAACAATGACTGTGATAAGAAAAGGGTAGAGCCTAATATGGGGCACACCAATTCTAACACTAACTGCAGAATTCCTGCAAGTTTATTTTATAAGTCATTTAACCAGTCAGTGTCTGAGGAGGCAGAGAAAACCTGGTTTAATAAAATTCACCACTCAAAGAACATAGATTAATTGTACCCACTCAATGCAGAAATCATGAAACCTCCAGGAAATGTAAAATCCACATTTCAATCTTGTACCTCTTGGCTTGTTCAGTAATAAGACTTTTATCCAAAGTGAATCTGAGATACAGTGCAAACTTTTAGCTGGTTCATTTACTCCTTTTCTATCATTATACAGAAAGCATCACTGATGGGCGGTGGGGAGATAGATGGTAAATCAATGGTGTCCCTGGTCATAGGCAAGTCACCTAAACTCTCTGGACCCCAGTTTCCCCTTCTGTCAAATGGACTTGGTCTATGTGATTTCTAAATCCCTTCCAACGGTTTTATGTTGGGAGCTAATGCTAGTGACCTTTAAAAGCCAAATTCATGCAAAACCAGTCATTTTCTCCAGTACATATCTAACGAGTGCTTTCCTGTACAAAGCATTTGTCCTCAAGGGACGTCTCCCTGAGGATTTGAACCTCCTCCAGTTTTCAAGGCCAAGACCAGGGAGCATTCTATCAAATCCTCCCCAGAGGCCACAGTCTGATCCCAGTATTCTTCCTGTCTCTTGGAGATTTGAAACAAAGAACAGACTTTTCATTTTCAGAGTGCATCTGGAGTAAGGAGATTTAGTTTCAAAGTGATTTGCTGCACAGAAAACCCTCTATTTTGCTTCCAAGCCTGAGCAGTTACTCTAGCTCTTCAGCATGTGCTAATTCTCTCATTACTGGGCCTGGGATGAGGGTGGCGATATCCCAGGTCAAGATGTTCCCCATGTCTTGAGAGAATGCCTGATTAAAGAACAACAATCCATCTATCTTCTCGGTAGTCTATTTACCACCCCATTGCTCTGGTCCTGCCCACTTGGCCTGACACTTGGCTGCCCGAATCAATCAATCAGGAGAGCAGAAAGCTGTCCTAATAGCCACATCAGGACTGCTCATCAAGCCCCACTGCTCACTTTTGTAAACCTCTGCAGCCCTGAAACCCAGTCACATCAGTCCAGTGCTACCGTCCACAGATCAAGATGCAGCTTCCATATTTGGGTTTCCTGACCTAGCTGCCTGTGGACCTAGCTGACCTAGCTGCTAGATATTCTAGAAATATCCTAAATAGACATAGGACCTGACTGATCACAGAGGTTAAGGAACCTATCCCATGCTTATACAACGGTTCAGAAGAAGATGAAGGCCAGGACACCCATCAGTCACACTTTCATGGTGGCTGAGTTAGGAGGACCCTCCACAGGTCTGAAGGGTGAAGTTAATGTAGAAGACAGCAACACTTGAACTGTGCAAGCCTGCAGGTACCCATCTCTCTCAGTCTCAGGGCACAGTAGCCTATACACTGCAGAGCACCCACATGGCAAAGACAACACAGAATGGGAAAACAGTGAGGGGTCAGCTGACCTCACAGGCCATGCAGGCCTGCCTCCTCCATCCTGACCGGTTTGGATGGGTATATGCCAATTCCACCACTTCCCTGATTGATTTTCTCCCTGTCCAATTCAAGCAACCCCCAGCTGCTTGGTTGCACTGGCCTCAGTCCTCTCTGGCATCACCCTCCCCGAGTAGTTATGATATGGGCCTGAGGCTCTAGTCCTCCAGAGATAGCGTCTCAACGGCCTTGCTGTGCTACCTATGCCAACGGCCTCCTCTGTCTTCCCACCCAACCATAGGCTCCTGGGGTCAGAAGCGGCTTCTTACCTCTCTGTCCTCAGTATTTAGACTAAAGCCTGGCAGCCACTGGAGAGTACTAAGTGGATGTATGTGGAAATAGTGAATGGATGGAGAGACGAGTGGATGGAAGGAAAAATGAATGGAGAGATAGATAAATGAATGTTAGCTCCAAAGAGGATTTCCATACACTTATGCCCCTCTTTTCTTCAAACCTGGGGACCTGGCTAGACCAGATGCTTCGGCAAATCCCATGAGCCAACTACCCTATGGACCAAACTTGTCTTTTTGGTGGTATAGCAGTGCTGGCATGTTACAGACAGCCCTCCACATGGGCCAGTCACCTGACCCTGCCACAAGCTCATATGCTATGGAATGGTATATGACTAATGCATCATGCAAGTATATGTGCAGTGGCAGGAGATGCTGGAGTAGTACCTCAAGGCCAGTGGACAGTAGGTCTCCAGCTGTCCAGCATTTCCCAGAAACAGATGCCAGACCCATGAAAATGAGTATGAGAGGGACTGTGCTGATGAGCAGGAGGGTCCTGGTGGGATTCCAAGCCCCAAAACAGAACACGCTAGATTTCAGCCTCCTCCTCTAATTACCCAGGGATGTGCTCCCTAGGATGTACTTTAAGTATAAAAGACTCCTTAATTAAAGGTAATTCACTTTTCCCAATTCCATTTACCATTGCATGTAATTATTGGAAATACTGGCTTGGAATAAGAGAATGTTCTTTTTTCCCCCAAGCAAGTCTACCTTCTCCCTCTGTGGAAGTAGGCAACAAAATCTCAACTCTGTGGGTAGAAGCCAGTTTCTTTCAGTGGAAAAAGGCTGAAGGTGAAGTCCTGTGGACAACGGAAACTAGACCCCTAAGCAGGGGTGATGGCAGGTTTTGGTGCAGCCTCCCCAAGGAGCGATGGATGCAGGACAGGAGAAGGAAGTAGGGGAGTTGTTTGGCACAACCCATCCCCACTTCGTGTGGGCAGCAGAACCCCAGGCTAAGGCCATGTGACTCCAAAACCCCACTGAGTTAGAAGCATGAGATTGGAATGTAGCAACGGAGGAAGCTGGCCTGAGAAATGACTATGAGCTGGCAGTAGGAAGGAGTGCACTACAAGAAGATTACTCCAGCCTGGGTAGCATGTGAGCACTCAGCTTTCTTCTCCGCCTTTCATACTCAAGGTTTCTCTGTATCCTTCTTCAGCTCCAGATGACAGCCTCCTTGTCCATCGTCCTCCTTCCTCTGGCTGTGCATCCTATTCAGGTCCTACAGGCAGAGGCTATCCTGTAGGGTCTACACCCAGGAAGGTTTCAAAAGGCTCCCAGGCAATAAAGTGTTGCACTTACAAGTCAGCTACAGTCTGGGGCCCCCACCTGCTTGAGCATTCATAGGCCTCCAGCTGGGGACCTTAGAAAGTGCCTGCTTCTGGAAGCCATGACAGCTGCCTTGGCAGGGCACCCCAGGCACAGCCACATGGCAGGACTTGTCCAGAGTCCCTGCGGCTGTGACTTGAGACCGAATCTTGTCTAGGCACTAAAGTGCAAGATTTAGCTATCAATTCACCACAATCCACCTGTCCAGTTTCCTGCATGGGTTTTCAGCCTCTAATCCTCCCCCAGGCAGACAGCACCTGCCTCTCAGAGCAGTCAGAAACTGTTTACAGATGCACAGTCAAGAGCCTGCAGCCCTCACACGTGATTCCCAGATCAAGCCTCTGGTGCTGCACAGGACCTTTCCCTGTGAGATCCTCCAAGGCAGACCCAGCTGTACTTTGAAGTCTGCCTGCCCCTTGCCCTCCCTGAACGGGAGGTGCATATTTTATCTCCAGTGGACCATGAAGGTCTGAGGGAGGCAGGCTGATTTATCAGAGACATAACCATACAGTTGAAATTGTGTCAATATATCTTTGCATAGTGGATTCTGAAGGATGCCCCCTGTTTCTCTGGTAAATCATACACATTTAAAGTCCCCAAATGCCTAAATATATATTTATCCAGTAAATCAGCTCAGCTTTGAAGTGGCTCATTTCTTTCCTGAAGAAATACAGGATACAGTTGCTAACCGTGTTTTTCTTTCCTTCTCAGAGTTTAAAAAAAAAAGAGAAGCAGAGAAATGAAATTCTGAATAATGAATGTTTAAATATTGACGGAGGTTTGACACTAATGGTGTGAGGGAGACCGTGCAGCACAATAGCTCCTCTGCAGCAGGATCTACAAAAGGCGGCATTTTGCTAGAACCTCTGGGGTCCCTTACGGCAACAAAATTCTCTGAATCTGTGACACATTATTCAGCTTTCAGAGGCCAGGGCAGGGATACATTAGACTTGGATGGTGCCTTCTCCATGCAATACGAAAAGAGCTAACGTATTAGTCTTCATTTCCTGGTTGTCTCTCAACCTATTTGCAAACAATGTATTCAGAAACTGCAATTTCTCATTTTTTAAGATACTACCCTGCATATCCTTAAGGACAGCTCTAGTTATCTCCCATCTTCCTCGGAGGCGATCAAAATCCATTACGAAGAAGAATTTACCTCTGTGGAATCCCCAGTGCTATGCCTGTGCACAGCAGGTCCTCAATGAACAGTGGTAACTTTCCTAGACCCTCCAAATGCATGTGTACATTTTATTTTTCACAGCCACAGGCCCCAGAAAGCTGAAACATTTCCCCACTTTAGAGTCAGGAGGTTTGAGAATGAGTGAATACACATATCAGAGAGAGCAGCTGCCTATGTGTTTCCTACAGGTGTGAGTTGACTGGTTGATTCTGGAGACTCTATTAGCTGTAAAGGCAAAGCATGGACCCCCAAGAGGAGCTGACCTTCCACACAAGGTGCATGCTACCCTTTCTTCAGGATGACCATGGCCTGGGTTCTCTGAGACTGTCTCTCTGTCTTTAAGCCGAACCCACCATAAACGATTCCAGAATCTACCCTGACTGTCACACTGGCAGGAAAGGAATTCCCCCATGCTGCCCTATCCCAACACAAACTGAATCCTGCATTGAAGTCCATCAGTTATTACGGTGGTCACTGCTCCTAGTGCTAGTCATTCTTCAGGGAGATGGACTTTTACCACCAATGTCACCTACACTCAAAGCTCTGACTCAAACATGTTTCTCTTTGCTGCTTTTTGGAATCCCATTGCAATGACAATAAAGAAGAGAAAAGGTGTAAACTACCCCTGGACAAAGAGCACTGGGAGGAATACTCAGCATACAAGAGGTCTGTACACATTTTTGAAGAGAGGAGTAGACACTGACTTTGAGAAATGGCCACAATTTTCATGTCTCTGGAGGGGCTACATGAGCTTCTTTGTCACTGGAACTCAAAAGCACAGTTCTGGGAAGTAGGGGATGGAGCATGCTCCCACCAAATGAATAAATAAAATTCAGTGATTAGAGAAATTTTCTCCTTAAAAATTGTAAGGCATCTGAGAAAAGATATCTGGATACTAACTTCAGTGCACTGATCATCTTGCCATCTCACCACCCAACAATGGCACCCATTCATCAATCAGCCCCCGCCACTCACATAGAGCTGCTGATCACCTTTCAGTGCCTCACACTAAAATATGAAGAGATGGCCTGGGTGCTCAGATACAATTTTTTAAGCCCTCAGTCTGAGGTAACAAAACCTACAAACAGAGGATTCAGAAGAAAAAGAAGCAAAGCAGATAATTGAAGAAAATGTCTAAAACTAGAATAAATATCCTCAGAGAGATGGAACAATATTGCACTCATGAAAGTAAAACAGGATGCTATGAAAATAAATGTCTTAGGAAATAAAAATAAAAGCTAATATAAAAACAAATCAATAAAATAGTTTTATGATGAAGTAGGAGAAATGACCTAAAAAAAGAAAAAAAAAATCAGAGATAGAAAAAAGAGATTTAAAAAAAAAAATAAAAGAATCCATCTGAGAAGTCTCATATCTTACTAACAAAAGTTTGAGAAAGATAACTGGTAAAATGGATAGAAGTTATCCAAAAAGCACTAGAATAAATTTTATCAGATAAAAAGACATCAAACTCCAGACTGAAATATCTGTGCAGTACCCAGGCAATGAGTATTAGAAAAAGAAGAAACATGAAATTTCAGAATTTCAGGGATAAAAGAGAAGAACTTGAATGCTTCCAACGAAGAAAATCAAACCAAACCCAAAAACAAAATAAGGAAAATTGAAATGTCACTGGCTTTCCCAACAGCAGCACTGACAAGCAGAAGAAGCCAAATCAATGTATTCAAATTTTGGAGGAAAAATGATTTTTAACTTAGACATCATACCCAGCCAATCAACGAAATATAAGGGTAGGATAATTGTATTTTCAGAGAAGTGAGGATACAAAACATTTACCTTTCAAGCATACTTTTGAAGAGAGGACTTGAGGAAGGAGTTGGGAGATCATCTGAACTATCTGAGCATTTGGAAAATAATATTTGTTATTATTATAGAATTTTGATTGGCTTTGTGGAAAAAAGTACAAGAAAAAGAAAATAACAATGTAACTCTACTTGGCTAAGCATTGAAAAATAGTTGCAGCTGGATGCAGTGGCTCATGCCTATAACCCCGGCAATTTGGGAGATCCAGGCAGGCAGATCACTTGAGCCCAGGAGTTCAAGACCAGCATGGACAATGTGGAGAAACCCTGCCTCTACAAAATATACAAAAATTCGCCAGGCATGGTGGTGTATACCTCCAGTCACAGCTACGCTGGATGCTGAGGCAGGAGGATTATTTGAGCCCAGGAGGCAGAAGTTGCAGTGAGCTGAGACCAGGCCACTACACTCCAGACAAGGCTACAGAGTGAGACCCCATCAAGAAACAGAGAAAGAGAGAAAGGGAGAAAGAGAGAGAGAGAAGGAAGAAAAGAGAGAAGGGATTCTTTGTAACCTTCTTGAGGGAGGAGCCAAGAGGGCCGAATAGGAACAGCTCCAGTCTACAGCTCTCAGCCTGACGACACAGAAGACAGGTGATTTCTGCATTTCCATCTGAGGTACGGGGTTCATCTCACTAGGGAGTGCCAGACAGTGGGCGCAGGTCAGTGGGTGCGCGCACCGTGCACGAGCCAAAGCAGGGCGAGACATTGCCTGACTCGGGAAGCGCAAGGGGTCAGGGAGTTCCCTTTCCTAATCAAAGAAAGGGGTGATGGACGGCACCTGGAGAATAGGGTCACACCCACCCGAATACTGCGCTTTTCCGACGGGCTTAAAAAATGGCGCACCACGAGATTACATGCCGCACCTGGCTCCGAGGGTCCTACTCCAAGGAGTCTCGCTGATTGCTAGCACAGCAGTCTGAGATCAAACTGCAAGGCGGCAGCGAGGCTGGGGGAGGGGCGCCCACCATTGCCCAGGCTTGCTTAGGTAAACAAAGCAGCAGGGAAGCTTGAACTGGGTGGAGCCCACCACAGCTCAAGGAGGCCTGCCTGCCTCTGTAGGCTCCACCTCTGGGGGCAGGGCACAGACAAACAAAAAGACAGCAGTAACCTCTGCGGACTTAAATGTCCCTGTCTGACAGCTTCGAAGAGAGCAGTGGTTCTCCCAGGACGCAGCTGGAGATCTGAGAACGGGCAGACTGCCTCCTCAAGTGGGTCCCTGACCCCTGACCCCCGACCAGCCTAACTGGGAGGCACCCTCCAGCAGGGGCATACTGACACCTCACACTGCAGGGTATTCCAACAGACCTGCAGCTGAGGGTCCTGTCTGTTAGAAGGAAAACTAACAAACAGAAAGGACATCCACACCAAAAACCCATCTGTACATCACCATCATCAAAGACCAAAAGTAGATAAAACCACAAAGATAGGGAAAAAACAGAACAGAAAAAATGGAAACTCTAAAAAGCAGAGCGCCTCTCCTCCTGCAAAGGAACGCAGCTCCTCACCAGCAACAGAACAAAGCTGGACGGAGAATGACTTTGACGAGCTGAGAGAAGAAGGCTTCAGACGATCAAATTACTCTGAGCTATGGGAGGAAATTCAAACCAAAGGCAAAGAAGTTGAAAACTTTGAAAAAAATTTAGAAGAATGTATAACTAGAATAACCAATACAGAGAAGTGCTTAAAGGAGCTGATGGAGCTGAAAACCAAGGCTCGAGAACTACGTGAAGAATGCAGAAGCCTCAGGAGCCGATGCAATCAACTGGAAGAAAGGGTATCAGTAATGGAAGATGAAATGAATGAAATGAAGCGAGAAGGGAAGTTTAGAGAAAAAAGAATAAAAAGAAACGAGCAAAGCCTCCAAGAAATATGGGACTATGTGAAAAGACAAAATCTACCTCTGATTGGTATACCTGAAAGTGATGGGGAGAATGGAACCAAGTTGGAAAACACTCTGCAGGATATTATCCAGGAGAATTTCCCAAATCTCGCAAGGCAGGCCAACGTTCAGATTCAGGAAATACAGAGAATGCCACAAAGATACTCCTCGAGAAGAGCAACTCCAAGACACATAAGTGTCAGATTCACCAAAGTTGAAATGAAGGAAAAAATGTTAAGGGCAGCCAGAGAGAAAGGTCGGGTTACCCTCAAAGGGAAGCCCATCAGACTAACAGCGGATCTCTCGGCAGAAACCCTACAAGCCAGAAGAGAGTGGGGGCCAATATTCAACATTCTTAAAGAAAAGAATTTTCAACCCAGAATTTCATATCCAGCCAAACTAAGCTTCATAAGTGAAGGAGAAATAAAATACTTTATAGACAAGCAAATGCTGAGAGATTTTGTAACCACCAGGCCTGCCCTAAAAGAGCTTCTGAAGGAAGCGCTAAACATGGAAAGGAACAACCAGTACCAGCTGCTGCAAAATCATGCCAAAATGTAAAGACCATCCAGACTAGGAAGAAACTGCATCAACTAACGAGCAAAATGACCAGCTAACATCATAATGACAGGATCAAATTCACACATAACACTATTAACTTTAAATGTAAATGGACTAAATGCTCCAATTAAAAGACACAGACTGGCAAATTGGCAAGAGTCAAGACCCATCAGTGTGCTGTATTCAAGAAACCCATCTCACGTGCAGAGACACACATAGGCTCAAAATAAAAGGATGGAGGAAGATCTACCAAGCAAAGGGAAAACAAAAAAAGGCAGGGGTTGCAATCCTAGTCTCTGATAAAACAGACTTTAAACCAACAAAGATCAAAAGAGACAAAGAAGGCCATTACATAATGGTAAAGGGATCAATTCAACAAAAAGAGCTAACTATCCTAAATATATATGCACCCAATACAGGAGCACCCAGATTCATAAAGCAAGTCCTGAGTGACCTACAAAGAGACTTAGACTCCCACACATTAATAATGGGAGACTTTAACACCCCACTGTCAACATTAGACAGATCAACGAGACAGAAAGTCAACAAGGATACCCAGGAATTGAACTCAGCTCTGCACCAAGCAGACCTAATAGACATCTACAGAACTCTCCACCCCAAATCAACAGAATATACATTTTTTTCAGCACCACACCACACCTATTCCAAAATTGACCACATACTTGGAAGTAAAGCTCTCCTCAGCAAAGGTAAAAGAACAGAAATTATAACAAACTATCTCTCAGACCACAGTGCAATCAAACTAGAACTCAGGATTAAGAATCTCACTCAAAACCGCTCACCTACATGGAAACTGAACAACCTGCTCCTGAATGACTACTGGGTACGTAACGAAATGAAGGCAGAAATAAAGATGTTCTTTGAAACCAACGAGAACAAAGACACAACATACCAGAATCTCTGGGACACATTCAAAGCAGTGTGTAGAGGGAAATTTATAGCACTAAATGCCTACAAGAGAAAGCAGGAGAGATCAAAAATTGACACCCTAACATCACAATTAAAAGAACTAGAAAAGCAAGAGCAAACACATTCAAAAGCTAGTAGAAGGCAAGAAATAACTAAAATCAGAGCAGAACTGAAGGAAATAGAGACACAAAAAACCCTTCAAAAAATTAGTGAATCCAGGAGCTGGTTTTTTGAAAGGATCAACAAAATTGATAGACCGCTAGCAAGACTAATAAAGAAAAAAAGAGAGAAGAATCAAATAGACACAATAAAAAATGATAAAGGGGATATCACCACCGATCCCACAGAAATACAAACTACCATCAGAGAATACTACAAACACCTCTACGCAAATAAACTAGAAAATCTAGAAGAAATGGATAAATTCCTTGACACATACACTCTCCCAAGACTAAACCAGGAAGAAGTTGAATCTCTGAATAGACCAATAACAGGATCTGAAGTTGTGGCAATAATCAATACCTTACCAAGCAAAAAGAGTCCAGGACCAGATGGATTCACAGCCGAATTCTACCAGAGGTACAAGGAGGAACTGGTACCATTCCTTCTGAAACTATTCCAATCAATAGAAAAAGAGGGAATCCTCCCTAACTCATTTTATGAGGCCAGCATCATTCTGATACCAAAGCCGGGCAGAGACACAACCAAAAAAGAGAATTTTAGACCAATATCACCAATATCCTTGATGAACATTGATGCAAAAATCCTCAATAAAATACTGGCAAAACGAATCCAGCAGCACATCAAAAAGCTTATGCACCATGATCAAGTGGGCTTCATCCCTGGGATGCAAGGCTGGTTCAATATACGCAAATCAATAAATGTAATCCAGCATATAAACAGAGCCAAAGACAAAAACCACATGATTATCTCAATAGATGCAGAAAAGGCCTTTGACAAAATTCAACAACCCTTCATGCTAAAAACTCTCAATAAATTAGGTATTGATGGGACGTATTTCAAAATAATAAGAGCTATCTATGACAAACCCACAGCCAATATCATACTGAATGGGCAAAAACTGGAAGCATTCCCTTTGAAAACTGGCACAAGACAGGGATGCCCTCTCTCACCACTCCTATTCAACATAGTGCTGGAAGTCCTGGCCAGGGCAATTAGGCAGGAGAAGGAAATAAAGGGTATTCAATTAGGAAAAGAGGAAGTCAAATTGTCCCTGTTTGCAGATGACATGATTGTATATGTAGAAAACCCCATTGTCTCAGCCCAAAATCTCCTTAAGCTGATAAGCAACTTCAGCAAAGTCTCAGGATACAAAATCAATGTGCAAAAATCACAAGCATTCCTATACACCAACAACAGACAAACAGAGAGCCAAATCATGAGTGAACTCCCATTCACAATTGCTTCAAAGAGAATAAAATACCTAGGAATCCAACTTACAAGGGATGTGAAGGACCTCTTCAAGGAGAACTACAAACCACTGCTCAAGGAAATAAAAGAGGATACAAACAAATGGAAGAACATTCCATGCTCATGGGTAGGAAGAATCAATACCGTGAAAATGGCCATACTGCCCAAGGTAATTTACAGATTCAATGCCATCCCCATCAAGCTACCAATGCCTTTCTTCACAGAATTGGAAAAAACTACTTTAAAGTTCATATGGAACCAAAAAAGAGCCCGCATTGCCAAGTCAATCCTACGCCAAAAGAACAAAGCTGGAGGCATCACACTACCTGACTTCAAACTATACTACAAGGCTACAGTAACCAAAACAGCATGGTACTGGTACCAAAACAGAGATATAGATCAATGGAACAGAACAGAGCCCTCAGAAATAACGCCGCATATCTACAACTATCTGATCTTTCACAAACCTGAGAAAAACAAGCAATGGGGAAAGGATTCCCTATTTAATAAATGGTGCTGGGAAAACTGGCTAGCCATATGTAGAAAGCTGAAACTGGATCCCTTCCTTACACCATATACAAAAATCAATTCAAGATGGATTAAAGACTTAAACGTTAGACCTAAAACCATAAAAACCCTAGAAGAAAACCTAGGCATTACCATTCAGGACATAGGCATGGGCAAGGACTTCATGTCTAAAACACCAAAAGCAATGGCAACAAAAGACAAAATTGACAAATGGGATCTAATTAAACTAAAGAGCTTCTGCACAGCAAAAGAAACTACCATCACAGTGAACAGGCAACCTACAAAATGGGAGAAAATTTTTGCAACCTACTCATCTGACAAAGGGCTAATATCCAGAATCTACAATGAACTCAAACAAATTTACAAGAAAAAAACAAACAACCCCATCAAAAAGTGGGTGAAGGACATGAACAGACACTTCTCAAAAGAAGACATTTATGCAGCCAAACAACACATGAAAAAATGCTCATCATCACTGGCCATCAGAGAAATGCAAATCAAAACCACAATGAGATACCATCTCACACCAGTTAGAATGGCAATCATTAAAAAGTCAGGAAACAACAGGTGCTGGAGAGGATGTGGAGAAATAGGAACACTTTTACACTGTTGGTGGGACTGTAAACTAGTTCAACCATTGTGGAAGTCAGTGTGGCGATTCCTCAGGGATCTAGAACTAGAAATACCATTTGACCCAGCCATCCCATTACTGGGTATATACCCAAAGGACTATAAATCATGCTGCTATAAAGACACATGCACACGTATGTTTATTGCGGCATTATTCACAATAGCAAAGACTTGGAACCAACCCAAATGTCCAACAATGATAGACTTGATTAAGCAAATTGTGGCACATATACACCATGGAATACTATGCAGCCATAAAAAATGATGAGTTCATGTCCTTTGTAGGGACATGGATGAAATTGGAAATCATCATTCTCAGTAAACTATCGCAAGAACAAAAAACCAAACACCGCATATTCTCACTCATAGGTGGGAACTGAACAATGAGATCACATGGACACAGGAAGGGGAACATCACACTCTGGGGATTGTTGTGGGGTGGGGGGAGGGGGGAGGGATAGCATTGGGAGATATACCTAATGCTAGATGACGAGTTAGTGGGTGCAGCACACCAGCATGGCACATGTATACGTATGTAACTAACCTGCACAGTGTGCACATGTACCCTAAAACTTAAAGTATAATAATAAATAAATAAATAAATAAATATTCTTTGTAACCTTCTTGAAAAAAAAAAAAAAAAGAAAGAAGGAAGGAGGGAAGGAAGGAGGGAAGGAAGGAAGGAAGGGGGGAGGGAGGGAGGGAGGGAAGGAAGGAAGGTTGTATAGATATAATAATCTAAACACGCTACATTTAACAAAAAAGTTGTAAATATATGTTAACAAAGTGAACAAATATACATTTTGTATTATACATATGTAGATATGAAAAATCATATATAATTACCACATGGATATATAATACATATAGTAATAGATATTAGCAAAATAAGAGAAGAAGAAAAATATAGAAAGGGGCAAGAGATCCAAATCCTCAGCATTGATAAAGGGAAGTCAAAAGACAATGTCTAAATTGACATCAATAAAGCACATTAAGCATATAATTCAAAAAATGGGAGTATATCTAAGAAACAGATAGGAAGTGTTAGGGAAAAGAATGGGGTAGGGGAGATGATCAGGAAACTGATTTTTTCCTTTTGGTACTCATGGAATTGTTTAATCCATTACTTTAATAAAAATAGAAATTAATTTACGAAATGAAAAGCTGCCATTTCCAAAGTGGGCCCACTACAACAGGAAGGAAAAAGGTGCTAGACAACCCCCCGGTGTAGGATGGATGGAGACCAGATGAAAAGGGAGCCCCCAGACACGTGCTCTGCTCTGGCTGGGAACTAGCACACTTTTAAATTCTGGCGATGTCCATCCGTGTTTCTAAACCACGTGGTTGAAAGGTTTTAAAGAAGGTGGCTTTAGCAGATTAGTTGGAACTTCCCCTCTCTGGGATTAAAACAGAAGAAGTAAAAGTTGTATTTTCACAACTAGAGCAACACTAGAGCCCTGTTTTCATTCCACCCAACAGTTTGTGACATGAAAATAAACAATATGGAAAGGAGGTGTTTCTATATTTTTCCCGAGTCTCTTGAGATGAAGTTGGGCAAAGGGTATGCAGCCAAACTGTTTTCACACCATGCTTCAACTGAGTCTCACACTTCTTTGCATTTAGAGGGGATTTTCATCACTGCCTGGTTTCAGAATTGACTAGGTAGAGACTGTAAGCTGATAGCTCAGCTCAGCCATCATTACCACGTGTGGCCTGAACCAAGTGTTGGTGGTGTCTGGAAGAGCTGATTACATGTATTTAAAGTTGCAGCGGGGCCCCTTTTCAGTTTGGCCCAAAATAAACTACTTCATTGTTCATCCCAAATTATAATCTTAACCAGTGATATATTCACCTAAAATACCAAACTATATATTCAAAACAATTCTCCTAAGAAACAGGAATTATTTTTTAAAGAGTTTAAAGTATAAACATGCACAGGGTGAGAAAATTCACATAAAAAGAAGAATGGTATAAAATAGTGGCTAGACAGCAATGCCTGACACAGTTTCTCCCAGATTCCCACTAAAATACCATAAAAACTAGAAGTAAAAACTTGAAGCCTGCATATACTACAAATTGACACAGTCCTAGAACCTTCAGGGATTTCCATCAATTATTAGGTCATGAAAGTGAAATTTAAAAACATAAACTGAGGCACACAAATGGATTTTTGCCTGAAACAGAGCAAACTTGAAATAAAATAGTGGAAATGATCTATTTCTGCCCCTAAGTTCTAAATAAAAAAATACAAGTCAGGCCACCTTCTATTGCACTGATTCTCAACAGGGGGCGATTCTGGCACCAACCCCCAACCCCAGGAAATATTTAACAATTTCTGGAGATATTTTGGCTGTCACAACTTGAGGAGAGGGGGTGCTACTGGCATCTAATGAATAGAGGCCAAGGATCCTGCTAAATCTTCTACAATGCACAGGACAGCTCCCCACAACAAAGAATTATTCAGACCAAAATTTCACTAATGCAGAGGATGAGAAAAACTGCTGTACTCCATGGGAGATGTATTTTAAGGCAGTAAGAGTGCCTGTTTCTCATCATACTGAACATATTAATCTCATACTCTTGTTAACATACACATACAAACATACACACAGAAACAACTTAATACATCTTAATACATTATGTTTGAAAGCTCTCATATTTGTCCAAAAGGACTTTTAAAAATCAACAAGAATTCAGGCAGGAGAAAAAGTAAAAGAAGAAACCAGATAACCAATGAAGGACTAGCCTCCCGTCATCTCACAAAGGCAAGAACAGAACACGTTGGACAATATCTACTGAATTTTGCAGAAAATGATTGTGGCCAGACATTTTCTACTTGACCAACACACTGTCTAAATGTGGAGCAACAAACACACTTCAAGACACACATGAGCTCTAAAGTTATAACATATGATTTTAGAAAAAACATAATACTTGAAAACACACTCCACCCTATTGAGTAATGAATCCAAATGAAGAATTTGAGAATGAGGAAGCTGGAGGTGAGTAATAAAACCCATTTAAATGCAAAGTTCTCTACATTATTGTTATAAATAATGAGAATGAGAGAAAATAAATAACACAAGTAATAAGGAAGGGGATACAACAACAGACAGTGTTGTCTTCTGTTTTAAAACCTTTCTATATGGTACTGTGCTTATGAATTGAAAAATCCCAGCAAATTTAATACTTTTTCTAGAAAATGTAAATTATCAAATTGTGACACAAGAACAAATAAAAACTTAAGAGGTCAATTATAAGGACAGAATTTTTCAAAACTACCAAAGTTTACATCTGAGAAAGATTCCAAGACCGAGTAGTGTTACAAGTGGGTTTCTTCAAACTTTTAAGAAACATAATTCCATGCTATATTAACTGCCTCATGAATTAAAAAATATAAAATTCTGTCTAGTTCATTTTATGAAGTTAGTAAAAATCTTATACCAAAATGTGGCAATGTAACTAAAAAAAGAGAGAGAAATTTACATATTAATACAGATGTAAGCATTAAACAAGAGCACTGTAAAACAAACACAACAGGCCGGGCGCGGTGGCTCACGCCTGTAATCCCAGCACTTTGGGAGGCCGAGGCAGGGGGATCACAAGGTCAGGAGATCGAGACCATCCTGGCTAACATGGTGAAACCTCGTCAATACAAAAAATTAGCCGGGCATGGTGGCGGGCGCCTGTAGTCCCAGCTACTCGGGAGGCTGGGGCAGAAGAATGGCGTGAACCCAGGAGGCAGAGCTTGCAGTGAGCCGAGATCGTGCCACTGCACTCCAGCCTGGGCGACAGAGCGAGACTCTGTCTAAAACAAACAAACAAACAAAACACAACATTCAACATGACTAAGGTTGATCCTAAAATTGAAATATAGTTTCATATGTTTTCATTAATAGTAATCAAAATTTCATGTCAGTTGATCAACAAGGAAAACAATATCCTTATTTCCAAACATATATATTCTTCTTTACTATTCTTTCAAGTTAATATGTGTTATTTTCTTCCTAGCATTCTACTTTAAACCTACACAATTCTTATTGATGAAACAACAAAAGGCAGTCCCATTAAAATTAGAGAGAAATAATCTTATTCCCCTTCACTAATGCTTTACACTTTTCAAAGATCAGACCAGGGCAATAAGAAATGAAACAGAAATTAGAGATGTAACTATTAAAAAGGAAGAAAAAATAATCATCGCTTTGGACAGTATGATTAAAGACATAGAAATTGCAAAGGAAACAACCAGAAAATATCTTATAATTAGAAAAGAGTGTTGAGAAAAGTAAACCGGTGGGGGGTGGGGGGAGAGATTTCTTTAATACCAGAAATAACCAGTTTTAGAAATCCACTCACAATAGCAATAAAAAAAATCAAAAGCAATCAAAGACATCGGGAAGGCCCTAAATTGTGGCACAGAAATAGAAAAAATTAAAAACATAATAAAATATATAAAATAAGATTTGACAATATGAAACATATGTTACCAGATGGAAGACTGAATACAATCAATTCCCAAATTAATGTATTATTTAAAAAACACAACAAATAAAATTATTGGCAGCTGTTTACTGGTGGGGAAAATGCATGGTTAAAAAGAAGACAGATAGATGTGACAAAATAATTCTAAGATCTTCTGGTAAAATGAATAGGCAAAGGAATTAAGAAAGACTGTAAAAACAATAAGAGAGGTGACTTGTCTAACCAGGATGTAGCTTAGTTTACAACTGTTAGAATTAGAAAATACAACACTGGTACAATCATAGATAAACAAGGCACTGTAACAGAGAAGACTTGAAATAGACCCAAGTACATTTAAGAACTTAATAAATTATGAAGGAAGCAGTAGCAGCAAATGGGGTAGAAATACACTACGTCAATTGACTATTGGGAAAAAAAAATTAAATTAGACTCTCACCCTATTACTATTTACGAAAATACATTCCAGGTAGATTGAAGAATTAATGTAAAAACTAAAGCCACTTACAACAGGACTATATCCATATATTACCTTGAGATTTAATTATTTTAATGTTTTAACAAAGTAGTTTTAAAAAAATTAGCAGAAAATATAGTTGTAAATTTAACTAGAGGACACCTAACCTCGGAGAATAGGAGGGGTAGATCACAAAGGGAAAGCTTGAAACAGTCAATACATAAAAATTTAAAACTGCTGCTATTAAAATCATAAGAAAGTCTAATGGCAAATTGAGGTATTGAGACATGCTACAACCTTGAAAACATTTTGCTAGGCAAAAGAAACCAATTATAAAAGGCCATATAGCGCATGATTCCATTTATGTGAAATGTCCAGAATAGGCAAATCCATAGAGATGGCAAATGGATTGGTGGATGCCTAGGGCTGGGGGAGGAGTTGAAGTGAAATGGGGAGTGGCTGCTATTGGGCAAGGGCTTCTTTTTGGGAAGATGAAACTGTTCTAAAATTGATTGTGGCGATGGTTGCACAACTCTATGAATACACTAAAAACCACTGAATTGAATTGTACACTTTAATTGGGTGAACTGTATGGTATGTGAATTATATCTCAACACAGCTATTATAAAAAAATTAATGGCAAATAACCAACGGGAAGAAATATTGTAACATGTTTGGGGAAATGGTAATAAACTTGACATATAAGGAACACTTAAAATAATAAGTAAAACACTGACACACCATTGGAAAGCTGGAAAAAAAATCAATGAACAGATAAATTAACCAACACCGTTTGTTGTACCAAGTTAGCAGAGGTTTAAGAAGCAGTAATGCTCAATGCGGATGAAGGTGCTGGGACAAGGGCATTCTCAGCTGTTGAGGCAAAGCCTGCATCTGGAGACCAATACCTTGGCAGTAGGTATCCAGACTCATTGCCAAGTACAGACCCTTTGATTCCAGTTCTAGGAACCTATTCTAAAGAAATAAGCACAAAAGTGCCTATGGATTTATGAATGAAGTTGTTCACAACATTATTATTTGTGGATATTTTTAATATTCACAAATTATAAATAACTTAAATGCTCAAAAAGGAGGAGATGGTTAAATAAATTATGGATCAGCCACAAGATTGAATATTATGAAGGCATTAAAAATGTTTTCCAATAAATTTAATGATAGGGAAAACGATCACAATGTAATATTCAATGGATGAAGGATATAAAATTGCTTACAATGTGATCCCATACACACACAATGCTAAAATAAAATATATCAAAGGGCTGGTAGAAATTATTCAGATGGTGTCATTCTGGGTGATTTTCATTTTTTCTTTATATCTCCCATATCTTCCATGTTTCTACGATAGGCATATTTTATTTCTGTGATTAGAAAAGAAAATGTCATTTTTCTGACATATTCATCTACAGGCAAGTCTTTGGACAGCAGAGATGAATAACTGCAATGCTATTCCTTTAAAGGCTTATGTCTGCTTTGCACACACATGACTCCCCTTTGGCCCCCAGAGTCCTGGGGTGGAAGCCGTTTTAAAGCCCCACCCTGCTTGACCAGCCTAAGGGACCCCAGATACATGCTCCATTCTTATCCCTGGGGGATAAGACTGCTTTGTGATGGGATTTCAGGCCTTTGGAAGAGGTAGGGAAGAATCTTGCTCAGCCAACAAGCCTACTGCTGTGGGGGCAGCCACCTCCTGTGCTGGTGCTAAAGGCTCGGGGTCTGAGGTATGGGGTGTGGGGCCTCCAGGTATTGTGGAGTGGGGCACGCAGAGCTCCCTTTGGTGGCTGTGATGGCTGAGGCCCTGGTAGGAAACGCCACTGAACACGTGGTGCTCACAGACAGACTTCCCTGATGCTCCCTCTCTCCCCTGTCCTCTCTGCCTCATGCCTCTCCAAGGCACAGCCTCAGCTTAGAATTCCTATCTCTCAGTCCCTATCAGCTGGCGAGGCTCATTCCTGTTCAGCATTGAGGAGTAAATGAGACCATCACCAAAGCCCATGTGCAATCCCTGTCACATCGTAGCCACTGAAAACATGTTAGTAAATTGGTCTGTGGAGGAAATGAGGCCGGCATTCACTCAGCAGACACAGTGCTAGGCTACATGTCCCCAAGAAGAATGAGACACTGTTTGTGTCCTGCGAGGCTCACAGATGGGTCTATCATAGGAAAAGGTGGGTGGATTGTGGTTGCTGGTGTAAGCAGAGGTTTCAAGAATCTGCTAAATATGTTCAAAGGTATCTGCTAAATTTGTTCAAAGGTATCTACTAAATATGTTCACAACAAAGATTGCTGGGAAGCTGTAGGGAGCTGGGAAGATTTCATGGAGGAGATCGGTGGGTGCTTTAAGAAGGGGTGGGATTGCAGTGGGCTGAGAAAGGGAGGAAGGTGACATCTGAGCTGGTCTTCGAAGAAAGGGAGGGCAGCATTTTGGAGAAAGGCCATTACAGAATGAAGTGACAGCATCAGCAAATTCCTGGAGGTGGGAGGAGCATCAGATGGGCTGTGTAGACTTTGTCCCCAGGAAGCCCCCAGGAAGTCAGCTCTTGCTCAGCACCCCCATCATAGTAGCCAAAAGGCCTTCTTAGCCACTTGTCAGCACATGATCTCAAATTACCTCTGCCTTAATGGGTCTAAGCTAGTCAGAACATGGGGAAGATGGGATGATCACGGGGCCTGCTTGGAAGTACAAGCACCCTGCATTTTGGGGGCTTCACATCAACTTTCTGAAGAAGATGTTTTTTCCCCTTTACGTCAAAGACTTGTCCACCTTTCAAGGCCCAGGTTAAACACCATCTCCTACCTGACTGCTTCTCCTACCTCCTCTGCCCTCCCTGGAGCTCTCATCATGCCCCCCCTCACAGTCCAGGCATGGTGCATGTGCCTGCCTCCCCAGCCACAACAGCAGCTGCAGTGAAAGGTCATAGTGCGACAACCTCAATGTCTCTGAATGTTTAAGGGCCCCTTCATTAATTCAACAAACACAGACTGAGCAACCACAGCAGTTCAGGCCCTGCATGGACACTTGGGCATGCCCCAGTGAAAAGACACAGTCCTTGACCCCAACACACTCAGCCTCTAAGTAATGAGACAAAGGAAAAAGACACGCCCAGTGCCACCAGGTGCTTGGGCAACAGGAGCCTGCCAAGACTCCCAAGTACTCAACACAGAGAAGGCCAGTCCCACAGGGAGGGGAGCATAGGAGGCAGCATAGAAAAGGAGTGAACAGTAGCTCCACCAACCACGACTGGGAGGGCATACCCCAGTCCCCCAGTCCCCAAGCCTAGCAGAAGAGCTGTGGGAGCTACGGGAAGCAGGTGCTGGGACACCAGAGCCACAGCTATGGTCCGATTCCCCTGCCTACTCCACTTCACAGGGACCTGAGTTTAAGATTCATTGGAGGGCTCCGGCTGCCAGTGAAATAATGATTTATTCTCTCTCTCACTCACACACGCACACTATTTGCAATCCTTTGTTCTCAGTTTCCTACACATTTAATTACTTTAGGATAAATCTGATTTCCCCTCTGGGAAAATCTCTCTTTTGTTTGTTTTCTTTTAATTTCCCTTTCTTTCACGTTACATTTGACAAAGCTGGGAGAGGCAAACAAGACAGATGAGCAGGGAAGGTGGGAGATGCAGGAGCCACCTTCACTGCCAGCCCAGCAGTGAAGGCGGTGCTTGGTGACACAGACCCTGCACTTGCACACAGAGCTGTGAATTAGAAGTGCCCTGTACTTACATTTAATTCAATCACAAATACTTATTCACATAAGCATCACGTATTTTCATTCTTGGAGGATAAGGCCTAAATTTGAACAATATGTCCCCAGCCTGCCTAAGGAAGAAGTCTGCCAGTTCTGCCTCCTCCTTCCCTTCAAGCTTCAGGGATGCCTGGAGATGAGGGAAGGGAGCTGTTTGGGGTGAGCTACAGCCCAGATAAGCAGGAGAACTCTGGGAATCTCTGCAGCGGGCAAACATACCTGGCCAGAGTCCCGAGAAAGGAGCCTGATGGGATCTTTTAAGGAAGAGACATCACATGGATGGGATGGAAGCAATGCTAATCAGTGAAATTTTTATTTTGATCTTGAAAGAAGGAAAAAAAGCTATTAATTTTCCCAGGCAAGAGGAAGGAACTGGCACCCCGCTGCCATGTAGGGGAGCCTGGGCTCACCTGGCCAGCCAGACCCTGGCCAGGGTGGGTCTTTAGGCCTGATCCTGCCTATGACTGATGCACTGGGTGGCCATGGGAAAGGCAACTGGCATTTCTTGCCCTCAGCCCCTCAAAGTCTGCTCTTCCACACTGGCTGCACTGCAACCAGCTCTGTGCACATATTGCCCAGAGTGGTGGTGGTTGTAATTATTAGAATTATTGTTTCACTTAGGTTGGATCACTTGTTCCCCTCCTCCAATCTCTCCAACAGCTTCCTTCACACTTACAGAGGCAATAGACTTCAGCCTGAGCTTGTTTCTCTGCAAAGAGTATATTATTGGCAAATGGTGAATCAGGAGAAAATCTGAAACCATCAAACCCACTGACACAGATCCTAGGTGAAACCACACACCCCTATCATTTCATATGCTATTATCGCATATCTGCATTTTATTGGAAAACAGAGGCTGTTGCTGGAAGTACTTTAAGGTGACCCAAACCTTGCTTCTTTAGTATTCTCTTAAACTATGACATTAAAGTAGACGTGGCAGCTGATCACTTCAGAATGAAGGCCCTTCAATCTCCAAACTCATCCCCACCTTTACCCATTTATAATTGCACCAACCAGGAGGGCTAGCTTTCTCCACTTGTCAGGAAGGAAAGTTGAGAGCAACGTCTGTGCTGCTGCCACTAGCTCCTGGCTACTTCCCAGACCTCATCTCAACCACTCTTCTCCTCTGCTACTTCCAGCCCATGGTCCTATCTGGTCCTTGACACTGCCAAGATCTTCCCACCTCAGGGCCTTTGTCCTGTCTGGGTCCTCTTCCTGGTATGCCTTTCCCACTTCTCTATGTGTGGTTGGCTCCTCATTTTTCTGGCCTTAGCTCAGGTGTCACCTCTTCAAAGAGGCCTTCCCAGACTATCCAGCTAAAGCAGTCCCAGCCACAGACACACTCCATCTTTATTTAAAACCTCCCCCAGGCCATTTTCAAGTTCATCCAGGTTAAAAGATCAGCATTTTCTGGATCTGTGCCACCTTTTCATAGTCAGCAGATCTCTGTCTGCTCTCAGGGGTATGCCAAAGGCCACTGGGTCATTGGTAAGCAGCCAGGGATCCTGAGGCTCCCAGAGACCTAGATGCCCAGTGACATTAGGGATGGCAAAACAAGCTGGGCATGGTGGCTCACACCTATAATCCCAGCACTTTGGGAGGCAGAGGCGAGCAGATCACCTGAGGTCAGGAGTTCGAGACCAGCCTGGCCAACATGGTGAAACCCCGTCTCTACTAAAAATGCTAAAAATTAGCTGGGTGTGGTGGCATGTGACTGTAATTCCAGCTACTTGGGAGGCTGAGGCAGGAGAATCGCTTGAACCCAGGAGGTAGAGGTTGCAGTGAGCCGAGATCATGCCACTGCACTCCAGCCTGGGCAATGGAGCAAAACTCCATCTCAAAAAAAAAAAACCAGGCACTGGACAACTGGACAGCACTGAGAAAAGCACTGTCACTGGGAGATGAAAGCGGCAGTCCGGCCCACAGAAGGATGTAGTCAGACTCCATGAGCAAAAGGCAAGAGGGCAGTTGCTGGAATGGCCACGCACAGGGGGAGTCAGGACCAGAGGTGGAGGTGAGGTCCTGTGAGGCTGGGGTGCCATACACGGGAGTTTCTAACACACCCCCACTCTCCTCCACACACACCTGCAGCCCAGGGTCCTTTTGTTCCTAAAGACAGGGGGTTAATCTGTGATTGGCTGTGACCAGAAATTCTTTCCCTCTTGAGGTCTATTAAATAAGAAGAAAGGAAAGTAAAACCAGAAAGCAAAAACTGGAAGAAATAAGTATAACAACTCATAAAAGAGAGGGTGATTTATGCCTGCATGAAAGCCAGCTCCAGGTGGGCCATCACTGTGGAATGCCAGGGCCTTGCTCTGTGTGACTCCACTAAGGCCTGCAGGGAAATTGCTTCATGAATGACACATGCTCTCATCAGGCAAGGCAGGCTTCAAAATGTGATCCATTTGGAAGGGTGACCTGGACGCTGGGCAGGCATGTGTCCTCCACTGGTCTGCAGCCCCACAAGGACACATGTTTTCCCAGTGTTTAGCACAGTGCCAGCCACCAGCACACACTCAATAGCCAATTTGCTGCATTAAAATTAAACATTTATCAGTCCACTCAGTATGTATGGTCTTCCTGCTAGAAGCAGCCTTCCCCTACTAAATAAATACCTGGATAACTCAAAACTCAGCACCACTCTTGTATCAGTTAGGATTTCTGATTATAAGCAACAGAAATGAACTGTGAATAAAAGAAACAGAAAAGGAAGGCCCCCTTTTGGAAAGCTTTGAAGCAGTTCTCAGAATCAAGTCGGGCTGGGCCATAGAGCATGGGCCACACCACAGGGACTGAGTGACCTGGCTGGACATTCTGGATGGCGCTTCTGTCCCTGCCCACCCTCCAAACACTTGATGCAGTTGCAGATGTCTCAATTCTCCCTGAATCTTCAATTCCCTCCATTAACAATCAAAGCCCGAGTCAGGAGCATCCAGGTAGCTGGTTTGAGATCAGGTGCCCACATCCTAGCTCCCCAGAAGTAGGAGGGAAGACCACCTGGGCCCTTTGGATTTCCTGGCACTCTCACAGGGCAGACCTCCTCCTCCCAATAACCCAGCTCCACCTTTCCCACCCCAAGAATCCCATCCCCATGGCTCCCGACTCAAGCAGGAATGAACATTTGGATTGTGGGTAGTGTTTCCACCACCACCATTAGACATAGGGTCATCACAGCATAGAATCTCATCTTCAACCTTCAGAATCACTGTTTCCATCAGACTTTTTTAAAGTACCTGAATTCAAGCAGGAATAAGCTCTCTTGATTGATGTGTAATTGAGTTAGTCATATATTCAAGTGTTTACAATGTGCTAACATCCACAGCCAAGAGGAAACACTGTTGCAGTTGTAACTTTAGCCTCTGGTTACCAAGGGAGGTTGTGGACATTCTCTTTGGGAATATATTTGGAAATAAGATTAGCCCCCTTATAGAGCTAAGTTGTTCCAAGCTGGGCGGGCTGGGTGGTTGTAATATGGACTATAAACCACTGAAAGTGGTTGCCTTTCCTAAAGCAACTTGGCCCCAGGATTCTCAGCCCAGTGGTTGATGCCTCCTTTTCTGTCTCTCTGCTCTCACCCTAAGATTGTCTGTCTAAATCACCCGCTAACTCTCCCAGATGTGTCTTCCGACATACGGATTCCTCGGTATGCGGTGGTGATATAGCAGGTCAGGCCGCTACCTCCCAGTGTCTGCAATCTGCTCATTTCCCACTCCCCCTGACAGGCAGGCAATGACTCTACAGCTGTCCTGATGAGAGATGTGGGCACTGCAGAGTTGGCACTGCAGGGGTAGACCACACAATGACGGTGCAGGGGCAAACCTCTGCTACTCACTCAATCCCGATATTCCTGTTACTAAGGTCCTGAGAGGGTGGGACTGTTGTCCTTTTTCACATTTGGGGTATAGACAAGGTAGGCAAGTGACTGCATTCCTGTGCTGTCAGCTTTCCTTCTGATAAACGGAAATGACTCCCCATCCCGTTTGGCCCATTCGTAAGTAGTGTAAAGGTGGGGATGATTTTGGAGGTTGAAAGGCTTTCGTTCTGAAATCATCAGGTGCCACATCTATTATGATGTCTCAGCTTGGAAATGTACTGCAAAAGGCAGATTTTGGTTACCTTTAAATACTTCCAGCAAAGTCCCTGGTTTTCAATAAAATATGTACATGCAAATACATATATTATATGAAATGCTGGGTGTATGTGGCTTTTACTCAAGGATCTGGATCAGTGGATTCAGAGTTTCTGCTAGTTCACCATTTGCCAATAAAATAGCCTTTGCAGAGAATAAGCTGAGAAGCTTGAGCTGATGTTTATTCTCCCTCTGAGGGAGTTGGCTTGGGGGATCCTCACAGGCTTGACCTCCTACAGCTGCAGGAGACAGGGCAGTGGGGACAGAGAGCCAGGCACCTCCTGGCATGTATCCCTCTATTAGCCATGTTAATTGGGGAAACAAGAAAGAAATATGCCAACTAAATCCAACAAATTTGAACCACAATCTGGCCTTGGCCAAGACTGAAAAGTAGGGGAAAATGAAGTTTTTCTGAAGCTCTCTATGTCCTCTGTCATGTCTCTAGGTAAATGTATAAATGAAGGGTATTTTTCTTGTTTTAATAAGCTACACACCTTCATGAACATTCCAGAACAAGGCAACTGACGGAGGATGTTCTAAGTGTGTGTGTACAAGCCAGCCATGAGTGAGCGGCCGCTTCACTGACTGCCACCATGTGCTATTCCAGGAAGTCAGCCTTGAGGACTGGCTGTGCTTACTGAGCACACACCAGCCCACTGCCACATGGCAGCCAAATGCACACCAAGCACAAACACCAAGCTGCAATGTTGATGCCTTGGGAGCAAAGAATGCCCTGATGTGCTCAGCTGAGCACTACTCTGTCCTGGAGCAGTGACAGTCCTGATTGCCCAGTAATTGCTTGGTGGTACTGAATTTATACATTGTATTATTCAGAGATTATTGATTCCTTCAGGACAAGGCACCTTCAGTTTGAATCACTGCCACCAGATCAAGTGGTCCCTCATTACGTATATAGAAGACTCTGACAGACTCTCTCTGGCATGGAATAGCCAAAAGGAAAGAATATGAAAATCAAGTTAGTATTGCTTTATCCAGTAAAAAAAATCTGGACTGCATTGTCAGGATACAGTTTTTCTATACCCTATTCTCTTGACACCCTTCAAAACAGGAGATAGGAAAAAAGAGAAAAATCAATCTTCACGAAAATAAAGAAATGGTGGCATTACAAACCACCTAGTAGAAAATGCACTGGAATTTGGAAGAACAATGAAAGCAGACTCACACCTCCTCAGACTTTGGCCCAGATTTGGGTTTCTCTAAAGGCAAATGTTGCATCCTGAGAGGCCCTGCAGTAATAAGACAGCCACATGTTGTAAGGGAAGTGTGGGGACCTGTGGGATAGCTCAGAGGGTGTTCTTTCTGTCTCTGTTTCCCCCACTCCCATCTTCACTGCCTCCTGGCTGAAAGAAACTTCCAGAACAGAGTATGAAGCAGGCAGAGCAGCAGCCTCAGTGGCTACGACCCCCAGCACCCTCAGCAGAAGGCACACTCCTGGGCATCCCACGACACGCGCTTCATTCATACTCTGGAGAGGAGAACACCAACAAATATAACAGAAAACTATTCAAAAACACACAGAAGAAAGGCTTCTTGAATTAAAGTCTTGGAACTGCCATTTGAAAAAGTCAAAATACATCCTAAGATAAAATCAAGATGCATCCTGGTGAAATTACTAAATCTCCAGGATAAAGAAGGAATCTTCTTGACATCCAGGTAGAAAAAAATCAAATGACCTAAAAGAAGTAAAAATGAGGCCTGCCCTAAAACTGACCACTGCAATGCCATGTTCAGCTGACCACGTTCAATGCCATAAGACACTGAAGCAATGTCCATGAATTCTGAGCAAAGGAATTTTAATTTATGTGACCCATGTATATAAACCCAGGCAGGTTGCCCCTGCAACCCCATGTACACAAATAGGCAAGAAGATTCAAGCATTCTCAAAACTTCAGGGAACAGAGCACCAGTGAGCTATGGAGGGTGGGAGGTGGGTGGCGAATAACCTGAAAATGGAATCTGGGAATCTGGTCAAACAAAAAGTAACATAAACCAAAAATGTTAGAACTTGTTTATCCAAGTGTGGCTCTTGCAGCAGCAGTACTGACATCATGGAGGTTGGGGGCAGGTGTTAGAAATACAGACCCTCGGCCGGGCACGGTGGCTCACTCCTGTAATCCCAGCACTTTTGGAGGCCGAGGTAGGTGGATCACGAGGTCCGGAGTTCGAGACCAGCCTGGCCAAGATGGTGAAATCCCATCTCTACTAAAAATACAAAAATTAGCTAGGCGTGGTGGCGCTTGCCTGTAGTCCCAGCTACCTGCGAGGATGAGGCAGGAGAATCGCTTGAACCTGGGAGTCAGAGGTTGCAGTGAGCCAAGATCGTGCCATTGCACTGCAGCCTGGGCAACAAGAGTGAAACTCTGCGTAAAAAAAAAAAAAAAAAAAAAAACAGAAAAAAATACAGACCCTCAGGGCCCACCTCAGACTCACTGCACCAGAATTCTTATTCTAACAAAATACCCAAGCACTTAATATACTCTTTAAACCTTAAGAACCACTTTTCTAGGACAAAGAAACCATAGTGGAAGAACAGGCAATGGCAGCTGAGTGGATAAGAAAAAAAATGCCTGTGTATTATGGCAGAGAACAGAATGTAACAGCTACACATCTCATCAATGTAAAAGTAGTAACATAAGAAATCCAGAGTAGGGGGATGAGGGAAGGAGAGGAAGTAGGAAATCAAGGGATACTGTGAAATTTTTAAAATGTGAATAAATCTCATCTTTACTCTACCCAAAAAACTTTACAGAAATTAAAATAACTTGTAATGAAGAAAAACATTTTTGAACTTTAGCAATTTTTGCACTTTCATTTTAATTTTTTAATCTATTAAATTCAAATCAAATTATATTGCTTTTAATTTTAAAAAAGATATACAGTAATTTTCTATTTTTGTAAATGTGTTTGAATTCACCTAATTAGCTATCATTCTATCAGAGGGATAGCTGTGCAGCACCAAATGTTAATGATTTCCTCTGGATGGTGGAATTTGAAGTAATTGTTTTTTGTCATTTTAAAATTTGTACTTTTGTACATTACTTGATTTAAAAAGCAAATAATAGCGTCTACTATTTTCACACAAAAAAGTTCTTTAAAAGCATAATCAGAAACGTTTTTATTTTACATAACAGAACAGATTTAAATAATGCTCTAAGTAGTACTCAGATTCCATAAATTTGAAGTAAAAGGTAATTAAAACTAGGTTAAAAGAAGGCAAATTGGGTGATAAGCTGCCTAAAATGTGACCTGCTCCCCATCACTAAACACTGCTTCTGCATTAGGATGTTAGAAAATCTTAGCAATGCCTTCTGTTAGGAAGCTTCTCAGGTAGTTGCAAACCCTCTGTCTCTCCAGGGCCTGGGGGCCCTCAGGCTCAGTGCCTGCAGCTTTGGCAGTGGGAGAAGCTTGGTATTTTTTGCCCCTGCTTGGGCTCACCAAGGCCTGCCTTTCTTTCTCTGTACTTTTCTGTTTTCTGCATCTCAAAGATACAGGATACATCATCTACAGATACAGGAAAGCCCCCAAATTATAGTAGCTGAGCTGCATAATAAGACACCCAGGCCCTTTAATACATGACTTTCTGAGCCAGACCCCAGACCAATGGTTCTTAAATTTTGGTGGTTATCAGAATCACCCAGGGAACGTTAGTAAAAATATTAAAGCCCAGGCCCTGTCCTCCTCATGGCTCTGGGGCCTGTAGACTTCAGCCGCTGTCAGGTGAGTCAGAGGGAACTGAATCCAACTCTGGAGATGGGCCAGGCATCAGAGGGCCTCAAACCTTTCCTGGTGGCTTTCATTGCAGCCAGGGTTTCTAATCACTACCCTCACATCTGCTCCTGCATCCATATTCCTCCCAGTCAGACAAGGAGGGATGGGGGTTTATGCTGTTCCTTTCCTTCCAGGCAACCCATGGCCCTGGGACTCTGCAACAGAGTAGGATGGGATCCATAAGTCCACGCCCCTGTGACCACACCTGCCCAGTGAAGGGCCTGGCCGCACTGAATGCACTCAATCTTTCTAACACCCAGACATGTGAGTTGTGTTCCTCCATCTCAAGACACACTGAACTCTTTCTTAAGTAAAATAACTACACTGAAGTTGTCCTTGGGTCAGCCTCATCTTTCCAAAGATGGAGCAAATAAAGGCCAAGGTGCTAGGTGGTGGTCAAGCCTTCCCTGGATCCAGCTCTTCTCTCGGATGGCCCCATGCCATTTCCACTCAACTAGGAAATGCCATTTACACATTCAGAGCACAACGAGACACCCTTTGAGACAGATTATTTAACTGCTCCTCATAGCAGCAATTTTCACCTCTCCCATTTTGCTGAGAGAAGATTCCACAAGGGACTGCTGGTCCTAAAGAAACTGCCCTGGGAACTAGAATCCCTAGCGTGTTTCAAATCCACTTTCAAAGAGTGTGCTGGCTGAACATGCCAGTGCATTCTTTGAAATTCATTTGATAATATCATGGAGGCTGAGCTTTTCAAGGCCATAGAGTGAAATGCTTAAGAACACACTCTGTAGCCAGCCTGTTTAGGTTTAAACCCCAGTAGCATGACTCAGGGAAACTATTTAACCTTTCTCTGTGCTTCAGCATCCTCATCTGTAAAATGGGGATAATAATGATATTTGCCTTATAGGAATGCTTGGGAATCAAATGAGTTCACATTGTAAGTGTGCATAGGACACATAGTAAGCACTATGTATATGTTTGTTATGATTATTCCTTAATTCTATCTACGTGTCTGAATGCAACCAGCCTCCTCTCTTCTTTCTGTTCCATGTACCAAGCTGATGCTTTGCCCTGCATGCCCCCATCTAGTTAACCATCTAGTTCTTCCTTGGTAGTTAGAGCTCAGGCGCCAATAGTAGCTTTCCTGTTTTGTCCCCTGCCTCCTCCCACAATCTCAGTTGTCCTGATTTCAGCAGAGCATTTGAGCCTCCCCTCATGATTTTGTCACGGATGTGAAGGCTGGCTGGGGCCTCGGCCATCCCCTTAGTAATAATTCTGTTAAATAACTGTGTCCCGTCATCCCTGAGAAATGGGATGTCATCGCCTGGTGCTGCCCTTCGTCCTGACCTGATCAACAGCTTAATCCATGAAGTAGAGGAAAAGTATTTAACAAGATGTATATCAAATCAGGAAGTGACAGAAAGCTGGAAGAATGACTAAAATGCTGGGGAGTTAAGATTCAGACTGATCACGTGGGGATTGAAATTCTGGATTGAAGCCAAGAGAAGGTGCTCTTTATACAGGACAAATGTAAATTATAAATCGGGAGCCTTGGCTTTGCAGCACAATATGTGAAGGAGATGGAGGTGTGCAGGTGAATATGCACTTCCTGCCATGACCTAGGGTGAGTCTGCATCCCAGAAAAGGCCCACTCACTATCCTCTGAATTAAGGACATCCCTTCCAAAGAGTTCTGTATTGTTATGGAAGCCACAAGATAATACGAACAACAGTGACTGGAGTTTGCACATCATTCATTTATTCATGAATCCACTTGCCATTATTTCGGGCTTTATTTTTGCAGGTAATTGGCCTAAGAACTACTAACAGAAGAGTGTCTGGTTCTTCAGAAAGTCTAAGATTAGGGGCTGGAGACCACCAGAAGGTGCATTTGATGAAACAATCTTTCCAACAATCAGAAAAAAAGTGAACTTCCTGTCATTAGCTGTGTACCCAGGCTCTGCAAGGGAGGTAAGGGAGTGTCTAGAGAATTGCTACTGCGTTAGGCAGCTGGGACCCTCAGGTCCTCTTTCAAGGTGCTATTCCATGGTCCTATGAATCACATGATAAAGTTGAGGCAGGTAGTGGGAAACTGAAAAGGAGGTAGACTAAATCAGATCTTTCATATCCCAGGCAGCCAGCCTTCCTTTTGCCTCTAGGCTGCTCCTGACCTGTTTCTGCCTTGATCTGGAACCAAAGTGACTCCTGATCCATTGGGTCTCACCTCCATTCACATAGCATAAGCCCAGAAGAGAAATGCAAGTTAAATCTACAAGGGTACCATGTTTCAGCTGTCGGGGTGGCAAAGATCAAAATATTTGATACTAGCTAATGGTCAACCCTCATACTTCATGGGTTCGAGCATTATCTAGCACAATATTTTGAAAAAAAAAAACTTGGCATCATATATCAAAATTTAAAATGCATACACTTTCCCACTTTGTAACCCCATTTCTGGGAATGTACCGTATAGATATATTTGGATTCCTACAGAGCACTCTATTGTACAAGGATGTTCACTGCAGCATTCTCCTCTCATTCTCTCTCTTTTTAGAAACAGTGTCTCACTATGTTGCCCAGACTGCACTTGAACTTTTGGGGTTAAGCAATCTTCCTCTCTCAGCCTCCCAAGTAGCTAGGATTACAGGTATATGCTACTTTGCATCATTCTCTTTCTTAGGCTTTGGCAAAACATTTCAATCTTTTATTGTCATTTTTATGGTGCAAAATACTGTAACTAAATATTTATCATTTTAACCATTTGTAAGAATATAACTTAGTTGCATTAAATCCATTCACAATATTATATCACCACCACCACTATCTATATCCAGAACATTTTCATCATCCCCAACACGAAATTCTGTACTCATTAAACAATAACTCCCCATCTGCCCGTAGTAACCTCTGTTCTACTTTCTGTCTCTATGAATTTGCCTCTTCTTCCCCATATAAGTGGAATCATACAATATTTGTCCTTCTGTGTCTGGCTTCTTTCACTTAGTACTTGTATTAGTCCGTTCTTACACTGCTGTACAGAAATACCTAAGACTGGTTAATTTATAAAGGAAAGAGGTTTAATTGACTCACAGTTCCACATGGCTGGGGAGGCCTCAGGAAACTTACAATCATGGCGGAAGGTGAAGGGGAAGCAAGGACCTTCTTCAAAAGTTGGCAGGAGAGAGAAGAGTGAGCAGGAGAAATACCAGATGCCTATAAAACCATCAGATGTGGGGAGGAGCCAAGATGGCCGAATAGGAACAGCTCCGGTCTACAGCTCCCAGCCTGAGCGACACAGAAGACAGGTGATTTCTGCATTTCCATCTGAGGTACTGGGTTCATCTCACTAGGGAGTGCCAGACAGTGGGCGCAGGTCAGTGGGTGCGTGCACCGTGCGCGAGCCGAAGCAGGGCAAGGCATTGCCTCACTCGGGAAGCACAAGGGGTCAGGGAGTTCCCTTTCCTAATCAAAGAAAGGGGTGATGGACGGCACCTGGAAAATCGGGACACTCCCACCCGAATACTGCGCTTTTCCGACGGGCTTAAAAAACAGCGCACCAGGAGATTATATCCCGCACCTGGCTCGGAGGGTCCTACACCCACGGAGTCTCGCTGATTGCTAGCACAGCAGTCTGAGATCAAACTGCAAGGCAGCAGCGAGGCTGGGGGAGGGGCGCCCACCATTGCCCAGGCTTGCTTAGGTAAACAAAGCAGCCAGGAAGCTCTAACTGGGTGGAGCCCACCACAGCTCAAGGAGGCCTGCCTGCCTCTGTAGGCTCCACCTCTGGGGGCAGGGCACAGACAAACAAAAAGACAGCAGTCTCCTCTGCAGACTAAAATGTCCCTGTCTGACAGCTTTGAAGAGAGCAGTGGTTCTCCCAGCACGCAGCTAGAGATCTGAGAATGGGCAGACTGCCTCCTCAAGTGGGTCCCTGACCCTGACCCCTGACCAGCCTAACTGGGAGGCACCCCCCAGCAGGGGCACACTGACACTTCACACTGCAGGGTACTCCAACAGACCTGCAGCTGAGGGTCCTGTCTGTTAGAAGGAAAACTAACAAACAGAAAGGACATCCACACCAAAAACCCATCTGTACATCACCATCATCAAAGACCAAAAGTGGATAAAACCACAAAGATGGGGAAAAAACAGAACAGAAAAAATGGAAACTCTAAAAAGCAGAGCGCCTCTCCTCCTGCAAAGGAACGCAGCTCCTCACCAGCAACGGAACAAAGCTGGACGGAGAATGACTTTGATGAGCTGAGAGAAGAAGGCTTCAGACGATCAAATTACTCTGAGCTATGGGAGGACATTCAAACCAAAGGCAAAGAAGTTGAAAACTTTGAAAAAAATTTAGAAGAATATATAACTAGAATAACCAATACAGAGAAGTGCTTAAAGGAGCTGATGGAGCTGAAAACCAAGGCTCGAGAACTACGTGAAGAATGCAGAAGCCTCAGGAGCCGATGCAATCAACTGGAAGAAAGGGTATCAGTAATGGAAGATGAAATGAATGAAATGAAGCGAGAAGGGAAGTTTAGAGAAAAAAGAATAAAAAGAAACGAGCAAAGCCTCCAAGAAATATGGGACTATGTGAAAAGACAAAATCTACCTCTGATTGGTATACCTGAAAGTGATGGGGAGAATGGAACCAAGTTGGAAAACACTCTGCAGGATATTATCCAGGAGAACTTCCCAAATCTAGCAAGGCAGGCCAACGTTCAGATTCAGGAAATACAGAGAACGCCACAAAGATACTCCTGGAGAAGAGCAACTCCAAGACACATAAGTGTCAGATTCACCAAAGTTGAAATGAAGGAAAAAATGTTAAGGGCAGCCAGAGAGAAAGGTCGGGTTACCCTCAAAGGGAAGACCATCAGACTAACAGCAGATCTCTCGGCAGAAACCCTACAAGCCAGAAGAGAGTGGGGGCCAATATTCAACATTCTTAAAGAAAAGAATTTTCAACCCAGAATTTCATATCCAGCCAAACTAAGCTTCATAAGTGAAGGAGAAATAAAATACTTTACAGACAAGCAAATGCTGAGAGATTTTGTCACCACCAGGCCTGCCCTAAAAGAGCTTCTGAAGGAAGCGCTAAACATGGAAAGGAACAACCAGTACCAGCTGCTGCAAAATCATGCCAAAATGAAAAGACCATCGAGACTAGGAAGAAACTACATCAACTAACAAGCAAAATAACCAGCTAACATCATAATGACAGGATCAAATTCACACATAACACTATTAACTTTAAATGTAAATGGACTAAATGCTCCAATTAAAAGACACAGACTGGCAAATTGGATAAAGAGTCAAGACCCATCAGTGTGCTGTATCAGGAAACCCATCTCACGTGCAGAGACACACATAGGCTCAAAATAAAAGGATGGAGGAAGATCTACCAAGCAAATGGAAAACAAAAAAAGGCGGGGGTTGCAATCCTAGTCTCTGATAAAACAGACTTTAAACCAACAAAGATCAAAAGAGACAAAGAAGGCCATTACATAATGGTAAAGGGATCAATTCAGCAAGAAGAGCTAACTATCCTAAATATGTATGCACCCAATACAGGAGCACCCAGATTCATAAAGCAAGTCCTGAGTGACCTACAAAGAGATTTAGACTCCCACACATTAATAATGGGAGACTTTAACACCCCACTGTCAACATTAGACAGATCAACGAGACAGAAAGTCAACAAGGATACCCAGGAATTGAACTCAGCTCTGCACCAAGCAGACCTAATAGACATCTACAGAACTCTCCACCCCAAATCAACAGAATATACATTTTTTTCAGCACCACACCACACCTATTCCAAAATTGACCACATACTTGGAAGTAAAGCTCTCCTCAGCAAAGGTAAAAGAACAGAAATTGTAACAAACTATCTCTCAGACCACAGTGCAATCAAACTAGAACTCAGGATTAAGAATCTCACTCAAAACCGCTCACCTACATGGAAACTGAACAACCTGCTCCTGAATGACTACTGGGTACGTAACGAAATGAAGGCAGAAATAAAGATGTTCTTTGAAACCAACGAGAACAAAGACACAACATACCAGAATCTCTGGGACACATTCAAAGCAGTGTGTAGAGGGAAATTTATAGCACTAAATGCCTACAAGAGAAAGCAGGAGAGATCAAAAATTGACACCCTAACATCACAATTAAAAGAGCTAGAAAAGCAAGAGCAAACACATTCAAGAGCTAGTAGAAGGCAAGAAATAACTAAAATCAGAGCAGAACTGAAGGAAATAGAGACACAAAAAACCCTTCAAAAAATTAGTGAATCCAGGAGCTGGTTTTTTGAAAGGATCAACAAAATTGATAGACCGCTAGCAAGACTAATAAAGAAAAAAAGAGAGAAGAATCAAATAGACGCAATAAAAAATGATAAAGGGGATATCACCACTGATCCCACAGAAATACAAACTACCATCAGAGAATACTACAAACACCTCTACGCAAATAAACTAGAAAATCTAGAAGAAATGGATAAATTCCTTCACACATACACTCTCCCAAGACTAAACCAGGAAGAAGTTGAATCTCTGAATAGACCAATAACAGGATCTGAAGTTGTGGCAATAATCAATAGCTTACCAACCAAAAAGAGTCCAGGACCAGATGGATTCACAGCCAAATTCTACCAGAGGTACAAGGAGGAACTGGTACCATTCCTTCTGAAACTATTCCAATCAATAGAAAAAGAGGAAATCCTCCCTAACTCATTTTATGAGGCCAGCATCATTCTGATACCAAAGCCGGGCAGAGACACAACCAACAAAGAGAATTTTAGACCAATATCACCAATATCCTTGATGAACATTGATGCAAAAATCCTCAATAAAATACTGGCAAAACGAATCCAGCAGCACATCAAAAAGCTTATGCACCATGATCAAGTGGGCTTCATCCCTGGGATGCAAGGCTGGTTCAATATATGCAAATCAATAAATGCCCCCATAATTCAATCACCTCCCTCTCTGGACCCATGGAGATTACAATTTGAGAGGAGATTTGGGTGGGGACATAGACCCAAAACATGTCAGTACTGAATATTGTTTTCAAGGTCCATCCATATTACAGCATACATCAACATTTCATTCATTTTTATGGCTGGATAGTATGCCATTCAATATATATACCACATTTTGTTTATCGATTCATCTCTTGATGAAGAGTTGGATTGTTCCTACCTTTTGCCTATTGTGAATAATGCTGCTGTGAATGTTGCTGTACAAATGATATGTTCAAGTCTCTGCTTTCAGTTCTTTTGGACAGCATTCTTTTTGATGACAAAAAGATGGAAAACAACCACAACAACTATTAATAGGAGACTAGTTAAATAAGTTATGGTACATCCATACATGAGGATACTATGCAACTCTTTATAATGAGGCAGGTTTATGAGTCTTGGTATGGAATCATCTATAAGATACATTATGAGGAAAGAAGGAGGAGGAAGAGAAGGATAACATAGAGGAGGCAAGAAGGAAGCAGCAGCAGCAGCAGCAAAGGGAAGAACTGAGTGCATGCCCGACACCTAGGCTGTCCCTGGAAGCCTCCACAAAAGCCAGTGAGAGTGGTGCTCTGGGAGGCCATTGGGCCTGGGGTTAGTGGTGAGGGAAGGCTTTGCTATATGCCCTTTGGAAATATTTTAATGAACTGAATGTTTTACCTTCTCAAAATTTGTCAATACTTTAAATTGGCATATGATCTTTTAAAGTCCTGAGTGTGGTCATGGGTCCAGCAGCAGGTGGGAGTGTTTGACAGCCATGAGGCTATAGAACAGCCCTGGGAGATGGAGGCAGGGGACCAGCCGACATTTATCCCTGCAAGCCCTGGACACATCGCCACTGCCACCCCATCTTCAAACACAGAGCTCACTGTTAGCAACCTCCCAGATGCCTTGTAGCCTCTTGATTCCAATCCCCCATTTCTTCTTTTCTTCCTCTCCTCCCCAGAAAAGTAATTTGGAGAGCTGCAAGATGGAAGGTGCAGGCTCCCCCGCCTGGCTGTTCATGCTTCACACTGCTGGAGACAGAGGCCATGGAGTGAGTCTTCAAAGTTGCAAGAACACCCTGCCCCAAGGAGGATCAGCACTCAATCAGGAAAGGCCTCTGACACCCTCCTCCTCCAGGCCAGATACATGGAAAAGGTGTCTGCTCCGAGCCAGCTGAACAGACCTCACATGATGATAATCAAATCATATTTGAAAATGAGATGAGGAGGGGAGTCAGAACAAAAGTCTATGAAAAGAAAAATAAGGTGGAAGTTGCAGAAATTGGTGTTCTGTATTCTAAGGCCTTCCTGGCTCCTGGCAGGGTTTGAGATTAGTGTTGATAATAGCTTCACCATAGGACCACAAAAAATCAATGGAACTGGGACTGAGGCAGGATCCATTTATCTTCTTGGGGTGAAATAGAAGGTGTGATTTTTAAAAAGGCAAATTATAACAAATGTGTGTAATTGATGTGCATACACAGAACCATGCAAGACGGGCCAACTGCACACAATTGCACAATATCAGGCATTATTCTCATCAAGAGTTTTTGTAACAATGCCAACCCCAGGACACGGTTCAAGTACTCTGGAGAGTAGTACTAGGAATTGAGTTCTAGAATGTGTTGCGTTATTTTTGCATGATTAATTATTTGTTTGAAAAGGTGAGGAAGAATACGAAAAAGAAAAGCCAATTTGCAGGTCCTGTTTTATAATAAAATGACTTGCTTGGGATAGGGCTTCAGCTGTCACTTAATCTATCCCTCTGCCTCTCATTTAAATGGACTATTTCCCCCATGGAATGATTTTTTTCCCTCTTAAAGGTCTTTCTGTCAGTTTCCTGTATTGAGCTATATGTACCCTTCTCATGGGCAGAGATGATGCCTCATCACCTCTATGGTGTCAACACCTGACACACAGAAGTCTGTCAAAAGATGCTGTATTTATTAATTGATTAATTCTCTAATTAAGAGAGACCTCATTTTTCAACAGCAGGCTATCTTTCCATTTCAAAGCTAGGTTTTTCACATGCAGCTTTCTTATCCAGCTGGCAGTGCTAAGCCAGTCTAGTTGAAAGATTCAAGTTAGTTCCTGGAGAAGTAAATTTCCAGTGAGGAGGTGGGCAGGATGCATAGGGGTGAGAGAACTACTTTCCATGTCTGGTGAGTACCAGCCTGGGGACCAGAGGACCCAGGACAAGGAGCATCTCCACAGAGTGCATTGTGTGCCTGCAGCCTATGTACTTAACATCTTTGGAGACAGAAGTATGGAGCAATACCCTGCAAGAAAAGTGAGAAAGAGCAGACCTTGGTCCAAGGGAGATCCTCCTTCCTGGCTTAATCAAGGCCACTTTTAAAAGCTTTCCTTAGCCTCCCAGAAAGCCAGTCAATGTTACCACAGAGTCACAAGGCCACCTGAGGCAAGACGCTTTATAGGCTCTCTGGTAGTACTGCCCCATAACATGTCTACAAGCTTCTTCTGCTCCTAGCCTGGGCCTGGGAGCTGCCAGGCAATCCTCTCATCCTTCTTTTTCCTTCTTCATAAAGCCTGGGCTGTGCCCAGCCCTTCTTCTCCTCTGAAGATGATCCTTCCTCCTTTACTAAGATGCAGGAGGTGAGGAGTGAGCAGCTCACCGTCTTTCCTTCTCACCTGAATATATTTTTACCACAGTCCACAGTATTTCTGCATCCAAGTCACCTGCACTTTCCTTGCTTGGGGCCCTCACCAGTTCTGGTAAGAAGCAGCCCTTGTTCTCAAGGAATTTTCAGACCATCCCTTCTCTCCTCATATCTGATTTTATCCTCTTCAGATTAGACTCAGAATGGCTTTTTCAAATATCCCTTCTCTGTCTGGCAAATTGCTGTTTCTAGTCACAATCACCTTCCCTTAAGATATGAAGCTGATCAAATCTTCCCCATTCCAACAACAGTAACTCAAAAAACCTTCCGGCATGCTGATTTTCTCTCAAGCTCTCTTTTTTTCTTTCCCTTTTGTTTTTAAATCTATGCCTAACTGCTTCCACTTTCTCAACCCACTCAGCCTTCCAACTAGGGAAGGGGTTGTCTCCATCATGGTTCTGAAATTAACCATCACCAGTGACTGACCAGGTATCGGGTTTACTTGACTCACTACCCTGCATAGCCACCTGGCTGACACTGATGCCATGGACCTGTCTTCCCAGCCCAGTCAGCCTGTGCAGCCTTGTGCTTCCGGCTCTGCTCTCTTCCTGCCTCTCTGACTGTGACTTCTTTGTTTCCCTTCCTGGCTTATCTTCTTCCTCCTGTCGCCATCATGTCCCTCAAAGCCCAGTGCCTATCCTTGATCCCTTTTTCTCTCTCTACTTTCTCTCCCTTGGCAATCTCATCCCAGTATAAATTTTAAAAATCTATCAAATATTATGAATGAGACACTGTGTTAGGCACTGTTGATGTAGTGGTGAATTATAATTCTTTCAAAGCCTCACAGACAAATGGTGGAGGAAAAGACAGATAAATGAATAAATGATTTAACGCAATATATTAAGAAGTTTCTAGCTCAAAATGGGGATGGTATCCCCAAAGCATTCACACATTTTTTAGCAAATTTATTATAGTGTCAGAAAAATGTTGAAACTTCACAACAACCTATCTTTAATACTGACATATAACCCAGTGTCAGAATGGGTGGTATCTGCATCAGAGATGGTTTGAGAAAACCTCCCCAGACTTAGTACATGCTCATCCTAACTCTACTGCCTAAAACAGAGATTGCATGAAGAAAAAGGTAATAAAGTCCAGCTTCTGCCCTGCCTTAGAGACCCAGGGCTACTACCAATGAGGAACTGGGCTATGTTGTGAGTCAAGAAAGTTTTCACTTCATGACTTACATTCTCTTCCTTGCCCAGAAAACATCTATACACAGCATAGCTACCCAAGGACTAGAAATGGTGCAATGCCTTCTGAGAACCTAGAAGTGGTCCTATGGGAAAAGCACTCTGTGAGAGGGGGTAAAGACAGTCATGACCCAGAAGTGGTGCATGCAGGAAACTGTATTTTTCACATATTGCATCAGACCAGAAGAACTGAAGAACCAGATGCTTTAGATCTGCCGTGCCACCTGAGCAGAGCAGAGATACATCAAGAGAAAGCATTTCAGGTATGAGAAATTGAACTAAGACCTACACACATTGATCTCCTCCACAGCTGGTGCAAACTGAGAAGATAATTAAATCACCCTGAAAGAGAGCAGAAATGGAGTCCTAGAATAAGCTATTAACCCCGCCTATAAAACCTCACTGGGTCTCAGCAAAGTCCATTTTGCTTAAAATAGAATAGGGAAAATACCAGCTACTGCAGGAATGGGAACACCATTCTACTGTGTGAGAGGAAGAGCATACCTCTAAAAATGAGATACTGCAGAATTGAGAAGAAAAATTCAGGAAACTGTTTGCTTTTTCAGGAGTGCACAAGAAGGCATGACCTCTAAGTCAGAGGGAGAGAAAGTCACAAGAGAGGAAAATAAGCAGGTTTAGATGAAAAGGAAGGTTTATCCAAAACGGAAGAATAGTAAGGAAACTAAAAACGTTATAGCAGAAACAAAGCCACTTTGCAGGGAGGAAAGAGTAGTACTGAAGCTTCAGAACATCAAGTCAGTAATGTAGAAAGCAAATATGAAAGAAATTAAAACAATTGGGCAGAAGGTGAAAGATTTGGAAAACAGAGAGAATGAAGAACCACAGGCAGACAATAAAGATTCCTAAAATAGAATGTACCACAAATAAAGAAGAGAAATGAAAGACATAGTGTAATAAAATGTTACTGAATTAAAGATAAAGGTTTCTGCCTACAGACAGATGAGCTCACCAGGAAAAATCACCAGAAGGAGACCCCAGACATATCCTGGAAAATTAAGATAATGTCAGAGAGAATGCAGGCTATTCACAAGCTGAATAAGGTGGCTTTAGACATTTCTGAGAGACAGCAGACCTGAGAAGTGATGAAACATAGACAATAACAAAGGAGACCTTTTCAATCAGTGGTGAAGGATCAATTTCCCAAGGAATGAGGCTGAGACACAAGTTAGCTACTGGGAAACAAGCTAAATCCCTACTTTATATCCAATCCCTAAATGAATCCCTGCTGGATTAAATACTTAAATTAAAAATTGTGCCATAAAAGTAGTATGATAAAACACAGATGACCATTTATACAACTTTAGAGTGAGGAGGAACTTCCAAAGAAGGAACCAAAGGGAAAAGCACATAAGGAAAAAGACTGATAGATCAAACTACATTAAAAATGTTAAATTTTGCTAAAAAACTACAGGCCTAAAACAAATTATGACACTCAAAAGAAATGAAATATACATGACAAAGGTTTATTCATGCAACTAAATAGAAAAATGGGTAAAGAATATGAACAGGCATTCAAGATAGAAGAAATACAAATAAGTTTTTTAGTCCAACTGGCAATCAATTTTTAAGATCCAAATTAATATAACTAAGATTTAACGTTTTTCAGCTATCAGACTAACAAATAATCAAAAGAATTACAATGATCATTGTTGGAAATACTAGGAAGAAGCAGTCACTCTCATGGGCAGCTGGGATATGAAGGGCTCATCAGTATAGCATTGCTAAACAGCCATTGGGAATTTTTATTAAAAGCCTTAAAAATGAGAAAAACTTTAATCCAAAACTTCTACGTGTTGGATTTATCTTAAGAATATTATCTATTATGGCCCAGCATGGTGGCGCATGGCTGTAAATCCCAGCACTTTGGGAAACTGAGGTGGACAGATCACTTGAACCCAAGTGCTCAAGAGTAGCCTGGGTAACATGGCAAAACCCCATCTCTACAAAAAATTGGCTGGGTGTGGTGTTGTGTGCCTGCAGTCCCAGCTACTTGGGAGGCTGAAGTTGGAGGATTGCCCAAGCCTGGGAGGATGAGGCTGCAGTGAGCCATGATTGCACCACTGCACTCCCACCTGGGTGGCAGAGTGATACCCTGTTTTCAAATAAATAAATAAATAAAAGAATATTATTCATTAAGTTACCAAAAATATGTAAATAAGGAACCTAATTAGTAGATATTGTTGATTATTATTAGGAGATTGAAATTACCTAGATGTCTAAGTTTAGTGAAATAAGTTGCTAAATTTAATATAAGGCAAATGTTAACATGATAGCATGGACATCCATTCACATGAAGGAGAGAAATGATATATTGTAAAAAAAAGTCATAAAGCATTATGGCATAATTTTTTATCAAAATAATACATGCACATTATACCAATATATTAGTAGTAGTTATGTCTACATAGCAGTATTATAGGAGATAGTTTCTTTATGTTTATTTGTATTTCTACTTCTACCATGAATATGAATTACATATACATTTTTAAAAACTTGTTTTAAAATACAATTAAAATTATCAAGACTTCAATTGCTGGGTCACATGATATGCACATGTTTAGGTTTGTAAGAAACAGTGATATTCTTTTTTAAAGTGGTTGTACCATTTTATATTCCCACTAGCAATGGATGTAATCCAGTTTTTCCATTCTCACCAGCATTTGTTGTAATCATTTTTTTTATTTTAGCCATTCTGTTTGCTGTGTAGTGATATATCATTGTGGTCTTAATTTGCATTTGTCTTAATTTGTACTTTTCTAATGGCTAATGATGTTAAACTTCCTTTCATATGCTCATTAGTCATCTCTAGAAAAATGAAAACAAAATATATGTTCACATAAAAAAACATGTACATGAATGTTATAGCAGCTTCATTCTTAATTGCCCAAAACTGGAAACAACACAAATGTCTCTCAATGGATGAATGGTGAAGCAATCTGTAGTACATCCATACCATAGAATGCTACTCAGCAATAAAAGGAATGGACCATTAATATTCACAACAACTTGTATGGAAATGAGATCCATCCAGGTTGAGATTATGTTGAGTGAAAAAAAAGCCCATCCCTGAAGGTAACATACCATATGATTCCATTTATACAGCACCTTGTAATGACAAAATTATAGAGATCAAGAACACATTGATTGTCAGTGATCAGGGAGAAGAAGGAGGAAAGGTGCTGGCCATGGCTATAAAAGGGTATCACCAGGGAAGCTTGTGATGAAACTGTTCTGTGTCTTGACTATGGCGGTAGTCATACAACTCTACATGTGATAAAACTGAACAGATCTAAATACACACACACACACACACACACACACACAAGTGTATGTAAAACTGGTGATATCTGACTAAAGTCAATCAATTGTATCAAAGTTAATTTCCTGATTATGATTTGGTACTATAGTTACATGAGGTGTTACCATTAGCATAAACTGGATGAAGGGTAAATGGGTTTTTCTTAATATTTCTTAAAACTTCGTGAGAATACATAATTATCTCAATAAAAAGTTTTAGAAAACCATAATGAAACATTAAAATATGCAATGAAAATGTAACAAAGAAAGTGCTTAGATATAGCTATATAGGCTGGGCACTGTGGCATGTGCCTGAAGTCCCAGCTGCATGGGAGGCTGAGGCAGGAGGATCACTTGAGCCTAGGAGTTCAATGCCAGCCTGGGCAACATAGTAAGACCTCAGTTCTAAAAAAATAATAAATGAAGACAGAGCTATGCAAGGAATACTGAGAGACCTTGAGGGTGGGGCAGGCACAATGGGTATTTTGCCAGACAAGAAATTCCAGGGTCCTTCGTGGAAGAGGCTATGACTTGAGGAGTCTGGAAGTACTGTGAGGAAGAAGAACATTCCCAGGCACGGGATGACAGAAGATGGGGATGTGGCATCAGTGGGTGATGACTGTATCTCAAGAGCTTCAGATGCCTGCTGGGCAGGGGTCAAAAGCAGTGCAGACAGGGAGAGGGGATGCCCTGGGAGGGTCCAACTTTTTTCCCACTATCATGATATTTCATATATTTATCATATTATTTATTTATTCATTCATTCGCTTATTTGTTCAACAAATATTCTCCATGTGTCAGACGCAGCATGATGGCTTAGGAATAAAACAATAAATAAAATGATAAACATCCTTTCCCACTCCACCCCACAAAGATCTTGCTGGGGAGATAGACAAGTAAACAGAAGATGCAAATACACTGTGTGACAAGTGCCATGACAGAACGTATTATGTGCACATGGAAGGGGTACCTAACCCCGGAGGGCTTCATGGAAGAGATGGCATCTGGGCTAAAACCTGAAGGTTCAGTGAAAGAAATCCAAATGAATAGAAAGTGGGGAAGAATGGCCTTCAAGGCTAAAGAAATCAACAGCTTGTATGACAGCCCAGAGGTGACAGTTTACATCACAACTGGGGAAACCCAAGACTTTAAATGTGGCTGGAACACAGAGGTAGAAACCCTGTAAGATGTGAATGAAGCTGGCAAGCTCATCAACCTAAGATCTCACGAAGTCCTGATTGCCATGCCAAGGAGACTAGTCTGACATTTAAGGGTGATGGGGAGCCACTGAAATCTTTTCCAAAAAGGAGGCTCATAATCAACTGGGCTGAGAGTAGTGACAGAATGAACTGGGGAAGTTCAGGGAAGCTCCTTCCTAGCCCTCATCTATGCTGCAGGCCAACACTGTACATCCCTCCAGAGCTCTCAGTCAGTTTTCTGGGCTCCTTGTACTGGGGCCAGTGCAGGTCCCCCAAGAAAGTGCTGAGCTTGGAAGTTTTATGGAGTTCTGAACTCCCGGGCCAAGCTCTCTCCAGTCCCCGATCAATTGATCCCTGTCACAAGCTGATCTTGTTCCAGTTCTTTACTTTCTGGATCATAAAGTTGTCCTCTGGTGACTTAGGAGGCTCTCTGGTGCTGGGCATTTATAACCCAGAGATACCTGTGCAGTCAGCAGCCCCCATTAGTGTGCTGTTTGACAATTTAGCTGTCCCCTCTGAGGCCAGGATGAGATCTATCTGTTTCCCCAGGACTTGCTCGTCTAACATCAGGATGAGGCTGGATTGCTTCCCAGGCCTTGCTTTGGCAGCAGGGCAGCCAACTGCCTGTGCTGTTTTGGCTTAGAAACAGACAGAGCAAGAACTGCAGACTAGCAACCTCTTAATGGGGATTACTGGGGAACAGGACCCCTTCCAACCAGGCAGGACATCATTCTGGACTTTGAGATGCCTGTTGGGAACAAGTGCACTCTCAGGAGAAGCTTTCAGAAAAGCTCACAAGGCAGGTGACACATGAGGATGGGCCAGGGCTGGTGGAGCTGGCAGTGGGGAGTCCATCAGTCAGCCTCAAACACTGGAGGGAAATGAGGGTTAGAAATCCAGTATTCAGGGGCTGTGACAGTGGGGTCAGTGTGGTTTAGGTCAGAAGGGATGGAATTCAAGCACCCAGGGAAGCAAATACAGCAATAAGGAAGTGGGTGAGATTTTGTTCCATTTCCTGCCTCACTGTGAGTAGAGAGGTGAATGACACAGGCCTTGCCCTCAGGGAACTCACAGTGTGGAGAGGGTGAGACAAGACAACAAGGCTCCCCGTCTCCTCCCCTTTCAGACTCTACACACTCTGTTCCCTTTAGGCAGGCACTTGAAGGCTGTGAGCCCCAGGGATTTTGAGGCCATTTACCTTGGAAGCCAAAGCACTAGGAAAGACCCTTCCGCTGTGCAGGGATCACCTTGTACTTGTGCTCAAAATGCTTAGGACAGGGCCTGACACGTAGCAGATGCTCACTCAGTATTTGTGGCATGGTTGTCTTGCTTCAACCTCTTTTTCTCAGGAAACAAGAACTGAAACAAACTTGCCTTTGCCATACTGACCGGAGGCTTGGCAATGTCGTCCTGGGACCAGCATGTGTCCTTTGCGCACAGAGAGCTGTGCGTGGTTGGCTCTCTCAGAGGCAAAGCCAAGGCCCCACAGCCTATGGCTTGAAATGAGAGACTCCTACAGAGCAGGGCCCTGAAAACAGACTCCAGGCCGTCATCTTCTCCAAGAGCAGCCCGCCTGCTCCCTGGATCACCCCCTGAGTGCTGGGCTAGTGTCCCAGCACCATAAATCACAGTCTTCCCTGGCCCCCCGTGTTGTCTTTTTGGTCCCAACATTAAGCTCATTGAGAGTGTGACCTTTAAAAAACTAAAAAAGGAAAGCCAATTTTTCCTCACAGGTGACCTAAGCTTAAAGTTTCTAAAATGCAGCTAAAAAAAAGTGGGGGCTGAGGGAGTCGCAGGTAGAGAAGGATTATGGAAATAAGCAGCCCTAGAAATGGGCCTGCTTCTAGATTTACCCATCAAAGGGAAGTCCTGGAAAAGTGTAACCACACACCACAACCTGGAGAAGCAGCAAAATACTTACCATGGGGAGCAGAGAGCTGTGCATGCAAATAACAGGGACTCTGTCTCATTGGAGGGGTCAGCAAGACTCCCTGGGGACATGACGGGTCAGGTGAGACTGACTTAGGGAATGAGGAGGGAAGAAAGGGAGGTGCAATCCAGGCAGAGGGATCAATATTGGAAAGGCCTCAAGTTGAAAGAAAATGTGGGGCAGGCAAGGAACAAAGAGCAGGCCCTCAGTAGGGGTGCTCAGCCAGGGGAGAGTGTTTGCACTGGGGCAAGGGGTGAGGTCCATGGAGCCAGTGGCAGCAGCACTAGTGAGCTAGAGTTCTGAGAAATTCCTCTAGACCCCTTTATCTGGAGGGCTGGAAAGGAGCATGCTGAGAGGGTATTTTTAAAAATATTTTTCTTTTCAGGGCTGATGCCCGTATGGAAACATAAACTGCAGATCTCCACTCTGAGGCAGGAAAACAATTTGAATACCAAGGCTTTACCCCACCACTACCTCAAACCAAGGAAGACCAGCCCTGGTTGCGAGTATTTAACAAAGTCTAAGAGAGAGAGAAGACAGTGATAGTGCATCAAAGCCTGTACACCGATGCATCTGTACTTTCCAGCCCTCCTCCACAGTTACAGAAAGGGAGATAGGAGACATATCCAGGCAATTAAACTGTGGCTTGGGTATAAAGACAAATGAACCTCAGACAAAGTGGGCAGAGTCAAGGAGGAATTACCCAGCCCACATTAGAGCAAACAAGAGGTCTGTACAGAGCTGCCCTTAAATGTGAGCACAAATGAAAAGAAACGGCAGGGCAAATATGCAAATTCATTCTCAATTGCCTTAGAAAAAACAAGAAAGAAATATAGCAGCATAGCATGAAAAAGACAGAAAAAGAGCTCCACGTGGAAAAAAATGTACCCCAAGAAATAGAAGAAAGTTATCCGTAAGGATTTAACTTCCAAAAGAATTCAATAATACAAAAGCTCAAAAGCCAAATATAATGGAATAATATATAAAAGGGAGATTGCCGAGTTCAGGAAACAAATTGTGGATCAAAGTAACAATACAGTTGGCCCTCTGTTTTCATGGTTTCCACATGTGCAGATTCAACATACCATGGATCAAAAACATTTTTTAAATGCAACAATAAAAATAATACAGTATAAGTTATTTACAGTGTAGTAGGTACCACAAGTAATCTAGAGATAATTTAAAATATACAGGAGAATGAGCACAGATTATACCATTTTGTCTAAGGGACTTAGATCCCCAGTATCCCCAGGAGTCCTGGTACAAATTCTCTGCAGATACTGACAGATCTCTGCAGATACTGACAGATAAAACTAGTAAATAAAAAAGAAATGGCTAAATAATTGATAGAGTTTAAAACTGAACTATTAACATGGAGAAAATACATGGAAAATAAGTTCTGAACAAAGAAACGGCTCACAATAGTATATGGAGGATTACTAGCATCCCTAAGTTAGAGGCTCTATCCAAAAACAAAAACTAACAAACAAACAAAAAAGATATTCAGAGAGCTTATAATAAAAAAATTTCTTAAAATGAAGGAAGAATCAGCAGGGGCAAAGGCATAGCCTGGTGAAATTGTTGAATTTCAAAGATAAAGAAAGAATTATTCAGCCAGCAAATAGAATAAATAAATCACCTCAAAAGAAAACATAGGTTAGCTTCAGACTTCTCTATAGCTATATTCATAGGCTGAGGTTCTCCTGAATGTACTAGAATCTCAGGGAAGGGAGAGAGTCCTTCTAGAGGGGAAAGTTTTTTGATAACAAAATTCAATCAACTAAGAGATAAATTAATGAATTTGGTAAGGAGAAATTGTGATAAAGCAACCAAGAATTGTTACATTCTTTTAAATACATAAATAAAACCAAAACAAGTTATAAACCTTAAAATAAAAAAAGAAATTAAAAGTAGTAAAAATTGGGAGGTGGGGAAAGGTGAAGAAATATTAGAAATAGTCAAGTATACCAACTTCCTCATCTTTCATAGCAAGGGGTTAATTGGTACTATTTAAAATCGAAGTGTGACTTTTAAAATAGTGATTTAAATCTCATTGTTTCTATAAAATTATTTCTTAATCTTAAAATAATCTTCCAGGAAAGAGTATATCTTGTGGTGAAGAAGCATTTATCAAATGTAGCAATTCCTTCCATTTATATTCATTTATTTTTCTTCCTTTACATTTAACACAATTAAATTAATGTGTTAAAGATTACCGTGATCACATCTTTCTAAAATTAGTTTTGACTTGCCATCCATCTTTCTAGTTACAGTGAAGATAGCTTATAGATACAGCTCTAAAGTGATGTTGACCTAAATTTAACAATAGTAGTTTCTGGATTATTTTGAGTCATTCACATATATGTGTGTGTGTGTGTGTGTGTGTGCACGCGCGCGTGCGTGTGCAGGCGTGTGTATTGAAATGTCAATAGAAATGTGTAACTTTAATAAAAGCAAAGTCTTTTCTAATATAAAAACATCACACACACATAAGTAGAATATCAACAGCGTTTTGTATAAGTTATAGTAATAATGATTTCCATGTTAGTTAATTCCCATTTGCTAGCCTTGAATACAAAAATCTTCAGAATCTCCCTCTCCACAGTTTCAATAAGGCATTTGTAATGTTCCCCCTCTGGTGCAGTAAATTCACTTTCCTCCCTATCTTGTCCTCCAATCAAATATTCAGAGCCTTTCTGATTTATGTCACCTGTGATCCTGCTTCACCACTTCCACCGTGGTGCCAGAGACACAGTAAGCGGGAAGTTTGAAACACTTGCAGGAATCTTTATTTAACTTACTCAAAAGAGCTCTGTAGGGGTCCAATTCTTAGCTCCCTTAAAAATAGAGCATGATAGACAGCAGAGCTCTTCAGTCCCTGGCCTAGAGTTCTGAGCTTAGGTCAGCACATCTCAATTCCCTTCCCAGAGCAGACGTGAACAGGAGAAGGCACTCCCAGGTCTTCTGCCAAGGCTGCATTGTGAAACATCTCCTGTTCTGCCTTCTACTCTTTTCTCCTACCACCCACCAGTTTCTCTATTTCTAAATTATACCCAACAGCAGTGACTCAAAAACCTGAATATCCTAGAACAGAAATTCTCCAAGTATACAGAAATAAATTCAAGGATACCAGAATTTCATAAAAAGAGAATCTGTGGTTGGGGAAGGATTACTATACATACAAATCACTGTGAGTAATACAAGTAAAAACCGCATGATAGGGTTACCTGAATACTTGTACCATGTATCTCTCATGGGCAGCCAACTCTAATAAATGGGGAAGGAGGAGGAGTGGGCATATTCTGGTATTGATGATCCTGTTTTCAGCCTAATGGTGCATTCATTTACTGTGGATGCTCTTATTAGGGCCGTTAGCATTTCAAGACACAATTTATAGAACCCAACAGTCATTAGTTCTGCTTATGTTTACTCATTTGATTAGGCTAACTGCTCTTTTTTGAAAAAAAATATATAGTCTGCTTAGGACTGTGACTGCACACATGAAGTTGAAGACAAAGGAATGCCAATGACAATACTGCTCATTAATTTGTTCAGCAGATTCCATTCACATTTCTTGAGCTCCCTCCTTTGTGCCCAGCCCTGAGTTCAGGACTTTCTAGTCTTTCCTTTTTGTAATAACAGCCCCTCTGGCCTGGCAGTTATTCCACAACAGAGTCTTGTACAGTGGCTCAGAAGGACAGAGCTACTGGCTCAGACAGGAGATCAAGGACTTGGGCCTTCCTCCCATCTCAACATAAGGCCTGCTTCTTAATGGATGCCAACTGAGAATTAAACAAGGCCAAGCTCCATGATTTCTATTTGACCTTGTTCATGCTAGTCACAACTCTGAGATTCAAGGTCCTCTTTAGCAAAATGGAGCTGATAAAAGTATATACCCATAGGGCTGTTGTATAGTCTGCTTAGGCTGCCATTAAAAAAAATACCAGTCTGGGTAGCTTAAACATAATTCATTTTCTTACAGTTCTGGAGGCTGGGCGTCCAAGATCAAGGTATCAGCAGGGCTGTTTTCTGGTGAAGCCTCCGTCCTTGGTTTGCAGATGCCACCTTCTTGCTATGTCCTCACATGGTTTGTTTGTTTGTTTGTTTGTTTTTCAAGACAGAGTCTTGCACTGTCACCCAGGCTGGAATACAATGGCGTGATCTCGGCTCACTGCAATCTGCGCTTCCCGGGTTCAAGCGGTTCTCCTGCCTCAGCCTCCAGAGTAACTGGGACTACAAGCGCGTGCCACCACACCTAGCTGATTATTATTATTATTTTTTGCATTTTTAGTAGAGACGAGGTTTCACCGTGTTAGCCAGGATGGTCTCGATCTCCTGACCTCGTGATCCGCCAGCCTCAGCCTCCCAAAGTGCTGGGATTACAGGTGTGAGCCACTGTGCCTGGCCTCACATGGTCTTTTCTGTGTGCATGTACAGAAACAGCACTCTGGTGCTTCTTTTTATAAAGACACTGGATTAAAGTCCCACCTTTATGATCTCATTTAACCTTAATTATCTCCTTAAAGGTTTTATAACCAAATGCCATCAGAGGACATTAGAGCCTTAGGCCCTACAGGGCTTTAGGGCCCAACACAGGAATTTTAAGGGGACGTAATTCAGTCCATGACAGCTGTGATGATTAGATAAATTAACGCACGCAATATACTTAAGACAATGCCTGTACGTATTATATGCTTAATAAATGTTAGTAATTATTATTATTATTGTTGTTGTTGTTACTGTTATTACTATTATTTAGGCATGATAGGCTAACATTTGAGGAATAGTGAGTGCCCAGTATTTCATGGTCAAAGTTCCCTCTGTGTAAGTATCTTGATGGGTTGTGTAAGGTAAGAAAGGGATGCCCTTCATTCTATTAATAAATTCAGGTTAGTCCAGTTGTTTTCATACTCAGATCTGACAGAGGTGAGAAGACTCTATTAACACAAAAGGGCTAAATGCAATGTGGTGAGATTTTCACAAAGATTGAATTTTTGCAATAATTTTCATAAATATTGAATCCTTAAATGTTTAAATTCTGAGATTACAATTACAAAATTTTTTGTTGGTGTTAAGCTGACCTTCCTTTAATGAATGATGCACCAGTGATGGAAAATAGGTCTCTTGTTTTTGTTTGGGATGTGTGTGTGTGTGTGTGTGTGTGTGTGTGTGTTAATATCTTTAAATCAAAAGTTTATAATAGTAACCTGACATTTTAGAGAACATTTTTGGCCGCAAAGTCTGAAGAACACAGGCTAGACTAAGGTCCAATATGGACTGGAAAATAAGAGTTTTATGTTCCAGGCCTCCATCCTCCAGATGCGTAAATGGGATCATGACATCACTTAGGTATTTCCAAGTGCTTTGGCTGATGCTGAACCTGAGTTGGCCCCTCAAGCTAACATCTGGAATCAGCCGCATGTTGGCTGGGATGGTCCATGCCACGCACACAGACAAGACATATGTCAATGCACATGCTCATTTGTGAGGAATGGCAATTAAGAAAGCCTTGTCTATGCCACGCTGCATTTGACAGGAATGACTTAAAAGGAACCATCTCAGAGACAAAGCACCCCTACTTGGCCCACCCTTGATAAATTCACTGAATACCCTGTCACCACTTTTCTCAAGTGAAAAATTTGGTTTCATGGAATAATCATGAGGGATTCTTCCAGCACTCACATTCTGTAATCATCTGGAAAAGAGTCACTCCCGGTGCTTGTGGAATAAAGCTGAAGAGCTGGCATCTGAGCTATCACATCCTGACCTAATGTGCTAAGCCTGAATTTGTAATCTAAGAAGACATGTGAAATGCAGACTTCCTTATTTGTGTTTCATTCCCAAGTTATTGGGAGTGAAATCTGTGTCTGACAGTCACTATCTGGGGCAAACATGTTTTCTGCTTGGCTGGAATTCTGCATGTGTGACTCCTGACCAGGGTTTTCCCAGCAGGCTCCAAAGTCATTTGCTATTATGAATAAGCCAGTGATTCAGGCTTAAACTGTACTGATCTCAGAATTATGGGCTTCTGCTATCTAAAGCCAACAGATAACACTGACACCACCTCTCAAATCAATCTAGGTGGAGGCAGATGTTTTTGGAAGAAAGGAGCCTCAGTGAACTAAAAGAACAAAACAGGAGTAACTTGAGTAGCTAATATTTAGTGAGGGTTTTCTCTGTCCATCGAATGTGCTGGGCATGTTACTCATCTCATTTAGTCCTCACAACAGCCCTAGGAAATAGGTTCTATTATGATCTCATTTTAGAGAGAGGAAACTGAGGCACAAGTAGCCAGTGGTAGAGTAGATACAGAAACGTCCTTCTTGCTTTTGAATCTCTGGTGAAATAAAGTATAAAGGACCAGTTCACAATGATTCCAAGAGAAAACCATCTTTAATTGCTCTGCTGCACTCCATTAAAGCCCACCGGCCGGGCATGGTGGCTCACGCCTGTAATCCCAGCACTTTGGGAGGCTGAGGTGGGCAGATCACTCGAGGTCAGGAGTTCCAACCAGCCTAGGCAACATGGTGAAACCCTGTCTCTACTAAAAATACAAAAATTAGCCGGGTGTGGTGGTGCGCACCTGTAGTCCCAGCTACTCTACTCGGGAGGCTGAGGCAGGAGAATTGCTTGAAACCAGGAGGTGGAGGTTGCAGTGAGCTGAGATCGCACCATGGACTCCAGCCTGGGCAACAGAGCCAGACTCCAACTCAAAAAACAAAACAAAACACACCAGAGGTCCCAGGGAACAAGCCAACTCTTGTAGGGTAGTCTACTGAAAGTGGTCCAGAGTCAGAAACCAAGAGTCAGGAACTGGTAAGCCAAGTTCCATTGTGCAATAAAAAGTACTCAACGGAAAACCTTACATCAGGGTGCTGGTCCACACTGGCCCAGCTTCTCCCACTCATCCACAGCTCTTTTTTTGATGCCACCAAGCTCTCTAACTCCAGCCATGAAGTGGACTGTGACATAACTACTCTACCTCTGCTACCTCATCTCTCCCTTTGCCTCAGGCCACATCCTCACACCCTCCTCTCTGGCTCGCCCCTAGCCCCCGCACTCAGTTCGCTAGGCCTCTTCAAGGCTTTCCCCCCATTACTCCCCTGACCACACACACACTGGAGGCACATACCTGGATCTGCTGTGATCCCTCTAATGTGGCAAGGATGGCTCAGTGCAAGTTCCTAGGCTGGGAGCTCTGACCTCCTTGGGTCCCAAATGAGGGCCCTTCCCTCTCTGGGGCCCAGGTGAGGGCCCTTCCCTCTCTGGGGCCCAGGTGAGGGCCCTTCCCTCTCTGGGGCCCAGGTGAGGGCCCTTCCCTCTCTAGGGCCTAGAAGAGTAGCTGATTCCCCTATCCCAGATCTTCCAGAAAGGCTTCTTGAAGAGTTTTAAATATTCTGTTTGTTCTGATGTTGTCCCAGCCACATCCTGGCTTTTATTCTTCCTTTGGACACTGCCTTCTCCCACTTCTCCCTTCTCTGAAGCCCCATCCCATCCAGACTTCAAGCTGTGGAGAGGGGCTCTCAGATGGCTACTCTCAGGGTCACTGTTCACATGGGTGGTGGGATCAGTGGTGAGGGAAGACGGCCGAGCTGCAGTGGAGCCCACAGCTGTGGGGCCACCAAGAGGATGATCCTCACCCAGAAGAGGATCATCAAAAAGCTGTTCTCAGACCTCTGCTTTCCACTGGCAATGCAAAGAGGCACAGACACAGTGAATGAAACTCAGGGTCAGGGGTTCTACTCTAGTTCCTACTTCTTCATCCTCTTTACCCCTTTAGTGACTTTTACTGTGAAAATATTACAAGTGAGAAACTCCCTATGACCACCCAAGAGTTACCCTGATCCCTTGCAGGACAGAGCATTTGATCTTCACTAGGCAAGTCCACATTCACCTAACCCTTGAGGTACCCTGGAGTTCCACTAGGAAGGTGGAGGAGGGTGTCACCCCTACTTTGCAGATGAATTGCGGGGACCAAAGATGCAGCCATCACACAGCATGGTGGCAATACTGCTGAGAGAGTAAACACTTTCTAAAAACTTGTCCAGACTTCCATCAACCACCTGTCTATGAGGTTTTGGGTCACTGCCTATGCAAAGGGTCTAAGGAGAGAGACAGATGCCTTCTGCAGATCCTTCAGAAAGCCAGCACCCCTCACAGGGGGCTCCAACCAAGGAGATGCCAGGTCCTGATATGGAGGTCCAAGAACACAGCTAGTCCTCTGCTTTGCACAGGCAGCATGGTGGGGAAGATGCTCATAGCTAAGCTTCTGACTCCCTGCAGTCTCTCAGGCACTCTGTCCTGCTCTCCTTCACTTCCATTTCCCTTCTTGCTCTAAAACAGCACCTCTGCCTCCCCAACATGACCCCTCTCCTGAGGAGATCCTCTGGCCAGCGGATGAGTCTGAACCCAGATGGCAAGAGAGAATTAGCATTGAGCCCCACTGAGCCATGATGAGAACTGAAGAGGTGAATATTTTACACCTGTAATTAGTCACACATGCAGAACTGTGCTCACAACTAGTTGCACCTGCAAGTGGTTAATTGCTAAATAGCAAATGCAATTAAGCACTTACACATTATCTCCAGGATGAAAGTTGCCAACACAGTAGTCACTAGCATATGCATGATCATGCACACATAGACATACACACACATGCATATTCAGGGGTACACACACACTCGCCAATGAAGGAGTGAACACAGACAAAGCAATTTGACCTGTGAGGCTGGAGACTGAAAGTCACTAAGGGAGGCCTCTTTATTAAAACGTTTAGAAGCTGCATTATTACATGAATCTAGGTTACTCCAAGCCTTATATCGATATATAGGACACAGTCTAAGGCTCCGGCACCAGATAAGAACAGCATGGGATTGCAGATTGTTCTTTTGATAAGGACAGAGTAATCGTGGAAAACAAATTGGACCTGGGCATGCAGGGTCAGGCTGCAGAAAAAGCCAGTGCTTTCAGGCCTCACTGACTGTTGTTGATCCCCGATGTAAACCATTATTTAACTGCACAGGCCAGAGGCTAGCCATAATTGCTATATTCACAGTTTTTTTTTTTTAATCTGAAAATATCTCTTTGGAAAGTAACACACAAAATCAGAGAGTGACCTTTAAAAGCTCTGTTTAATGCCTTCTTTGTAGCCCTTTCTTCCTTCCTCCAGTTTCTTCGAGCTGTGATACTGACTTGTCATATTTTTCAAAAATATTTCCTTTTTAGCAGCCGAGTGAGGAGGAATACATCTGTGTGTTTAATTGTAGTTGGTTCAGACGTGGTAGACTGAAGAACCTCTTCAGCGTAATGAGACGTGCTGAGGCACAGAACTGGTAGACTGAGGGACAGAGCTGATGATCAGGTTATGAGAGTGATGCCAACGATTTGCAGAACACCTTTCCTCAGGATACAAGCATTTGCCTGCCTTCTCACGCAGGAACACACCACCTCACTGGCAAGATTTGCATTCCATGTGAAAAGAATCAGCTCCTCTCTCCTCCTCCTTCACTCCTCCTTCTTTTTCCTTCTTTGCTTTTCTCTATTCTCCCTTTCTTCTTTCCCTCTCTTTCTCTCCCTCCTTTATTCATTCATCAAAAAGGAATCCAATGATCAGAAATCACTGGATGATTTCTATCTTCTAAGCCCTCACAGTACAACTGCAGAGGATAATCTTTGTCTGTTTGTTGTTTCCAGGTCTACGATTTAGAGAAAAAAATTGCGTGAGCATTAAAGATAAGTGTAATGTAGCCATTGAAGAGTAAGGACTTGGACTCAGAAAGTCCAAATTTAAATCTCAATTCTGCCACCTTGTAGCTGTATGATATTGAACGAGCAACTTAACCCCTGTGAAGTTAAACTTACTCATTTGTAAATGGCATAATATAGCCTACCACTCAAAGCTGTAGTGTGGGTTAAATTAGACTTAGAAAATTATCTGGCTTATTGTAAGGGCTCAATAATAACTAAATATTAATAATTATTATGCTCCACCATCAAGGACTTGTTGTCAAGGAAGAATCCATTAATACTGGCTGTCTTCATGGAGAGTCCAGCTATAGCCTGGAAAAATTGGACAGATTTTGAACAACTTCAGCAAAATTATTAACTTCTCCAAAGAACATTTCTATCTCCATATGCTTGGCACCTAAAAGCCATACCTGGGCACAGGGTGGGTACTCACTAAACATTTGATAAGTGGGTGGGTGGGTGCACAGATGCACGCAGGCATGGATGCAGAAATAAAAATGTGAAGAAGAAAAAAAGAATGACAGCATGTGGTTGTCATGTGGTACTCAATGCAATTTGCCATTTTTTTCTAGCTGTGTTCCAGTATATGGTAAAACTGTACTTCCTGGCCATTTTGAGGTGGGATTAGACCATAATTTTAGCTCTGGAAAGTGAGTTGTAAATAGAAGTAATATGTGTCACTTCTGAACCAGGCCATTTAATGCCAATCCAAGACCCTCTAGTGCTCCCTTTCCTTCTGCCAAATGACTACCAGTGACATGGAACAGATACCTGCCTACCCTTGATGAACACGCAAGATGAGGAAGAGGTAAATTTGTGCTGTTTTAAGGCATTAAGAGTTGGGGAGTTTTTGTTATTGCAACACAACCTAGCCCCCGCTGACCAGTGCAGGTACAGTTAATCATGATGATCTAATGACAAAAATCTAGCATGGTCAGAGTGCTGGTAAGAGGAGCACCATGTGGGAAATGAGATATAAAAGGTTATTTGGGGCTACCTTTGACTACCAAGAATAAAGCAGATAGTGAATCTGTGTTTCAGGAGACCCCAGTGTGTTAGCAATGGTTTGGTACAACAAAGATGATCCTGTAAGGTCTGATACCCTGCTTGCCCTGTGCTTATATCCCTTGATTAAGGCTTGAAGGAGAGGAACCTGTTGAGCTCATGGATAAAGTACCTTGAATTCCCAGGAATCTGTTTCTTTGGCTTCTCCTCACTCACAAAGGTTCCTAGTACCTTTATTCTGAAGGATTGTGGCAGAGGAAATATTGTCCCTCCAAGGTGATACAATGTTATGACTTACGAGCAGCAGGCAGGGAATCCTCAAGCCATATAATACTTAAGCCCCTAGCCTAGCCTGGTGCCAGGTAACTCATCTTACATGAAGACACACATGCCTTGAGTATTTATCCTCAGCAAAGGATGGCAAGAGTCACCTCTTCTCTGACCTGGTATGCCAGGGAGAACTAAATGGAACAATCTGTCAGGCCTCTCTTCTCATGTGGATGGAGAAATCTAGAGCCCATTGCTAGCAATTCTCTCTAGATCTCTAGAGATTATCTTGCTCGTTTACTTTCTTCTAGATAGCACTGTACATTGGGCAATCTAGTCAGAAGAGAAACAGTTTCTTGTGAGTGTAAGTAAAGGCTTCAAATTCTTGACACCCTTCCCATTAGGAAGTGGCATCTATCTCTTCCTCTTGAATCTGGCTGGGCTTGTGACTTCTTCAACCAATCGGGTATGGCAGAAGTGATCATATGTGATTTCTGAGACTGAGTCATAAAAGCCATAAAGCTTTTTCCTTCTTCACTGGAACAGTCTCCTTTAGAATCCTGAAGCACCACATAAGAAATCCAATTGCACCGAGACCACCATGCTATGAGGAAGCTCAAGTCACATGCAGAGGGCATATCTGAGAGTTCCAGTCAACAGTCTCAGATGAGTTCTGCCTTCTGGTCATCTCAGTCCAGGTACCATGCATGTGATAAGTCTCTGGATGATTCCATCTCCCAGCCATTCAAATTTTGCAGCTGAGGCCCCAGATATAATGAAGCAGAAATAACTCATTCCTGTCATGCCCTGTCAAAAACTACCATTGAGGTGTTTTGCTATGCAGCAATTGGTAATAAAAACACAATCTTTCCAGTTAAGGTCTCCAGCAGTGCAATGTGGGATAACCCAAATGACTTTTGCATTTGGGCCGCAAAGTAACAACAACAACAAAAAAAACTGATTAAGGGAGAGAGGGTCTAGACACAAATACCACCTACAACCATATACTGACTAGATGGTCTTGGGTTGGTCATTCAAGCACTCTTGTTTCCATTTTTTTCCCTCTACAAAACAAAGAAAATCATCAACAGACTACAGATGCTCCTCGACTTACAATGGGTTGCTCCTGATCAACCCATTATAAGCTGAAAATGCATTTAATACACCTAACATCATAGTTTAATCTATATGGTTTCTACACAAATACATATTACTTTTGCACCATTATAAAGTTGAAAAATCATAAGTTGAACCATTGTAAGTTGGGGGCCATCTGTAGTAACTCCCTTATAAGATTGTTTAAAAAGCAAATGGGAAAGTGTAACTTGCTTAGCCCTGTACAAACGCTCACTGTTGCTGTCAATGGAGTGAGAGAAGCCCTTTCTAAAATGTCTTCTTGAAGTGAAGACCATAATCTGAAGCTATTTATGGAGAATGGAGTGACTTTTACACAAACATACACAGGCACATCCTTGGCTGCCTTTCTAAAGACAATGGATTCCTTTGGAATAAAAGTCTAAAGTTACAGAAAGAACTGAAACGTGCCAATCTGGTTGGCCTTTTTTTCCCCCTTTGAACATGCTCCTTTACCAAAGTTTAAGAATTATACAATAGCTTCCAAAGATCTAATCACTTGATTTCTTCTTCTTAATATTCCAAGTTAAAAATAGTTCAAATACACTTCTCTGTCAGTCAAATCACAAAGTAGAAGACACTGTACCATTCTAAATATAAGATGAGAGTAATTATTTCCCCAAAGAAAAATCCTCTAACATTTTGATTTTGTTTCCTTGGAAGCTTTTATAAGCCACATTATGAGGCCAGAAATCCTAAGTGTTTGCCTGGTTTTGGGATGCCAGACCCCAAGGCCCCTGGCCCCACCCTCCATGAGGACAACATCATGGAGGAGAAAACCCAAGAAAGCTGGTCCTATTTTACTCCTCTGAAGCCAGATGGCAGTAGTGTTGCCACCTCTCAGGTTACTGGGTAGGTCCCACAATGCTCTCTTATTCATTCCACACATCTGCGGTGAGTTTCTCCTAATAGCTCCACCATGCTAGGTGCCAGAGCCACAGGAGCAACCTGGAGGCTGTCCTGCCACAGCTCACAGTCTCATGGGAGGACCAGGCAAGAGCACTCTGCCTGTCTAGTGCAACCAATGACACTGGAGTCAGATGCTAAAAAGCACTGGGGACACTGAAGCAAGGCCTACTACAGACAGGGAAGGCTTAGTAAGGCTGAACTGTTTCAGCAGACCTGGAGTTGTGCCAACTGAAAGGAAAGAGAAGGGAAATCCAGGAAGAGGAAAGAGTGTGTAGGTGACATTGGAGCATGAAAGACCAGACTCAGTTCTGGGAACCCCTTAGCACCGAGTGGCCAGATACTTAAAGTGGGGCTGCAGGAGATGGAGCTAGAGAGGAGGGGTGGGGGCAGATTGCTAAATGCCCTGGTGCTAAGGCAGGGTTTTCAGACTTTTTTATGGGAGTAATGAAGACATCTAAAGAAGAGCCTCCCATAGGTCGACAGGACCAGCTTTACTTTTTGGGAAAATCCCTGGAGCAACCATGTGGAAGATGCACTGAGGGGCCAGGGCAGGATCCCGGAAGACAAGAGAGAGCCCAACTACAGTGGCTTAGGGTAGGGGCAGCAGAGAGAAAGGGAAGGTTGAGCTCTTCCACAGTGGAATGGATAGGACTTGTAACTCAGTGGATTGCAGGAGTGGAGGGCTTCTGAGGGGAGAAAGGGAAAACTTGGATCTTCCATTTTTGAGGCTCCACAAGCAAGTCACCTGCTTCCTCAGAGGGGGTGGATGCAGAGGAGGCTGTGTGAGTGTGGCAGAAATACCAGGCTCCTCCAATGTCAATCCTGCTGTCTAAGGATCCTCCAAAAAGGCCTGGACACTGTGGAAAGAAAAACAGAATGGATGGCATCAGGCAAGTGCCTCCTTCCATTCTCTCCTTCACAGGTAGAACCAGGGCTGGGACGGCAGGAGGCTCTGGTGCCAGCTCTGTTACAGGGCTTAAGGTGGTTTCCAACATCTCCTGGGGTCAGGCCTCTACTCCTATCCCTCTGTGGAGCAAACTGTGGGCTCTAGGTGTTTTAGGGGAATAGACAAATCCATCCTCCCAATGATGGAGGGGGCTGGAGAAGAAGCTGAGAAGGCAGAGGGGAGGATGTTGAGGGAAAGTCGCAGAAAACAAAGGAGCACCCTCTACACACAGATGGAAAACCAAAGCAGGTACTTCACCAGGAGCAAGTCAGGGGGCCCAGGTGAGCCTTGGCCCTGGAGAAGACTGAATGTGGTCAGCATGGCAGGAGAAATGGAGGCAGGGGATGTGGAGAAAAAGGGACAAACAAGGATGTCCTGGCCACTGAAGGAAAGTCTGCCAGATACATTCTTGGTCTTTACTATTTTTCTTGAAATGAAGGCATGTAAATGAAGGAACAGGTATTTGCGGGGGAGTCTGCCACGGCATGGGCTCTAGAGTGAGAATTAAAGGAATGCAGGATGCAGGAGTCCATTCTTCGTGAAGATGGATTTTCTGCAGGTCCATCCACCCCTCCCAGAGCACACCTTGCTGAAAGGCCACAGGCCTGGAGCTAGAGATTTTCCAAGGCATTCTCCTTCACATCCCAGGCCACTCGCAACAGTGGCGGTGCCTTGAGGAGTGTGAAGCACAAGCTGAAAGTCTGCACAAGTGCCTCCTCTAGTGTACATTGTGGGTGGTTTGGAGGCTTCAAGCACCTCTACTCCACCATTCTGCTAAGCTGTGAAGGTGAAAATGCAGATGGAGAAGCTACAAAGACATTCCTCCTGTGTGAAAACATCCTCAAGGAAATTTCAGAATTGTTCCTCAGCTTTATTGAAGTAAAATTGTCAAATAAAAATTGTCAGAGTTGTAATGTTGATGAACTGGGTTTCAAATAGAAATGAATGCCCTCTAGCACCTACATTTCCAAGGAGAAGGCAGAGCCCCAGAGTTCAAGGCCACAAAGTCTCCACCTACTGGGAGGCTGGGTGCAAGAGATTTATCTGAGCTGCTGTTTCTATTAGGATGGTTGTTTTTCTTAGGGCTTTTGATACAAACTCCTGCAGGTGTTGAAGGACAAGCCCTAACCTTTTTTTTTAACCCCATAAGCACTGCTATTTGGAGTGCAGTTTTGCATATAAGGTTGTTTATGGAAGAATATGTGGCATCACAGAAGAAATGTTTGGGCCATGATGGGTGTTACAGATGCATAGAGGAGGAGATGGGGTGACGTCTGGAGAAAGTGAACCCTAAGCTGAGATGCAACACCAGAGAAGCTCGCTAGATAAAAAGGAGAGCAAGAATGTTTCAAACCAAACAAGACAAACTGTCCTGCGACAAAATTAGATTTATCTTTGATGATATTAGAAAGTTAGCAAGCAGGCCAAAGGTTTCCTGTCATCTCAGTGTGGTTTGATCACCTTTCAACTTCCTGGTGAATTGACCCTGCCCAGTGCTGCCTTTATTGAGTCAGGTGAGGAGCTGTTCTCCTGCATTTGCCAGGGGGCTGCCAGGCTGCAGTGCAAAGGAGCTGTTGCATTCATCCCATCCTGTCCTTGGCGCCTCCTCTCTGCTCTTGCCCTGGAATCTCTCAGATGACATCTGTGCCTGCTCCTCCCTAGCTGCTCCCATAGATCTCTGAATTCATGTAGGGGAACGGCAGTCCCAGTTAATGGCTGCAGAACCTGGCAAGAGCAGGGGTGTGTGTGTGGATCTGACCTGGTGACAACTAACTAACCCGTACAGAGGGCCTGAAATACCCCATCCAGGACCCAGGCCAAGGCAGACTCCCTCCAGGTGCCTGTTCCATTCTGCATTCTGTTAATCCACCCACTTCTGGTTATGGGTGTCAGGACCTTCAGCCACATATCATCTTATTTCTCTGTCTTTATTTCCCTTTCATCCTATATCCTCATCTAGTGGCTTGATTCTGTTTGTTTGTTTTTATATGTCTGGCCTCATCTCCAGAAGATTTAATGTGGCCAATATGTGTGCACATGTATGCATCTGCACATGCCCTTTAGGAGGCAAGATGTTGTCTTTCTCACTCCCCCCCTGCCCTCTTAAATCTTTCTATTATTCTATCCTTACGAATAGTTTAAAAAAAAAACACTGTTCTTCACTAACTTTAACCTATGCCTATAATGACTCCTTATCCATAAAGTGAGATGTAAATAATGTGACCTGCCTCCTGAAGTTATTGGTAAGATTAAATGAGATCATGTAAGCAAAGCCCTCAGTACAGGACCAGGCAGTACATTGGTGCTGGGTGTTGGGTCAGTATGTGTTGCATGAGGGGCTAGGGGAGACAGTCCTGGGAGGCTGTCTCTGATGCCAGAGTAGCAGAGTGTCAGGAGCTGTGGCCCCCCACAGCAAATTCCCACCACTATTCTTCCCCCTAAGCCTACCCTTCACTCTCTTACAGCCTATAGTATTTCTGTTTTGACTTTGCTCACTCTCTGTACATGCTCTTTAGCCTTACCCAGAAATCCACCCCAGTTCTGCATCCCCTGCCCTGCCCAAGGCTCTCTGCCACCAAACTCAGGCCTGCAAAAGGGATGGCAACCCTGATCCCAGCTCATTAGATATGGCATCTCAGGTCCCTGAGCTCTCTGAGTCCCCATAAAAGTTTCCAACATCGACTCCCTAACTCAATAGAACAAAGTCAACAGCTTTGGAAACAGCCTTCTTCCTACATTTAAAAATAAGATCATGAAAAGTCTCCCAGAAAAATCAATGCCGGCTTTTTGAAACTCCAAATCAATATGATGTGTGAAAGTTCTCATTAAGAGAGAGGTGGGGGAGGTCAGAGAAGCAAGGAGAATCAAAAGGGAAGAGATGGAGAGAGGGGAGGAAAAAAGAGACACAGAGAGGATGGGCAGTGGCAGGGAGGGGAGAGGAGAGCAGAGAAGGAAGAAGGGCAGGGAGGTGCAAGGCACAGGAGCAGCTCAAGCAGGAAGGGTGTGCTGAGAGCCCCTCCCGTGCTGGAAACAGGAAAATGCTGCCACGGATCAGAGATGAAGTCATGGGACTGCGGACTGCTTTGGGGAGCTCACAGTCTGACTCAAGGACTTGGGAAACAAAAGGGCAAAGAGGAAAGAAACAGGCAATATGCTGAGGCAGGTGCCAACAAGAGGCCATTAGGATGTCAGCTGGCACTGGAGCAGGAAATCAAAAACTCTTCACACAAGAGGTAGAGTTTAGGCAAGGCTTGAAGAAGGGTTGATGAGATTCACAATTTAAACTGTTGGCGTTGAAGAGGTGGGGCAGGGGTGGGGACACAGCACGCTATGCATGCAAGGTGGAAAATAATAACAGCTAATACATACTGAATGTTCTCTGAGGGCCAGCAGTGTTTTAGGCACTTTACAAGCATTAATTCACTCAATTCCCATAACACCCTAGGAAATAGATTACTATCAATCCCATTTTACAACGAGGAAAGCAACGCACAGAAAGGTAAAGTAACTTACCCCAAGGTCATACAGCTAGTAAGTGGTAGCACCAGAGTTCCAACCCAGGCAGTCTGGCTCCAGAGTCTACACTCTTAAACAAACTGGGTTTGGGGCCCGTGTGTGTATGTGTGTGTGTTTGTGCGCATGTGTGTGTATGTATGTGTGCGCACGCGTGCATCCTTGAATGCTTACCTGTGACTGAGTCTTGGATTTAGGAAGATGTATCTGGGGAGAGGAGATGAACTAGGGTGTGGTCAGAGACCACTGTGACTGGATAAAGGATAAAGGCAGAGAAATGGGATATTCCTCCAGCCCATATGCAGCTCTATATCACTTCACAGCACTCTCTGAAGACTTGCCTTCCAGCCAAATCACCAACTTCCTGCTGGCCTTTGGGTCCTCTCTCCTGCAGACATGCTCCTCTTGTTTTTCCAGGTCAGACAAAACCTCTCAGCATTTCCCTAAAGGAATAAGGTATACTCTCCAGGCCAAGCCTTGAATCCTGCAGCTGCAGAGATTTTCTCTAGGATTGAGTATTCCGGAAATGCTTTCTCCCAAGGCTTTTTGACAAGCCCTACCCTATCCCACTCCTACCAACCCTTGGCATTTTAATTCTGCTCAGATAATTTATTTTTTAAGACTAGAAGACAAGCCAGATGCAGTGGCTCACGCCTGTAATCCTAGCACTTTGGGAGGCCAAGGCAAGTGGATTACCTGAGGTCAGGAGTTCGAGACTAGCCTGGCCAACATGGTGAAACCCTGTCTCTACCAAAAATACAAAAATTAGCTGGGCATGGTGGTGCATGCCTGTAATCCCGGCTACTCAGGAGGCTGAGGAAGGAGAATCGCTTGAACCCAGGAGGTGGAGGTTGCAGTGAGCCAAGATCATGCCACTGCACTCCAGCCTGAGCAACGGGAGTGAGACTCTATCTCAAAAAAAAAAAAAAAAAAAAAAAGACTAGAAGACAGACAAGGAGTGCTTCTGCTCGGTTCCTCTCCCACTGCCAGACCTACCATTGGTTAAAGAAGCAGGGGCATCTCTTCCAGGCTGAGCCAGAAACTTGCTGTGGACCTTGTTGGTCAACCCTGCCCTTCACTATCAGGTTCTCACTGTCCCCATCCCTGAAGAAGGCAAGGGAGCCAGTGAACACAGCCAGAGAAAGCAATCCTGTTGTTGTGTGTCTGCCCTTGGAAAGGGCTGCACACCTGAGACTACAGGGTGTGCCACAGCTGGAGCTCCTGCAGGAGGACACATTCCCCACACCCAAGAAAGGTAAGTAACTGTGCCAGATTTATCTATGATCTGAATCAGACTCCAATGCCTTATTGCTGGAACACCTATCCAGGCTGTGGAGGGAGCAAGAAGGGAAGCCAGACCAACCCCCCTGGGCCAGAGATGGGCAGCTGAGGCCCAACCTGGGATGTGCAGGAACACAAGGGACATAACTCTGTCAGAGCTGCCCACCCACCCAGACTCTAGGTCCAAATAGGGTTGTCACAGCAAGGCAGGACGGCCATTTGGCCTGCTCCCATTCAAGAAAGGCCTCAAATTCACACTGAGTGAAATACACTCACAGGACTGAAATGAGAAGTCCATCCACAACTTCAAATTGTGTCCCATTGTCCAACCAGCCTGCCTCTTGGTCCCTGTGCATGTATACATTTTATAAATCTGTCAAGTCTCTTCTTGTAGCATAACACACAGTATTGCAATTTTTGTGTTAAAAGTACTTGTTTGTTGAATGCAAATATTACGGCAATTTTTGTAACCCTGTTTTGACATTACCTCTTTAATATACATTATATATATTTAATATATAATATATTTATAATATATAATAATATATATTTATAATAAATATATAATAATATATATTTATAATAAATATATAATGTATAGTATATATTTAATATATATTAGATATTTATAATACATATAATATATATTACCTCTTTTATATGTTATATAAAAGATATATAATATACTTATATATTTATATATAAATATTTTATATATAAACACGTATGATATAGATATTTATATATATACACACACACTCTTAGAGAAAGACCTCAAGATCCAGATGCTCTCTGTACAGTTAAGAAGCCCCACATGCAGCATTGACTCATAGCAAGGATGCTCTGAAGGAGAAGGAAAAGAAGGGGAAGGAAGGGAAAAGGACAGGTGAGGAGAGGCTGCCTCTTCTCTTAGAGGAGCCCTGGGAGGCAGGTGTGGCCATGAGGACTGGCCCACACAGGGGAGAGGCAATTCTCAGACATGCTACTTTCTGTTTCTGATCTGTGATGAGGACCTTCACTTAAGGAAGACATCTCAGCCAGCTCTGCTTGGGCTTCTTTTCTGTGAATTATTATAAGTGTTAATGGGAGTCTTCATTAAAATACCATTTAAGAAATATTACAAGTTAAGTTCCTCTCACCCTCACAGGTCTGATGACTAAAAATCAGCAGCTCCTCCCATTGAACTGAAACAAATTTATCAAAAAAGAATTTTAGCCCACTTGGTCAATCCAGTGCTGGAAATGAGATGGAAATAGAAGACAACATGAGTTTGCTTTTCTGAGAACAAACAGTATGTGACCCAATTTCAAACAGGCCAGGAGCCTTAGCTGTTCAGAGATAATCAAAGAGCAGGGCTGTTTGACAGGATCTGCTGCATCTGCAGGGCATCATGCTGGGGTGGGAGATGGGATGGTACCTAAAGGGACTAGTGTCCCTGCATTGAGGAAGGAGAAGGACCAGCAACCTCTGCAGATGCTTCACACCAGCCCTCACCAGCCAGGGCCTGCCTCTCATCCTATTCCCATCAGTGCTCCCTGCACTACAAATAAACATTCACATTAAGAACAGTGTGCTTGCTGTGCAAATGCAGCCCAGCTGCCCTCGCTCCATCCACCCATCCATCCAGACTGTTGTCCCTAAGCTCCTCCTATAAATTCCAGAGCAGAACCCAGGGAGACTGAATGTCACGCATCGACTCTACCTGCTACTGGAAAGACCAAGGGCAGAATGATGCCACTGGTGAGGAAAGTAAGTTGGAACTCAGGGTAGGGTCAGAATGAAGAGGAGGAGCTCCATTTGCAGAGAACAAGAATCCACTAAACCCACTCCCAGTTTATTTAATCTGCTTTATTTTCTTCTGGTCTCTCTGTATCTTTGTGCTGCTTGCATCTCAGATTCCCTGGGCCCCACACTTGATAAGTTAAGCCTCATTGTTGGAGTTGAAGCACTGTTAGTCAGTTGAAAGCTTCCATTCTAGCCGACTTTGCCTCCTAAACAGCTTTCCCCTCCATCCTGCCCACCACCTCATCTATGAGTCACTTCTAACACCCAGGATTGAGGGCTGATTAGAATTTAAGATTATTTTCCCAGGGCATTAGAGCACTTCCTTTCTTTCAAGAGGTATCGGGGTGAGAAAAGGATAAAGCTTATATTTCAAGGAACAAATAATTTAAGACTGATGGGGAAAATGGTTTAATTGCTTATGTTCTTATTAGCCTCATTCAATATGGTAGGCGGGTGAGTGAGAGAAGAGCTTCGGAGCATTAACTGTGACAAACCTGTTTTGCCTGATGAACGTGTGAGACAGAGTCCAGCTCGCATCTGATAGCTGCTGCTGGCCTTGGAGCCCCAGCAACTGTCCCTGCACTGTGGACCTCTGCAGCCGTGTGGCCTAGGGGACTCCAGCCTCTTCATTCTTCAAATACGTGCTAATCACTCAGGATACATCAGTTAACAAGCAGATCCTTTCCCTACATACACACACACATACACACTCAAATACCGCTGTCCTCATATAGCCTACATACTAGTGAGGAGAGACAGACAATACACATCATAAATCAGTAAAGCTCACACTATAATAAGTGCCATGAAGTAAGACAAAGCCATGGAGGGAGATGGGAGGCTGTTGAAGGTGATTCACACTGGGAGCAGTGGACAGGGTAGGGTTCCTGAGAACATAATATTCAAGTAAAGGCTTGGAAAAAGTGAAAGAGCCACTCATACAGCTCTCTCCATGTTGAAATAATTGGACATCACAGGCAAAATGATGATAAAATGAGCTGCATGCCTTAAACAAAAATTAACTCAAATTGATTATAGACCTAAGTGTAAAACATAAAACTTTAGAAGACAGCAGAGAAGAAAATCTTTGTGCCAAGGTTAGGCAAAGAATTATTGAACTTGACCTGGCTGAAGTGAAAAATAATTGGTTAGATAAACTTGAACATATGGATTAACTGGACTTCATCAAACTTTAAAATGTTTGCTTTGTGAAAGACATTATTAAGAGAATAAAGAGATCAGTTACAGACTGAAAGAAAATATTTGCAAATCACATATTCGACAAAAGGACTTATATCCAAAATATATAAGGAACTCTCAAAACTTTCAAGTTTTGATTTTTAAAATCAAAATCATGCCCTTTCTTTCTAGAGAGGTCCTTGGACAGGGCCAAGATAGACTGCACTGAGGGTTCAGGGAAACATACCTGTGTGTTAGAGACAGGTCCACTGAGTGTGGACTCCTGAAAAGTCCACTTTAAGACCTCATCTCAGAATGAGCAGATTTTTTCCAGCAGACTCCAGTGGGATATTCTTCTCATGTGCATCCAACACCTTAAAACGTCACCAATTAAAGAGGATAAAAATTTGATTTCAAGTCTGATTTTTAGTCATCAGACCTGTGAGGGTGAGAGGAACTTAACTTGTAATATTTCTTAAATGATGCTTTGATGAAGACTCCCATTAACACTTATAATAATTCACAGAAAAGAAGCCCAAGCAGAGCTGGCTGAGATGTCTTCCTTAAATGAAGGCCTTCATCACAGATCAGAAACAGAAACTAGCGTGTCTAAGAATTGGCTCTCCCCTGTGTGGACCAGTCCTCATGGCCACACCTGCCTCCCAGGGCTCCTCTAAGAGAAGAGGCAGCCTCTCCTCACCTGTCCTTTTCCCTTCCTTCCCCTTCTTTTCCTTTCTTTCAAGAAAGACAACAAACAACCTAATTGAAACTTGGGCAAAAACCTAGAAGAGACACTTCACAAAAGAGGATAAACATAAACAGATGGCAAACAAGCACATGAAAGATCATCAACATCATGATTTACTAGAGAAATGCAAATTAATATCACCATGAGATACCATGACACACATAGTAGAATGGCTAAGATAAAAAATACTGATAATACCAAGTGCTGCCAAAAAGGCAGAACAACTGAAACTCACACTGATGCTGATGGTAATGGAAAATGGTACAGGCACCCTGAAAACTGATCTAGCAGTTAAACATACAATTTCCATATGACTCAATAAGAGCTTGCCTGGGTATTTGCCCTAGAGAAATGAAAATGTATGTCCTCTATTTATAATCAAAAATTGGAAACAATCCACACTCTCCTCAACAAGCGAATGGATACACAAATTATGGTACATCCATACAATGAAATACTACTCAGCAATTAAAAGCAACAAACTATTACTACATGATACAATTGAGATGAATCTCGCAGGCATTATGCTGAGTGAAAGAAGCCAGTCTCAAAAGGTTGCCATAATACATCATTTCATTTAAAAAGACAACAGGATCATGATGAAAAACAAATCACTGGTTGCCCTGGGGGTGGGGGATGGAGAAACAGGAGACTATAGAGGGGTAGCAGAAAGGAGCTCTTGGTACCCCAATTATGATAGTGGTTACACAAATCTATGCATGTATCAAAATTCATAAAACTGTCCACTTAAATAAGTTAAGAAGTCAAATTTTCTGTATTATAATTTTTAAAAATAGAATTAAGAAGTCACAAAAATTAAAAAATGTTAACTAACAAAAACCAATTTAATCTTGCAGTAATAAACTGGACAAACCCATAGCTATTTATGACTAGATGGATGGTTTCCACTATCTTCAGGGAATTTACTTTAAAATATTTTATATACGTATGAACCAGATCATGTTGTCTAAGCCTTCTTGATATTTACTGGATCTCTTTAAATTTTCTACATTCTTCCCACAATTCATATATGGTTCACCCAAAGATAGAAAATTACCTCCTGGCTTGTTTAATAATAAAAATGTTGACATCAACATCCATTTTTAAACCTTTGCAAGGTGTCAAGACTTTTGCTCAGCTCTACACATGCAGATTCTCATAAACTCTTCACAGCAAACATGAGCTCAGTGCTGTTATGTCATCATTTAACATACTGAGGCCCAGACAAGTCACTCCATTAATAAACACAGAGCCAGGATTCAACAACTCAAGCTGCCAGCTCTTAAAACTATACTTCTATGGCTGTTTTCTCTACAGCTTTTTCCACCCTGGCTAGTTGCATGGCAAATGGACTCATGTCCTTGTTTTCTAGAGAGGTCCTTGGACAGGGCCAAGATAGACTGCACTGAGGGTTCAGGGAAACACACCTGTGTGTTAGAGACAGGTCCACTGAGTGTGGACTCCTGAAAAGTCCACTTTGAGACCTCATCTTAGAATGAGCAGATGTTTTCCAACAGACTCCAGTGGGATATTCTTCTCATGTGCATCCATCACCTTAAAAAGTCACCAGTGAAAGAGGATAAATCAATTATCATCCTTTTGTCTTAGTCCATTTTCTGTTGTTATAACTAAAAACCTGAGACTAGGTAATTAATAAAGAAAAAGCAATTTATTTCTTACAGTTCTGAAGGCTGGGAGTTCCAAGGTCAAGGTGCTACATCTGGTGAGGGCCTTCTTGCTGGTGGGGACTCTGCAGAGCCCTGAAGTGGTGCAGGGCATCACATGGTGAGGGACTCAAGAGAGATGGCCAAATGGTAACAATACAACCATTGTAATATAACTATTATAAGATCCACTCTAGTAACAGCTAACCCACTCCCTTGATAACTCATTAATCCATGAATGGATTAATTCATTCATGAGTGCAGAGCTCTCATGATCCAATCACCTAGCAAAGGTCCTATCTCTCAACACTGCTGCATTGAGGACCAAGTTTCAAACCCATGAACTTTTGGGGGACACATTCAGACCATAGCATGTGTCTTCCCAGGTTCTATTTCCTTTTCCTTTCTTCCTCCCTGACTAGTTAGTACCAATGTGTGTTGTGATGAGGCTTCCACCACTCCATTTTCATTTTTTTACACTCCATGAAATCAGAAAATGACCCAAGTTTTTCAATGTGCATAGCACTTACTTAAAAGTCTTTATATATCTGGGCCATCAGTCCATTCATCTCATGCCTGAAGAAAATGCATCTCTAGAGGAGTCTTTTCACCATGTGTCCCTCCCTCTGCCTCACAGCTCTCCAAAGTTGGTCTTTCTGGGACCTCCCAGCCTTTAGAGTGAGGCTGGTTGAATAAAGGACAAGGCAGCTCTATTCTAAGCCATGGCACAGCTGCCATGCAGGTGCCCCCATCCCTGGTTGCTGTGGTGGCCAGAACCTTCTTGAGCATGAGTGGGTTTTCAGAACTCAGGGCCAGAGCGGGGCCCTGTTCTAACACTGACTGCCATTCCCCTGGCCATGCACTGGGCAAGCACTTCAGCACCGTACATCAGGGTTGCTCTGGGCAAACAGAATGGCAGGAATGCAGATGGGAAAAGAAATCACTAGGTGAACCAAGAATAGGATAGAGTGATGGGGGCAAAATCCTGAAAGAAAGTCTTGACTTGTCGGGACATATTTTCCAAGCTGGGGCTTCCTGGTGACTTAGCTGCTCCTGCATGGGCAAGCTCCCTGCCTGGGGAAGCCAGCCCTGCCTGGGAAGAGAAGCCACCAATTGCTCACTCTCTATCAGCCAGAACAAAAATTATCAATAAAAGGATACACTTAAATGTCCCTAAATAGAGACTATTGTTTACTGGGCTATTGAGTGAGTAAAAAAGACAAGAAGAGCCAGGGTAGGTGGAGGCTTGCAGAGGGAGTTCACAAGAAACTCTCTGTCATTTCTTGTTTCCTCCCCTTTTATGATAGGAGGTTAAGACAAAGCCCTCTTTGCCATTCTGAAGAAGCTTTGTTGCTTATTTTGTCATAATATCCTTCCCAAGCCCCTTCAAGGCCCCCTCCTTGTCCCTTTCCTCACTGGCTCTTAAAAGCCAGCTGATTTGCACGGGGGCTGGCCTCTCTGTTGTGTCTCTCTTCCAGGCTCACTCTCATTCTCTTGCTCTAATTAGCAACTGCTTTTAAAAAATTTTTGTATTCTCATTCAAAGACAGAGAGAAGGAGGAGAGTGAAAGGGAGAAAGCAAAGGTCTGTGTGAAAGGAGCGAGCAGATGGCCTCTCCCTTGCCCCTCTGTGTACCCAGTGCAGTGTTGGCAAACAGCACACAGCTTCTGTCTACAGAGCTCTTTGTGGCCTGAAAGGAAGGGCCAGTGCACAGCTACAGGCAGGGAAGGCAGGAGATGGGAAAAGATCTGAAGAGGCCTGGCCACTGGGGAAGCAGATCAGAGAGTCAAGGCCACCAACCCCTGGGATGCGCAGATGCAGGCACTTCTGCCTCCCAAAGAAGTGGTTGTGTGGATGTCCAAGTCAGTGTGATTTGTGCACTGAGGCTATGAGCTCTCTGAGTAGTCAATCGGTAGCCTCCAGGGCTGCAGAAGGTCCTCAAGGTGGAGGTGGGGGCGGGAGGGCTGCTGCACTGCTTAGACATGGTTAACTCGAATTTAGGCTCTCTCTACAAGCGGGCAGAAGGGTAGTCGACCCTTTGATGTGGGTCAGAGAGAAAATGACTGAAAAAATCAATCTCCACAGATAAAACACTCTCCAAAATAATTGTTTTTATTAGAGGAAATTCTCTTTCTTTTTAGAGACAGGGTCTCACTCTGTCACCCAGGCGGGAGGAGTACAGTGGCACTATCATAGCTCACTTCAGCCTCGAACTCCGGGGCTGAAGCAGTCCTCCTACCATGGCCTCTCAAAGTGCTGGGACTACAGGCATGAGCCACCTCGCCTGGCCCTAGAGGAAACTCTTAGAGAAGTGGGCAGGGTAGGTAGGCAGAGATAGGCAGGGTAGGTAGAGCAGGGGAAGGAACATGTCATCCTGCAAGGTGGAAGCAGTCACTCTCATCAGGTATGTAAAATTCAACAATGAACAGCTTTGGCTACTGGTTCTTAATGAGTATCTGGAATGAAAGATTCAAAATATGTTAGAAGAAAAGGGAGGCTTGAAATAATTCTCATAAGCCAAGAGTAATCAAGAATGGGGCTGAAGAAGGTGAAGGAAGCAAAGAATGCTCCAGAAAAATAATGAGACTGAAGAAGGAAGGCATCCTACAAAGACAGTTTAAAATTTTTAAAAGCTACTGTTCTTTTTAATTAATGATCTTTTATCAAAATGTGTGATTATTAATCATTTTGATGACAAAATCACTTGTAATATTTGCTATTGATTCAATGATAATCATTGATTTCCTGTATTTTACTATTAAAAGAGTTCATTTTTAAAATTGCAATTCGCATCAAGACAGACTCCTAGAGACAAAATAAAAACAATGAATGGAAATAGCCATTCACTCATTAAAATTCTATCAATGAAATGTATGTTTCTTTTCCCTCTTTTCGAAACAAGTCTAGAGAGAAGACAGACAAGAGAACGGAATAAATGGAGGAAAAGAAGAGAAAATAGAGTAGACAAATTTGACCAAAGATGCAGAGGGAAAAGACAAACAGAGCCAGTGAGAAAAGCAAAGCAAAGCCTGAAGTCACAAGGGCCTCCACATTCAGATCCATGTGGGCATGTGTGTGACAGACCCAGAAACCAAATGGAAGCCCTGAAATCGCCTAATTCCCAGAACAGGCACATTTTTGCCAAGTTCATGATTTGGCAGAGTTCTTGCATATTCCATACAATTTCAATGAGAAGCTCTATCCATCTTGTGCAAAGAGCAGATTGTCATTTCCCACTTGAAATACACACGTTGCACTGACCTTATGTCCTCTGTCAAACTGAGACATTATCACCAACTTTTAGTGAGTTTCATAACGTATGGGCTTGCGACCATTCTGTTGTTTTTGTTCTGTATGTTTGTGCACAATGTGTCACTATATTGGACAACAGACAGACAAGGCCTCTGCCATCACTGGTTACTGCCTCCATCTGGTTCTGCCATCATCACTTCCACAAGTGCATGCCTTGTGCCCGATTCCTCCCCAGTTTCTTCGGAGGTCCCTCTACTCAATGCTGCTGGGATATTTTCTTATACATCCTAATGCAAAGACTCTCCCTTCTCAGCTCATATTCTCCTTCCACAAATTTTGTTTTCAGTGTGTTTTGTTCTGTTTTCATTTAACAGATGGCACAGAGCAAGTAGGGATTCAGAGATGCATCAGGCATGGCCACTGCCCCTGAGGAGCTTAGGGAGTAGAGGAACGGGAATGTGAGCTGGGCATGATGATGCAGGTGACAGGTGCAGTGACAGTGACTTCAGTTCACTCTCACTGGTGAATATGATCACTCCATGAATTTCCTGGTTCATCCCTTACCAATGGGAAATGAACACTATCCGTGAAGTCCCCAAATGTAGATCAAATTCTGATGACTTTTCTTTGTGCATGTTAGTGAAGGCTTACATCTTAGTCCAAACGGAATGCTGATGCCAACTCCCATCAAAAATTACAAATCTTGGCTCTTCTTTAGCTTGGGAGGCATAGAGAATAGTGGTTACCAGCAGAACCTCCAAGTCCTGTGTTGTATGATCTTGAGAAAATTACTTACCTTCTCGGTGCCTCGGTATCTTCAATGGAAAAATGAGGCTAATAATCACATGTACCTCATAAAGCTCTGTGAGGATTTAAGAGTTAATGCAGAAAAAGAATTTGGCAGAGCATCTAGCACACCGTCACTGCTTTATAAATGACAGCCACACTGTATTAGCATTTCGACACAAGATGGAAGCCAATCCAGAAGTGTGCTCCATACCCAGGTTATAACCATCATACAACCATCAGTGGCAGTGGAATGTGGGGCTACACTGAAGAGTGCATAAGCTGCTCTCCTAGCCCAGGTAAACAGAGCATCAGCATTCTTTTCAAATATCAGCTGTTTGCCTATTATCTTTATTCCTTTTTGCCATACTTATATGTGGCAGGTTTTAAATGTATTATTATTATTCATTATTTTTCTTTAAATTAACTCACTTTTTAACATGAATATTTTCACTTTAAAACAAAAGTACAGAAGAAGAAGGAAGAAGGAAGGAAGGAAGGAAGGAAGGAAGGAAGGAAGGAAGGAAGGAAGGAGCAAGAGAAGGTATAAGAAGGGAGAGGAGGGGAAGGGAGGGGAAAGGGAAACTGAGGTAAGTAAGAGAAGTAGGGAGTGCATGGCCCCAGATAGAAAGAGCTGCCACAGAGCAGGGGGACAAAAACCAAACAGACATATGCATAGCTGCAGCAAGCAACAGCCCAGAGCTGAGCCAACACCCCTGGCAGAGACAAGACCTGGGCTTCAGCAGAGTGGAAGGTGTATGCTCCAGTAGAGGGTAGACACCTGGTCAGGGAAGGGGATGAGACTGATTTGGGGCTGCTGGGGAAGGGGTGGCAGGTCTGGTGAAGGCTGAAGAAATGAAGAGGGGGCAGGAGGAGGGGAGGGCAGAGGGCTGGCGATCTAGGAAGGCGGGGCTATGGAGGTGTCAACATGGTGAGCTGAGGCTAGAGGCCCCAGAGGTAAGCTGGGAAAATTAAAGGAAAGGATGTGGGGTGAAGGGCCAAAGGGTGAGAGCTGAGAGATGCATGCGGCAGGGCAGGAAGCCCTGACACAGGCCCAGGGGCAGAAGGAGACAGATGGGAGAAGCAAAGTGTGTTTCTTAGCAAACCAGGCAGATTCGGCCTTCCTGAGACTGGACTGTGAGAATGGGGTGGTCTTCCAGCGTCAAGCACCTGCACTTGTCCTGTCCCATCTACAGACATTTCACCTACCACAGCTTGGGAAGTGCCAAAATCGGTGGGAGGCACGTGTCAAAATGTCCTGATACTAGAGATGGGCAAAGAGTACATACAGAGGATGATGCAGGGTTGGAGGGAATGGGACAGAAGAGAGTGAAGGACAGACCATACCCGAACCACCTGCAGCACACAAACACACCCAACTTAATGCATTCTACTGGAATGCTTGAGTCTCAGTTCCTGAACAGGGCAGTTTATGGAACTTTGCAAAGTCAAATGCAAATGGTAACAACAATGGGATGCCATTTTTCACCTCTCAGATCGGCAAAGATAAAAATGATTGATATTTTATTATCTTGGCAAAGGTATAGGGAACAGGAACTCTCAAACACTGCTGGTGGGAACAAAAATTGGTAGAAAATGCCTTTTTGGGGAGGACAATTTGGGAATATCTACCAAAATTAAAAATTTATATATTCTTATTCAGCAATTTTACTTCTGAGAATTTACTGCATTCTTAGTGCTTAGAAAAGTGCTTGGCATATAGAAAATCCTCAATAAGTATTCATTGAATAAATAAATTAATTTTTCTCACAGATATACTCACATATAGGTGCAAAGACTGATGCACAAGGATATCTGTTGCAACATTGTTCAGAAACAGCAAAAGAGAGAAAACAATCTAAATGTATATAAATGACCAATTAAGTAAAATATATCCATGCAATGAAATAATAACACTCATTGGAAAGAATGAGGCAGATCTATATGTAATATAACCAAACTACTGTTAAACTTCAGTGTTAACTGAGAAGAGATGTGGGGAAACTAGGTGCAAAGTCCTCTGTAGTGTGCCCCTATGCAAGGGGGAAGAGTGTACAAATCCATCGACTCTCTGCAAGAGAATATTAGAAACTGACAATGAGAGAGACTGATGACAACCAGAGTGGAGGGAAACTGACCTTTCACATATATTACCTGTTCAAAATGTTTTTAGTAACAACAAAAAAAGGTAAATTGCATGAGTGGAGATTTGTATAAAAGTTCCACCCCAAGGAAGAAAGGTTCAGAAATTAACCAGGCTTCCTTCGGAAGTAACGGTGTTCCATCCCTGGAAGTGTCTAAAATTAGGCTGAGGACCACTGTGGAAGAGCAAAGTGGGGTCATGGGGTGTGCTTGACTCGCTGTCCTTCGAGGCTTTATCTAGCCGGATGTGGCCATGCTCCATCAGGTTCTCCAGAGCAACAGCACCACTTGCAGCCACAGCATCCTCTGGACATTGTGAACACTTTCTAAGAGCTAAGAATGCAGCATATTCCTGGAAGAAAAATGCTGAATCTCATATATAAGCATACAGGGCCCAGTACCAGTTGGTGCCCAATAAGTAGCTGAAGAAAGAAAAGACATGGGACCATCCAACCCGCATGACCTAAAGAGTGGAATCCAATTTGAATGAGGAAGGAGAAGGCCATAACTGCTGAGGCCTGCAAAGAAATGATCAGAGTGGGCCTCCAAGGACCATACCCTAAGACCCAGTGACTCCAGCTCTGACCAGGAATGTGTGGTGTGCTGATGTAGAGACCCTGAAGCTGAGTAGTCTACTCCAGACAGAGGCCAGGGAAAAGCCAGAAACCAAAATGCCTATTTCATTCTGCAGCCTTTCTAATGAACTAGGTCCTATCCTCAATGAAAAGATTCATCAGGGCTGGGTTTGGCCTTGCTGGCCCAAATTTATGCCCAGTGATTTCAAGAGGCTTCCTGAGGCTCTCAACAACGCCTCCTTCTCACCAGCCTCTCCAGGGGCCTATTGTAGCTAAGCTCATTTCTTCCTGACCTCCCTGGTCATACATACACAAGAGGATGAGTCGAACACACTTGCAGCTTCACAGACTCATCCTGCAGCAGGCTAGGTGGGTACAAAGGAAGATGAGATACTCTCTGTCTTATGGATAGCTTCTGGGACCCAAAACATACCCAGCCATACTCTTCTGGACTAAACCACATCTCCCCAGACTTTGCCTTCTCAGTATTATTAACAGGCCCTTGAAACAAAAATGGGGGCTCAACTGCCTTGCCAGGTAACTAGCACTCAAGCTCTTTGTTTAGCCTGAACATTTACAGCCTGTAGGGAAAGGCAAGGTTGCACCTCTCTCAACATGCCTGTCAAAGACCTGTTGGCAAAATAAGGCTTGTTCCTGGGTGGTTTGCCAGTGTTTGAGGTGCATTCCTTCTCCATTTGCAACAGCCCTCAAGTTACTCTTTCCAGTCTTCTTCACCCTACTGCACTGAGGGAGACCTGAGACCCAGGTCTTAAGGCCCTATCAATTCAACTCATCAATGGCCCAAAGCAGTGGAAACAGAACTCAGATCTCTCAGGGCTCCTAAGGGCCCAGAACCAAAAGACTCCACTGCAGGCAGGCTTGGATTCAGTATAATTTTTCATCTCCATCTTTCAAACTGAAAAGTGGTGAGTCTCCGTCCATGCAAAAAAAAAAAAAAAAAAAAAAAAAAAAAAAAAAAAAAAAAAGGTGCAGATGTTTGTGCTCAAATTCTGCAGGAAGGGACTGTCCAGCCACAGCAAGAGATGGGGACCAAAAGCAAAGGATAAGTCTGACAACAGCCCTGACTGAGCTGGGATACAGCCCTCACAGGCCCATGCAGGGTCCTTGATACAAATAAGAGAAACACAATCCCCCAGTCCACAGCTCCCTTCCTTCCCTCTGCCCTTTCCTGTAAGCACAAAGCCTCAGAGCCTTTTCTTCCCTGGTGAGCCTCAGATTGCCCTCTGAGGGGCTGTGTATTATCTGCTGGTTCATAAGCAGCTTAACATGTCAGAGCTCTCTGGAGAGATGGAGCTGCCCCTAGAGGGATTAAAAAGGAGGTGGTGATAGTGGACATGGAGTCCTGTGCAGAGGGACAGTGCAGAAATGTGTAACCACAGAGCCACCAGAACCCCAAGAAGAAATAAGGTATAAAAACACAAGAGAGAGGGTCATTTGTGAGAGACAGTTGACAGAAGTTCGATATTCCTGAAAACACATGGTGTGCTTTAAAGGATGGTTATTTTTAGCAAAAGCCAGTCTCAGAAGTGGAGGCAGATAGTGGCCTCCCTAGACCTGAGTTCTAATCCCAGTGCTAACATTAACTAGCCATGGCTCTCTAGACTGGTGCCCAGAAATGCTCCTGGCGGACCCCTCTCTGGATAAATGAGGCAGTCTCTCAGCATCTCCATACCACTCACTCCAGCAGTTTCAGACCCCAGAGGTCTTCATGGGAAGACGTTGGTGAAGAAAACGATGGCATTAGGGCCCCTATTGGACTCCTGACGTGGTGATGTTCCCACTACCCACCCCACCTCAGTAATAACCATATGATGTCTCTGTCATCATCTTTGATAATACATATATATTAAGTCATGGATGACCAAGTTCAAACAAAATCCACCTAGGGCAGCTCTCATGCATGGGACGCTGCCAAATCATGATCAGTAGCTCTAACATTGGCCTGGAAGACTCAGGATTATTTGCTCAACACTAGTGGAATTTGGGTGCTTCTAGCCCTGTGTCTCAAAGGCAGAAAGGATCATTATGCAGAGCACAAGGGGGTTTGGAACCCAGAACTCCCGCTTGCCATCCTCTGCCGCCTCCAGAGCCCAGCATCCTGGAGTCCATGCTGCAGAGGGGCATCCTTCCAGCTCCCTGTGCTGTTGCTCATGCCGGTGTCACAGTCAATTACAGACAGCCAATTACATCTGATTCCTCTCTGGGGGTCGCTGGGTAGGGCCGCCATGGGGAGCAGAGGAGGCCCGAGAGGTTTCTAAATGAAGTAGCCTGTTGGGAAATCCTATTATGAAGCTCATGTTACAGGGCTGCGGTGTTAATGACCCTGGCCTCCCCTGGCCCTGAACACAGCCGGTCTCCCTGGAGCTTGAGAGGAGGCTATCTGGGCTGTGGTTTCCCTCTCACCAGCCAATAGCTGATGGGACTGAGAGAGCAGAGAGGGCTCCTTGGTGCCCTTGAATGTGGCTTCCAGCACTGAGGCCTCACACACACACACACACACACACACACACACACACACTCCCTTGTGTTCCTCACCTTCTCTTTCAGCAGCTCAGGATGAGGAGGCAGGGGGAACCCAGAGCTGGGACCAGCAACCCTAAGGGAGATGGAAGCAGGCCCCGAAAACCTCTTTTTCCAAGAAGAGCTAAATTAGATGTATTTTTTCCACTTTCAAATCCTGCAAATTTTTCATCTCAACTCCCCCAGGCTTATAAAGTGGCTCATCTCAGCTGCTCAAGCTGACAAAGGTGCAGAAACTGTTGAAAGGTTCAAAATGTCCCCTGGGTTTCCAGGCATGAAGGAATTTACATGTAGGTTTTCTTTACTAAAGAAAAAAGTCCCCACTTGGAGAGGGCGGAGGAATGAAGAAGCAGCCAGGAAGGAGAGGACAGCAAGCGTCTGACAAGAGGAGAGCCTAAGGCAGTGCTGGTGGGATCACCAGCCATAACTTGCAGAGAGACACCAAATGGGAAGACAGGCACATCGAGAGCTGTTCTGTTCTTCTGTTAGAGTTGTAAAGGCCCTGCCAATGTCCAGAGTTAGAATGGTCATAGGTGATCTGAGAGCCTTCTGGAAAACCTACACAGATTCCCAGTTAAAGTCATGCATCCTCATTCCCAGCCCCAATTTGTAGGCCTGAGCAGAAAATAGGAGTCCTGCAGGTTTGATCATGCTGCTGGGACCAGTAGTGGTACCCCTGGCATTCTTAAGACAGTACCTAGGGACCCAGCTGGTGCTGGCTAGCTGCAGGGATGTTTGTTTCTATAACACCCAGACAGTCAGTCTTCAGCTTCTGCCCCTCTTTTCCCTGCCAAGAGCCCTTTTCGGGCTTTATCAGCTGTGCCATCATGTTGATACTCTGGGTTGTTCAGGGCTGCCCTGTATGGCTTTCCCCAGCCTCCAGTCTTTATTCAAGGGGTAGTGATGCTCGGATACCTTCCTCCTGGTGGCCTGTAGGCTTTGTTCTTGGTCTACCCAGTTGCCAGCCTGCTCCTGCAGTCCCCTCTCCCAGACTCCTTCTTCATCCCCTCAGGCACCCAGGTTCATCCTGTCTACAAATCCCAGTAACCCTATAATATCTTCAGTGACCTACCCTGGGGTCCCTTTCTTCTGGACACCAGTCACATACATGGTCCTGGTCTGCTGCTTAGAGCTGGGGTTCTTGGATTTTTTAAAATCCCCATGTTTGGGCCATATACGAGACTTATCACCATCTCAGAAGGAGGCAACTGGGGATGTCACTTTGTAAAACCTTTCTGAGGGCTCTCATGCCTTCCCTGGGGTCAAAAATTGCTGGTTCTGAAGACCATGGCTCTCTTGGGCTTGGAGAGTCTTCTCTCTCCACTTGGTCCTTCATTTCACAAAGACCACCTGCCTAGACCACCTGGCTTAAGGCAGGCCATGTGAGCCATAACATTCAAACATGTGTTAACTTGCCCTTTGATCAGTTGAGGAACAGTGGCTTATTCCTCTCTGCTGTTTTCACTTGTCACTGCTTGGTGGTCATGGAGCTGGGCCTGGGCAGATGCAGGAAGGTGATGACTGGGAATTCAGGATTCCTGCTGACCTGTGTCTCTGGATGAGGGAGTCCCATGCCATCTTCATTCCAGAATCTTATTTTCTTAATAAGGGTGATTCAGAGCTTAAGGACAATGACACCTAGCAATATGTAGCATGGCATGGCTTAGAAAATATTCTCATATCCATTTTCACACACTTTGAGAAGTAGGCAGAGAAGATATGACTGTCAATGAAAAGGGACTTACCTAAAACCACGTAGCAAGTTTGCAGCAGAGCCAAGACTAAAACCAGCCCCTATCTTTAGGTTAGGTCTCTTGCACCCAAGCATACCCCCTTCCTCTTTCATCCACCTGCACCTCCTGTGCATGACAGCCCCAGACAATGAAGGCCTAGGCACCATAAGTTGGCACGTGCCCTCTGTAATAGCAAGCTAAGGTCATCCTGGGGCAGGGGCAGAGGCAAGAGAGGATGGCAGGGAGAATTATGCATAGCATTGTCATTTTCTGAGTCCCCAGTGTAGCTAAAGAGGCAGCCTAATGAAGCAGCTTCTTCTGGAAACTCCAAGGACTATGTCCTGGGAGGGAAAGCCAAGCCCTCAGGCAGCACTCAGGGGAAGAACAGATCCACATATGCATAGTGCTCCAGCTAGGATCTGGCCACTCAGGGGTTGTCACAGAAGATATGACAGTCATATCTTCTCTGCCTATTTCTGAGACACCCCCATGGTCACCCTTATGGGATACTGCAGCCCTCGAGCTTCTAGCACATAGATAAGGAGCCTGCCCCTGCCAGGTTCCTTCTAACAGCCCCAGCCTCCTCCCCTTCCTCCCTGCAGTCCAACTTCAGCTAAAGCAATATTTTAGGCTACACAGTAGAGAGAGAGAGAGAGTCTGCTGAGAGCCAACTCGGCCTCCCTGGCACAGGAAGAGCCAGGCTGCATGGGACCTACACAGAGAATAGACTTAGCCACCAACCTCAGCAGGGAAGAGGGGAGAAGGGAAGACAAAGCTATGATTTCTCATTAATCCTCTACACTATGAGCATAACTTGAAATTGGGGTAGATGGGGCATTTTCCTAGTAATTAACAATTTTATAAAGACAAATGCATGATGAGGTCAGAGTCACTAGTGAGATGAGGTCAGCAGGCCAATGTGACTCTGCCTGATGGGACCAGCCTGTGTGTAAAGAAAGGATGTCCCAAGTCTTTGCTATTGTGAATAGTGCCGCAATAAACATACGTGTGCATGTGTCTTTATAGCAGCATGATTTATAGTCCTTTGGGTATATACCCAGTAATGGGATGGCTGGGTCAAATGGTATTTCTAGTTCTAGATCCCTGAGGAATCGCCACACTGACTTCCACAATGGTTGAACTAGTTTACAGTCCCACCAAATGTCCAACAATGATAGACTGGATTAAGAAAATGTGGCACATATACACCATGGAATACTATGCAGCCATAAAAAATGATGAGTTCATGTCCTTTGTAGGGACATGGATGAAATTGGAAACCATCATTCTCAGTAAACTATCGCAAGAACAAAAAACCAAACACCGCATATTCTCACTCATAGGTGGGAATTGAACAATGAGATCACATGGACACAGGAAGGGGAATATCACACTCTGGGGACTGTGGTGGGGTTGGGGGAGGGGGGAGGGATAGCATTGGGAGATATACCTAATGCTAGATGACACGTTAGTGGGTGCAGCGCACCAGCATGGCACATGTATACATATGTAACTAACCTGCACAATGTGCACATGTACCCTAAAACTTAGAGTATAATTAAAAAAAAAAAAATTAAAAAAAAAAAAAAAAAAAAAAAAAAAAAAAAGAAAGGATGTCAGGAACAGGCCTTAGGCCAAGGAGCCCTCTAGAAAATGCATGAGCCGCTTGCCACACATCCTAATGCGCAAGTTCTCCCCATAGCTTCCTCTACTCCCCTCTCACCTGTTCTCTTCTCACCACCCACGCTCTTCACAACAGAAACAGCTCTAGGCCAGGACCACTCTTTGCTGGCTGTGCTGTCTAATTGGTCTCCAGGTGCCTCTGCACAGCCAAGCGACTGGTCACCACGACTTTGACAGGAGACGGTTTCACAGAAGCAAAGTGAAAGCCAAGAAAATACAGTTCCCTGGCCATAATGAAAGTCTGTTCTGTTTCCATGCAGGAAAAATAGCATGGAACCAGAAGCGGAGAGATTATTCTTTCTGCCACCCTACAAAGTCCCAGTTTCACATATGCAGAAAAGATATATCAAATCAGCACAACTTTATGAATCATAGAGCCATCAGCATTTGACCCAGCCAGGCTCAGAGGACATCAATTCTCAGGGCTGTGTTGGGAGAGAGTTCGTTGTTGAAGGCTCACTGTGTCTCACCTGCAATTCTCTGTTATCCACCATTCTCCCTGCTTCTGCCCTCATGATGATTGTGCTAAGTGGGCTACACCAAAACCATTGTGAATGGCCACCATGTCCATCTGGCAGCACTCCGTGAGCACCAAAAATGAGTGGAAAGCCTATCCCTGAAGACACACCATGGAGACCAGTAACAAGTACTTCCAAATGCACTTCCCACCCCCCACCAAAGAGTGCAGAGTCTTCCCAAGATCACCACTTTTGCTCGAAGGTCCCCTTGCCAGCCATCAGAGTCCAGTTACCTGCAGAGTTAAGGGCAAAGATTTCAGGGGATTCAGCTGAAAGTTCTTGAGACAAGGGCAAGGGGCCCTTCTCTTCCCTTTCAGGGCACAGAGTTCAGCCAGGATGCTGGGCCACAAGACCCAAGATGCCACTCTCCACGCTCAGAAATATTACCAAAATGTGGCTTCCCATGCCTCTGAAGAGGCAAAGTGATGGTGCCATGGGTTCCCCATTTCCTTTACCCTCCAATGAGTTTGCAATAAGTAGTTTGTAAAGTCAAGCCATGTTCACAATAGCTCAAGATTAGAAATGTCCAACAAAACTCAGGAGGGGATCGAGACTGGGAAGGAGAAATGGAAAGAAACAATTTGGATTTACATATTTGTCCTCACAGGCCCTCTCAGGACAGCCACAGGAGGTAACTGACAAGCTACACGGACAGCAGAACCCTCTAAAAAAGAAAAGTTCCAATTAGCCCAAAGAAATGAAAGCCTGTTCCCAGAGACCCAATTAAATCAGAACCAATCAATGCTTGCTCTGGTTCCTGCCATTCTGCTCAGGATATAATGAGAAAAATGAGAGTGCCCCAGCCAGCAAGTGTGGTGTGGCAGCCCTCTGAAAACCAAAGAAATCACCCACCATGCGCTGCTGCAAGCATGCCGGGAAGCTGCTGCACCTGTGCCTTTAAGAACTCAGCCTGGTGCCTTGGTCCCCACTTAGACCCTGCCAAATGGCAAAGATAGTGACCCATCCCAACCAATGGGACAAAGAGGAGGACTGTGGGACCAGGCTGGGATGGTTTTAAAACTGTTGACGTTGATGCATCAGTGGATCTAAGATCTGGCACTCTCTCTCCTTTGTTTCCACACAATCCGTCATGGGTACCAGGACCAAGAAATCCAATAAAGACACAAAGGCGCAGCTCCCTGTTCTCAGCAGGCCTCAGGAAGGCTGAGTGAGTGCTCTGGCCCAGGCAATTAGCTGAGTCCAAAGGATTGCAGAGCTGATGGCACTAACAAGCCTGCTTGGCACTTCAGCTGCAGGTGTCTGGGGAGCAAGGTAAGTGGGGAAGTAAACTGGCATAGGCTGGTCTGGTGCTCAGGCAGGGTGGGGGTGACATCAGAGAGGGAAGCTGGCAGGAGGCTCACAATGGAGAATAAGTTGCTGATACAGCCCCCAAGACCCAAAGGACTAAGGGTAACCCTAGGGGTACATTAAGGTTAAGGTGGTCATTTCTGAGGTCCATATAGGAAGGCTTCCTTGTAAAAGAATCAGGACCTTTGAAGGCTCCAAGCAAAATTTAATAAGGGAAAGCAGTCTTCTCTTCCCCAACCCTGGATTCCCCCACGTTCAGCTTCCATGCACTTAGACAATGCATAAGCTGAGGGGCCTCCAGATCCTTCTATTCACTCCCAGAGCAGACTGAGCCTGCAGCCAGTTCAGCACATTTATTGCCACATGTTGAATATGGGCTTTCTAGGGCTAGTGCTAGTGATGGCTAATATGAGCACACAGTATCCTGACATTTTCAAACTGCAAAGTTTGCACTACTCTGTGTCATTTAGAAGCAAAAGTTAATACAACACATGATACAGTCCCACTCCCATTCCAATAGTTTCATCTCCTTCCAGGGCCTGGCAATGAGCCCCTAGAGAAAGACAGCCAAGCCAGAGGGCTTTGAGTTAATGAGCTACACGGGTTCAGTACCAAGTTGAGTGCTGTGGGAGCTGGACTGAAATGAACTAAAATATTTTCCAAATTCAGTCCCTTCTCAATTACCCTTCAGTGAATTGTCCATGGCAACCCAAATTCCAAAGTCTCCAGCCCCAGAGCTTAGGGCTGGATGCAGGATATAGGGGTGTGTGTGTGTGTGAGTGTGTGTGTGTGTGTGTGAGAGAGAGAGAGAGAGAGAAGAGAGAGAGATAAATTCAACACTTCAACACTAAATATTATGGACTGGTTATTAAGTTATTTTCCACTGTTTGAAACTCTCCCCATCTCTTTCTCTCACCATGAATAATAAATATGGACAACCTGGTTGGACATGATTGGAAAATCATCAGGCCTAGCACTAGGAATGGGAGTCCTCAGAGCTTTATAATAAGCCATTAGACTATTTTCTGTTCCTGTATGACCCAGAATTATTGGTGGGGAAACCTTGCAGATCTGGCCCTGCCATAGATGGGCAGGAAGCAGAGGCTCCAAAGCTTACCCTTGCATGCCACGCTGTTCTCAGGCTCATAGCCAGGCTTGCAGGTGCATCGCCCAATAGGCACCATCCATTCCCCATCCCCGTTGCAGTAGAGTTTGATGGGCACGTCCACTTCCTCTGCGTTGGGGATGCATGTGCCCCGAGCAATCACCAGAGATGTGCTCTCTGCCCCTGTCATAGTCTCTGGAAACACTGCAAAATTTTGCACAATGCTGGGACACTTTTTGAAGAAGACACGGACAGAAAGAAGAGACATACAGGCTCCATAATCCTGAAAAGCGAGGTAAAAACCATTCCGAGTAAGAGGCCCAAAGCTCCTGACTTCTGTGTTTACCTTCATCAGCCTTCCCCCAAAGTCCACCTGGGAGAAGCTCTCATCTGCAGCAATGGTGTCTACTTTGAGGTAGGGGGCCTCAGACCAGAAGGCTGACTTCTTGGTGGCAATGACAGAGTCAGTCTCATAGTAATACAAGTTGAAGGTCTCCTTGCAGGATCCTGGGACATTAGGGAGGCTGCTGCAGTCTCTCACAGTGAAGCGCATCTCTGTGTAGATGCGATGGGCCCCCCGCCGGTTGATGAAGGTGGTGAGCAGCCAATTGTTCTGGTTGGGCTCGAAGACATTGCACACCTGGTAGGTGCGGATGGTGTTCAGGTTTTCATCGTAGCCACTGACTTCTTCCCACTGTACATAGCAGGCCACAGGCACACACATGCAAAAACACAAAATAGAGAGTGAGAATACAAAAATAGGCATAGCAGAGGAGAATCCTGGGGCTAAGGGGCCTTAAGAGCTCACCAGTCCAGCAGATTGACTTGAGAAATGAACACATCTAAGCGCAACTTGATTTTAAAGATCTTATAAGAAAACTTCAGATTTTTTTGCAGCCCATCCCAAAATATAACACACTTCATTCAAGAAAGCTGTCCCTCGCCTAACCCATAATGCTCATTCTGTGACTAGCTTATTACATCCATGGGGACAACATGCAGCTTTCAGCCCATGTGATGGCAGGGACTTTCTTCCTCACTTCCACAGTACCTGCTCTAAAAGCCAATCTGTGGATTGGGGGTCCAATTACTTGACATCCACACCTTGGAAATCCCCATCTTTGAACCTAATTTCTTTATTGTGGTGAAATTCCTTTATGTCTCTGAAAAGCACATGAATTTAAAGCTTTTCAGGGTTTCTCAACCAACTTAGATTCTCATAAACTTTTTTTCAATAACATCAATCTCTTTGAAAGACTGATATGGTTTGGATGTTTTTCCTTTCCGAATCTCATGTTGAAATGTGATTCCCAATGTTGGAGGTGGGGCCTGGTGGGAGGTGATTTGATTATGGGGGCAGATCCTTCATGAACGGTTTAGCACCATCCCTTTGGTGATGAGTGAGATTTGACTGTTTAAAAGAATCTGGGAGCTCCCCCTTCTCTCTCTCTTGCTCCATCTCTCACCATGTGACATGCTGGCTCCCCTGGCCTGCCATGAGTGGAAGCTTCCTGAGGCCCTCAGCAGAAGTAGATGCTGGCACTATGCTTCATGTTCAGCCTGCAGAACTATGAACAAGTTAAACCTCTTTTCTTTATAAATTACTCAGCTCAGTTGTTTCTTTATAGCAATGCAAGAGTGGACTAATGCAAAGACCTAGACTATAAAACTGGTAAAAGTGGAGGCTGCTAAGAAGAACCCTTAATGAAGCAAATGAAGCTCTATTGTGTGCAAATTTCAAGCAAGGCTATGATGGAGGAAAATGCTGGAGGGTGTTACTTTAGTGAATAATGAAACTTTCTTAAGGGAAAGACAATCATGATTCACATTAGAAAAGTGAGCTCCCATTTATAGCAGTCCTGTAGATTGGAATAAAAGAGAAGAACAACACATGTATTAAGTGATGTCTTTCACTATTCCCAGCAACTTTCAGAACCAGGTATTATTATCCCCAATTTACAGATGAAAAGACATCATGCAACTCACCCATGCTTATATGGCTAAAAGAGATTATGAGAGAAGCTAGTAAGAAATACTTTGAATGGTCAAAGAAAATCACCTAAGAACTTCTAGAAGATTATTTCAATAACAGGCAATGAGGGTTGGAGGGGAGTCAGGAGGGGTCTTTATAGGCATGGTTCCCTTAACTGAGCTCTCTAGGGCAGGGGTCAAAGAAGAGTTGCTGGGTCATTCTTTCTTCCTTGTGCTTGGAGAAAAGGAGTTAAGGAAGAAGCTGCCCACAGCTGGGAGCTCTCCAGATCCTGGTCTCAAGAACGGAGGATATTTCCAGGAATAAATTTAAACTTATATTCTGTTTGCCTAGAATTAAAAAAAATAGAGAAAAGAAATTAAACTTCCTAAAGTGAAAATGAATTAAGATCCTTGACTATTTAGGAGTGGTGATCAAGGTAACCAAATCATACCAGTATCTTTGAATATTATGCTAATTATTTACAGTGGTGGACTTTAAATATATAGACTAGAATTCTTCATTAACAGAGCTAAAAGCCAATTATGTGTGCATGGAAAATATACTGCAATTGCTCCTTGCAAGGAGTAAAGCCCCCTGTGGAGGCAAGTGGATAGAAGCAAGGCTGTCCTCTAAACCTGAGTGAAGGAAACCAAAAAACAGGCATAGTGTGGAGAGGTGGGGAAATGGGCACATTGAGAGCTGGCCCTGCATGCCCAGGTCTGTAAAGTGACGTCACTCATGGTCACTCCTTCTGTCTGGGCCTCTGCCACCAAGGCATCTAAACTGCAGTTAATCCAGGGTCCTCCTGGACCCCAGACTCCCAGGACTCCTAGAGTGCCAGTTCCCTCACCAACTTGAAGTCCTGCCAGTCCCTCACCAACAGATCAGCTCCTGCCAGTATCCTTGCAGCAGTTCCGGGACACACAGGCCATCATGATTCACTATCCTGGATAGTCTCAGCACCAGGCCAAATATCACCCAGCGCTCCACCTTTCAAGTTGGAGCACTTGACCTCCAACCACACCATTCATGACCCACCAGCATCTCTCCCTGCTCCACTCTACTTTCTGCAATGCCAAAGACTAACATCCCCAAACTCACAACTCTGTCTCCCAGTTCCAGGCCTGTTCTTATGCTGTGCTTTCTACCTAGGATGGCTTTTTGTTCTTCTTTGCCTGAGTTACTCCAGCTCTGGAAAATCCCCTCACTTAATTAGATAGCATATCATAGCATATTAGTCCATCCTCCACGCAACAGGTAAGAACCTGTGCACACTGGCCCTGGGGCACCTACCTCCCCAAGGAGTCAGTGAGCCCTGAGGGGGCTGCAGCACATCGCTGGAGTGGCGCATCCACAGTCCACACAGCTCCTTCACAGCATGCCTTGTGCCCAGCACATGGACATCCCTGTGCCCAGGCCCCACCATGTGGCCAACACGGAAGAGATGTCTCACCTCTGTGGCCTGCATGGAGTATAAATTCACACTGTCGAGCCTCACCTGGACTTTGCCTAATTCCTTATTGATTCTCTAGATGTAAAAGAACCACTTTTTCTGCCTTCTTGAACACTGTGTTTTGTTCTATCAAATGTGTTTATTAAAGTTACGTTCTGCTTGCCTATTTTTTTTTTCAGCCATGGAGAAGTCACTGACAATGTTTCAGATCAAATTTTTAGACCTCCCTCCCTTTCCATGGCTGTTATAAAACAGCATTTTCTCAGTTGACCCTACATGACTTGAGGAAAGGAAATTTTTTTTTTTTTTTACTGTTCTGCTATTGTTGAAACACAACAGTCTCATGATCCATTATTCCAGTTGGGTCTCAGTACACACATGGGGCCCCTCTGTCAATGTACAGGTGAAGCATGTGACCCCATTTAGAGTGGGGGTCTGGTCACAGCCAGAGTTCTTGACACACCCAAGACTAAAGGAGCTCTGATGTGGGCTTCACCTTAGCACTGAGACAGTCACCACCAGGAGGTATTTAAATAAGCAAAATGAGGCCAGGTGCAATGGCTTATGCCTATAATTCTAGCACTTTGGAAGGGTGAGGTGGGAGGATGGCTTGAGCCCAGGACTCAAGACCAGAATGGGTGACACAGAGAGACCCCATCTCTACAAAAATAAAAATAATAAATTAACCAAGATTGGTGGCTTGTGCCTGTAGAACCAGCTATTCAGGAGGCTGAAGTGGGCGGATTGCTTGAGCCCAGGAGGGGCTGCAGTAAGCCATGCTCGCACCACTGTACTCCAGCCTGGGTGACAGAGCAAGACTCTGTCTCAAAAAAATAAAATAAAATAAGCAGCATGAGGATTTCTACTCTCCTATGGGAGCTGAGATATTGAGAAAATTTATCTTAGAAAATGACACTGATTGGTATTATAAGACCCAGCAGAAGTAATTGTTTCAAACATTAACCTCTCTGGGCCTCAGTTTTCTCATCTGTAAAATGAGAAATCACAATGGGTGACCCTGAGTTGTAAAATTCTACAGATCTAATTGATTCCATGACAGCTCCTAAGGGAGTGATCAAAGCAAATGAGAGGAAATTCAGCTGCATATTCAAAGGGAAAGAGTAGAAGCAAATTGAGAGAAAGGAAAATAACTCCCTGTTGTTGGGAAAAGGCCATCATAGAGCTTCCCATTAATTTCTTTCCCTCTTTCATTCTTCTGTCAGTGAAAGCTCTGTAGGGGTTGAAGAAATAAGTGATCAGAGTGGGCTTCAGGAGGCACATATACTTTCCACAGCAAGTGGTAATTAGAACTGGGGGGGTCGAAGAAAGAGGAGATGTTGGTTAATCGAGATGAGGGTAGAATGGCATTCCCAACAGAGAGAGACAAACATATACTTCATTTACAATATTTGGAATCAGTCTCATTGCTTTATATTTATACCTCATTCATTCATCAATGAAAAAAAAATGTCTACTGAATGTTAGGTTTGTGCCAGGCGCCATTAGCCACTGGGGATATAACAATATGAAGCTTATAATCTAGTGAGAGAAACAGAAATTAGAAAATGGTTACTAAAATAACTAAATAATTACATTTGTGTTAACTGCTGTGAGGGAAAATTACAGGGAGCCAAGCACGGGGGTGCAACGGATATATGAAGATTGTCAGGAAAGACCCTCTGTATGAGTCCATTTTGTGTTGCTATAAAGGAATACCTGAGGCTGGGTAATTTATAAAGAAAAGAGGTTTATCTGGTTTATAGTTCTGCAGCCTGTACAAGAAGCATGGCACCACAATCTACTTCTGGTGAGGCCTCAGGAAGTTTCCAATCATGGAGGAAGGTGGAGGAGCAGGCATGTCACATGGTGAGAGAGGGAGCAAGAGAGATGCCAGGTTCTTTTAAACCACCAGCTCCTGTGTGAACTAATAGAGTGAGACTCACTCATTACCATAAGGAGACCATCAAGCCATTCATGAGGGATCCCCTGCCATGACCCAAACACCTCCTGCTAGGTGCCACCTCCAACATTGGAGAGCATGCTTTAATATGAGATTGGGAGGGGACAAACATCCAAACAATATCACCCTCCAAGCTGAGAGGGGACAGGTAGATAGAAGTAAGCCAGGAGAAGTATGCACCTTCTGGGAGCAGAATAGGAGCAGAGCCTCTGGGCCAAACAAAGGCAGGTACAAAGGCCTCATGATAGGAAAAGTGGCCTGGTGCCATTGAGGAATGAAGGCTGTGTGACAGACAGCCATAAGAAGCTGGGGGTGGCAGGAACAGGACTGAGAGGAAGATGAATCCAGTTGAGAATTTTGAACTTCATCCTGAGTGTAACTAGAAGTCGCTGATGAGTTAGGGAGAAAAAAACACAGGCGATCAGAGCCGAGCTTTTAAAAGCTCTCTCTGACGCACTACAGAGACAGGTTTTGAGAGCAGCCTGAGTGTATGGGCAGGACAACTGGAGTTCATTGTGGGTGCCCAGGCAAGAGATGGTAGGTTGGAACAGACCAGCAAAAACTGGAACGATGCTTTAGGGGAGAATCTCTAGACCTTCACTGAGCCACAGACTCAAGGGGCCATGTGTCCCCTGAACACTCTTTCAGGTATCAGTCCTGCCTCGCCAACAAGGCTTTGGGCTTCCCAGATCCTTAGGAATGATGATTACTCACCTCTTCCCTCTCTCTTTTCTTAAAAAAGGGGGAATTTTACCAGTCTTGCATGCACTACACTGTAGATGCCCAATTTCCTATTCAGGGCCAAATTTCTTTTACCCAAAGCCTGTGCTGGTTCTAGTTCTGGCAATGTGTTCTCACTGCCTGCCCGAAAGTCAGTTTCCTAAAGATCTTCCATTCAATGGCTGCTTCTTAGCCTCCACTTCTAGGCATTTGACATATTGCTTCTTGTATTCCTTCCTGTAATTATCTCCTCCCATTAAAACAACAGCAAAACACCATGATTTGCTTATCAGATTTGCAGAAAATTAAAAAGATAAAATGTCAAGTCTTGGTAAGAAGGTGGGAAAAAGAGCACTGCCCAAGCCTATTGATGGAAGTATAAACTGGTGAAATCTTCTAGAAATCAATTCAGTAGCTTCTCCCAATACTTCAAGTGTGGGCCAAAACTGAAATCAATATGAAGAAGGTAAATCATTTTAAAAATTGTAGTGATAACTAGGTGCCCATCTGGAAAAAAAAGAAAACATAACTTTTGTTCCATACTTATACCTTACTCCAGAATAAATTTCTGGTGAACCCAAGATTTAAACATTAAAAATGAAACTACAAAGATACTAAAAGAAACCATGGAGAAAATTTTTGTATACTAATTGTGATATGAAACTCAGAAGCCATAAATAAACATATTGATAAATTCATCTCTATACAATTTTAAAAATTGGCATGACAGAAATAGCCATGAGCAAATTTAAAAGGGAGGAAAAAAGAAAACCTGATAGAAAAAAAGTATTTGTTACTTACCACAGATAAAGTGTTAATATCCCCTAATATATAAAGAGAATCCATAAGTCAATAACAAGATAGAAAATTGGGCAAAGGGTATCAACAAACTGTTCACTAAAAAAGACATAGATATAACTCTTAAATATATGAAAAGATGCTGAATCTCACTCTTCATAAAGTGTGAGTTGTTAATTAGCCACATTATGATACTTTTTGGGGGATGTCAAAGAACAAAAGTGTGATAGCACACTGTGTTGGACAGGACATAGGAGATAAGAATTCTGACACACAAATGGAAGAAAAGGAAATTTGTACAACTTCTATGGAAATTTTGGTTTTATTTATCAAAATTATGACTACATACACCCTTTGACCCAGCAATTCCACTTCAAGGATAATTTCTGACTTTTATCTACGTGAAATTAGGTACACACAAAGTTATCAACTGCAGCCACCACCACCTCCAGAGCTTTATTCATATCCAGAAAACCTACAGGTGGACCACTGGCCTTTGGACAATACAGTAGCCTTCTCAGAATTTGCTGAGTAAGACCTCTGGAAGCATAGTCCTAGTGGAAAGAGAAACCATTAATTGAGATTGAACTTCTCACCAACCAGTGGTATAGGGGACTCAGAAGAATCTGAAATAATTAGACTAAAAGAAAATAAGGTATAGGACATTTCTCATACATCTTTATATGAGGAGTAAGCTTCATACTTGCCTCATGCTAACCTGACTGTTGTCCTCCTTTCTTGGACTGGACTCAGCTGGACTCTTTAATATGTCACCTAAGACCCTTTGTTGTCAAGTGGTGAGTGCATAAACAAAATCTGATGTGCCCATACAATGGAATACTATTCCAAAATAAAAAAGAATGAAGTACTAGTACGTACGGCAACATGATGAATCTCTAAAACATTATGCTAAGTGAGGAAAGCTGTGTGTCTCAAAAGACCACATATTTTGTGATTCTATACACATGAAATGTTCAGAAGAGGCAAATCTACAGACAGAGAGGTATGTTAGTATTTGCCTGGGGCCATAGAGGGAAATGGGGAGCGACTACAAACTGGCATAAAGAATCTTTTTAGGAGTGATAAAAATGTTCTAAAATGAGATTGTGGTGATGGGTTACAAATTCTGTAAGTTTACAAAAAAATTACTGAATTGATTAAAACTTTAATACACTTAAAATGAGTGAATTTATTGCAGGTAAATAATACCTTAATATAGCTTTAAAATAAAACCCCTCTGTTATCTGGTCCAGCCCACACCTCAGTATCCCAACAATGCTCGCACGGTCTCCATTATCCACACGTAGCTTGTTCATGGTGACTTATGCCCCTTCTCATTCTATCATCTGTACCTTGGATGACCTTCTTACCCCTTTATCCCTGTATCCCAAGTGCCAATCATTCATTCAATCAAACATGTTATGAATGATGCCTAAGTTGAGGCAAAGGTGGCATCTAGAGGGGCTAGGAGGCCAAGGAAGCATCCCTATCACTGATACTGAGGACCTGGGGAGTATCAGGGTGTGGTCCAAAGTCAGCATCAGAATCTTGGGCTCAGGACCCCATTCCAGGACCACTAGATTTTCCAACCTGGAGGTCAGTCGGGTATTCAAAAGGCCAAAAATGCTCCCCAAGTTCAACACACCCACTTCATCACCACAATGTGCCATTTCTTCCAGAACCATCCATATCCCCCCATCTGGCCTGTCTCTTGCATTCCTATGACCAGTGCACTAGGGCTGGCATCACCTCATGCCCTGGTCGGAATATAGTGACAACAGACAGGGCAAGAGATGTCAAGGGCCCAAAGCAGGGCCATATCCTCTCATAACTGGACAACAGAGCCCATGCCCATTTCTGCCCCTCGATGTTGTTGCTGATGTTCTGACTGACCCTGATGCCCTTCTTTTACCTCACCCTCATCCCATCTGAACTGAGCTAGAGAAAGGCAGATGTGGCTTGGAAACCACTCTAGACCATGTTGGTCATGACGTTTTGTTGACAAATGGGCAGAGTGAGGCCCAGAGACATTCAATACCAGGCCCAAAGTCAGGTGGTGGATCCATGGCAGGGCTGGATTCTCTTTGCAGATCCTTCCTTCGAGGTGGCTCCAGTCTTATTTCCTCCATAATCCTTTCCCTGGCTTAGATTTATCTGCCATTTTTCTGAATGCATAAAGCATGATTGAGTTTATTCCACGCAATTTAGCATTTGATAATATACTGTTTTGAAATATTATTTAATTGCTTCACTTGTGTGACTTTGGTTTCTGCTACCAGGCTGTGAGCTCCTTCAGGACAGTAAATTAAACTTTGACTAATTTATTAGTTCATTTCAACAAGAAAAATAATTCCATGCATTTAGCTTCACAACACTGGAATTATGGAACACCATTTTATTCAGTAACATCTGGGACCAGTGAAATCCACTCCATTTTCATCTCACTTTTTATCCTAGGTGATCTCATCCATATACAAGGCTTCGACCACCATGGAGTGCATCACCAACTTGACCTCTCCCCAATACCCCAGACTTGTATATTCTGCTGCCTGCTGGATGCCTCCTGATAAATAACCGGGATGCACCACCTTGCCCTTTGCAGCCCTGATGCAGTCTCACCTCTGTCTGAGAATGACACCTCAACCACCCAGTACCAGATGACTAGGAAGCACTCTAGACTCTGCCCTCTCCATTTTGTTTTGTTTTGCTCCTCATCATAGGAGGTTAACCCCCAAATTCTATGTCTCCTATCTCCATAGCTCTTCTATTCAGCCCTCCCCTTCTGTTTCGTCATTGAATTCTCTTTACCCTCCAAGTAACTCTCCCAGTCATTCTCCTTAATTCCCCTGCTCGTATGAGTTTTCTAAAATACAAATCCATCTCCCATATGAACCCAATCCTACAGGCTGGGACTGTGTTGGGTATTGCTCCATATTCCCAGTGCCAAGCCCTCAAAATATCCTGGAAGACTGAGGCAATGAGCAGAGCCCCGGCCTATTCTTTAACTTCTCTCCCTTCTTTACTGCAGGTGCCACCAGGCTAACCTGTCTTTGTGAAAGAAGAAACAAATCAACCTTGCACAACCAACAGATTATTAACTGCCTTTGAAAGAGCACTATTTTGACACAAATGGATCACCTGTCCTTGAGATAAGCATAATAAAGGAAACAGTGACATCCATTAGAAAGTACTTGTTCAGGCTTTCAGATCATGACTTTGATGTATGAGAAAGACACTTTCAGGTCTCTCCAAGATCTAGGTTTGTTAGGCTTGCTTATTGGAAGTCAGAGCTTGCAGTTCTATTGCTAGAGTGCCTGTTGACATTTGGACAGTGCATATTGACTCTCTGCAGTCTGGCTGATTGTGTGTGTGTGTGTGTGTGTGTGTGTGTGTGTGTGTGTGTGTGTGTCTGTGTGCATATGTAAAGCATGCTATCAAAACTCATTTATCTGTAAAAACTGTTCCCCTTTCAAAATCATTGTCATGGGCTCTACTCATTGGTCCATCTACACTACCTTCTAGAAAAACCTTCAGAAACTCTGACACATTCTTTATGCCCCAAGAGTGGATTTGAATTTCAGAAACAGGCAAAAGTCATTTGGAACCAAGTCTGATTAGTGAGATGGATGAGCAAACTAAGAAATAATATTACTGGTCAAAATGAAGAGCCACTATAAAATGAAGGTGAGAGATTTGAGCTGATTCCACTCTGTGCCTCTAAAGACAGTTCCAAGCACAGAATTCTGGAAAGATGTTTGATAGTTGGCCCCTCCCTGGACTGATGCAATGTCCCCCACCCCACACAGGCAAAGATCATTTGGAACCAAGTCTGATTAGTGAGATGGTTGAGCAAACTAAGAAATAATATTACTGGTCAAAATGAAGAGCCACTATAAAATGAAGGTGAGAGATTTGAGCTGATTCCACTCTGTGCCTCTGAAGACAATTCCAAGCACAGAATTCTGGAAAGATGTTTGATAGTTGGCCCCTCCCTGGACTGATGCAATGTCCCCCACCCCACACCAGGCCCGCTCCTCTAAGAATGCCCAATGACTATCATGATGCTGCATCATTATAACCTCCATGAATAAACCATTTCTACAGGGCCTGGCTGGAAAGGGGCACTTCCTCTGGACACCTTTATTTAAGACAGGAATAGAAATAATTGAAATAGGCTTTTTGGCCTCTGTTGACCTAATACGATCCCAGCTATTCTGATTTGTTTCAAACCCAGCTCATTTATCTCATTTATTTAATAAAGAGTCAAACATCTACTACAGCAGCCCCAAGCAACATTCTAGGAGTTGGTGAAACAGCAGTAAATGAGAGACAAAATCCCTGTCCGCATGGACCTTATATTCCACTAGAGTTAACCAAAGCATGAACAAACAAACAAATGAATAATATAAAGTCAGGTAGCATTAACAACTACTAAGAAGCAGGAAAGGAAATAGAGTGACAGCTGGCAGTGGGGTAATCAGGGAAGATCTCCCTTTGAGCTGAGATCTGAATGAAACACAGGAGCTAGCCTGGAGGGTACACGAAGGAGGAGCATCCCAGGCACAGAGGGCAACCAGAACAAGTTCCCCAGGGCAAGAAGGTGCCTGGCCCATTGCTGAGAAAGCCAAGATGCCAGTGTGGCTACAGAAGTTTAAACAGCAAGAGAAACACTGAAAGATATGAAGCTGGAGAGGTTGCCAGGGCAGGCAGACCCCACCTCTGCCAGTTACAGCTCTGTGATCACAGACAACTTTCTGAGCTTCAGTTTCCTCACTCGCAAAATACTATTTACTTTGCAGGGTAATACGAAGACTGAAAGATCATGGATGTGGAAGGAGCTCATCTAGTGCTGTGCCTGCACATAACTACCATTCACTGAGTACCAATTATTAACATTATTATTATGATCATCATCATCGTGATTATGTTAACCTCAGGATCCACCTCCAGCTGAGTCACCAGGGTGTGGAAATCATCTAGATCCTATATAAATAATCCTACCCTTTGGTCAGCAGAATGCAGGAACTAAAAGGCTAAACTCCCTCTCCTTACAGACACAGAGAAACAACCAGCAGTCCCCTTCCCTTTCCCTCTGGGAATCTCCAGGGCTTCCTCTGAGCTGTTTCATCATAGGCTCTCTTCTCTTGAGCCAGCAATCCCTGGACCACTGTCAGCCACCAGCTCAGACCACAAGGAGACAAAATTGGACACATCTTACAGGCTCTGGTCCCATTCAGCAGTCTGTTTTTGGGCACAAACTGCTGTTGAGGGAGGCTGCTATTTTGCAAACAGTTGCTGCCACCATGTCCTGTGGGACCATAATGGAGCTTTCTTGGCATTGCCCAATCCGGGGAGATGGCTGCCCCTGTGAACAAGAAGCCCACTGGAGCCTGGGCAGCACACAACTTCACAGAGCCCACAGGAGGCCAAAGATTCTTCAGGGCAGCAGATGCTCAGGGCTGGGCTGGAGCCACCACTACCAAGCCTTCCCCACCAATCAGCCTGGACCCCAAGGACAAAGCTCCCGTGTAGACAGTAGACTAAGCCTGAAAAAGCTTGGATATTAGACAAGCTAGAGGGCTAATTAAAATGTAAAATGCAGTCCGTGGGGCATAAATTCCTACAAGCCCAGAGGGATCTACCATTTACTACACCAACCAACCAAGGCAGGGATTTACTCAAAGGCTCCCCTGAGGGCTGTGAGCACCAGCTTACCTTCCAATATGCTTGATTTACGTCCCAGATGTGCTGGGCTGAGAGGACAGGAATGCCACCCCCCCACCCCCCATTCATTACCATGGCCTGATGTGGTATTCCATTTGAGAAAGGTGACCGACTCAGGGTTGGAGACTGCTTCTGAAAGCCCAGTGCCTTGGAAGGGCTTCCATATTGTAGCAGTACAAAGCAATGAATTCCCTAAACTGTGAACTCACAGCAAAGATGCCTTCCTGGAAATGCATCACAGCAAGGGGATGGGGGTGAGGGACATAACTGGAATATCACAAACATATACATATTGTTTCCCAATGCAATATTTAAGAGCAGAGCTCCACAAAATCTTGGATGGTAGAGAAATGCAGATAATACTGTAACAAGGTCAAGGTGGAGAAAGTGGCTTCAAGCAGAGTATATTCAGATTGCTAGGAAGGAGGTTTTTGTGATGATCAAAAAAGGGGTGGGGGTTTAAGAACAGCACTGCTCTAACCTTGCCCAACCCATAATCATGCGGATCCCCAGCTTAGCCCGGGGTAAGTTCATAGGCTCTGGAGTCCGCCAGACCCAGCTGTGTGACCATGGGCAAGTCTTTAAACTTCTCTGAGCCTCGACTTCCTCCTCTGCAATACAGGGATAGTACCTAATAGTACCTATCTCGTGAGGCAATTGTGAGGATTAAACATGACTTAAGCTTGCAAGGTAATTAAACCCCAGTAAGAGCCCCTTGTGAGCCAGTTATCATGAATAGCTACCCTCTGGGGACACACACTTAGCCTCTCTCTGAGTGCACATCAGTTATTTTTTTCTTGGAATTCCACTCTCCCTCCATGATGTGTATGCTCTATGACTCTTCTGTCTGTCTGTCAGCACCTGTGCATCTATCATTGATATATGCGTGCTTGGGCGTGTGTGTGTAAGTGCAGGCAGCTGAGGTGTTGGCCATGGCCCTCCCTTGGGTATGCCTACCATCGGAAGGCCCTGTGAGCGCTGGTTAGCTCAGGTCCAGCCACACTACTAGAGGGCAAGGCCAGCAGGGCACGAGCTCTGAAGGGCACACACCTCTTTATACTCCGGCATATTTCACACCCAGGTTTCTACCAGCATGTTAGGGAAAATACTGCAGGCTTGGGTCTGGGCAGGGGGCTCCCTATCTATACACCCCTGGGGCACTGTAACCTCCACCAGGCAGCAGCATTGCGTACCAGGCCCTGCCTGGAGTGGGGTCCTCAGCCATTATGACAGCTGCTGCTGCTGTTGACACTGCAACAGTGACAAATTCATCCTTCTGACAAGATCTCTTTAAATAATTCACAGGGAGTTAGGGATTAAGACACTGTTTCTCTCTGTCTCTGTTGAGATTTAAAACACCTCCAGCTGGGGTATTTAAAGAGGGTATAATGGGCTGCCCCTCCTGGGTCTCTCCTCCCCCTTTCCTCCTTTCCCATTTCCCCAACTCATCGCCCACCCCACCAGCCAGCCCTATAACAAGGAGGTCCAGAAAACAAGAAAGGAGGAAAAAAAAAAAAAAAAAAAAGGAGGGAACCAGTGCTTGGCTGGTCACTATGGCAACGGCGGCAGGGTATTCAGCTGCCATTATTGCAGTGCCTCACACATGTGATTATCTTAAGCTGTCGATTGAATGTGGCTCTCACTGCTGCCCAACACGGCCTTGTAGAACAAGGCAGGGGTGGGAGCTGCAGGCCCCAGGCCCCAGCTGCTTGATACTGCTAAGCCCAGGCCTGGACTCCATTGACAGAGGAGCAGAGAGTCACCCCTGGGAGAGACTGATGGCATTTCCCTTCAGCTTGGCGGGATTTCTGCTCAGAATGTATAGCAGAGGCCAGCCTCAAGCTGGCCCATCATGCTGGGTTACAGGCTAAGGAAATGGGCTCCTCATTCCATGAGCTTGGGAAGTTTTGACTGAGCGTAAGCCATGCTGGCTGGGGCCAGCCAAAGCTGTCTTGGAAACAAGAGAGCCAGCCATGGGAGAAGGAAGGGGTGGGGCCTCTGGCAGGAGCTCTTGGCTTCGTTCCCATTCTTACAATGGAGGAAATTCCCAGTCTCTGGGTGAAAAAAAGCCACATCTGGCCTCAAGAGAGGACACCCCCACCACATTCTGTGTGTTCTCCCAATTGGGTGGGAATGTGGCCACCATGTGTGATCCACTTCAGGGACTGCTTTTTCCTGGGACTTTGGATGCTGGAGCTTGGTCCTAGGAAGCCCTGCAGAAAACTCTGCCTCCATTGAGAAAAAGTATTCCATTCCTTTGCCTCCTGGACTTGGCTTCCCAGGTGCAAGAATATTCTTTGAATGACAAGGTCCCTGGTTAACCCCAATAGACACACTCTAATTTTTCCAATGTCCCCTTTAAAATTCAGCTCCCACATTAAGCCTCTTATGACAGCTATGCTCAGGCCAGCAATGCACACAGTGGGGCTACCATTACCTTCAACTGGCACCAGGACTGCTCCAAATGGCAGACATCAGTCTGGCCTTCCCTGCATTTGCATCCCACGGTCAGCCCCGTGAAGATATGGCCAGTCATACACAGGTCCCCATCACTTGAAGCACTGCCTACCCCTGCCTTGTTACATAATGAACTGTTTGCACCTAAAGGCAAACACAGACCATTAACATTTGCCACATTTGTTTAAAGGCAAAGCTCTTGATCAGCAGATAAGTCAGAATCTTGACTCCTACATTTGTCATGTAGGCTGTCCTTCGTGACACTGGGAAATGTATTGGACATGCCTGTCTCCACCAGAAAGAGCAACAAGTGGGACAGCATGCAAGCATGCATGGAGATAAGGATGTGCCACGATGGGACCCCAGCCTCATTCTATTGTCAGAGCAGCATCTCAAATGGAGGGGGGGGCGCGTTCAGCCCCACTGACACTGAGGACAATGGATGGGACAAAGGAGCTCCCTGGAAACCCTCACAGCTCTCCCTGCCCTTCCCAGCAATTTTCACTTCCTGAACACTTGTCAGGACCTAGGGGGTGGGAAGGAATCCTCTTGGGCTCCTCCATCACTGCCCGGAGCCGGACATACACAGGGACCACCTGTATTCTCTTGAGGATCTCTGGCCAGGGCTCACCTGCTCCAGGCTCCTCTTTGACTTGCTGCTCTTTGGTCCCCCAACCCCACACTTCCCCAAACCACCTCCTCTACCTCCCCCATACAGCTTGCTTTAAACAATGATTTATCAGGTGCTTATCACGTGCACAACTCACTGGTTTGTTACTTTAAAAAGCTACCCTTTTTCTTTTTGAACATTTGCCCCTCCTCATTCCCACTCCTCCCCACCCCAGCTCCATTCTCTGGTTTCTCAACAGTCTGTGAGTCTGTGTTCCTCTCCTCACACTCCTTCAGGGGCAAAGATACAAAAGCGAGCTTTGTGGTTAGACAAGCCTGGGGTCAGTCTCAGCGGCACCCCCACCTAGTCCTGGAACTTTGGATAATAGCTCTTTGGAAATGGAACTTTGGAAATGGGAGAGATGCCACCTTCCTTCCTTGCAGGGTCCCAGTGAGAAGTGAGGTCATACAAGTAAAGCTTGATGCCTGGCACACAGTTGGTATGTAATTAATCGTGATGATTAGTGTAATAGTTATCATTATTAATAATAGCACTGCTATTAATAACAGGGTGTGCTCTCTGACATTGTTCATGTAAGAATCACAACCTATCATGTTGATCTTGTGTCTCCAGGGGCCCTCCTTCATCAGTTGCCACCCTCATCCCATACAAGTTAGGTCTTTCGAACAAGAGTCGTTGTTACCACTAGTACTAATCAGGGCAAGTGGTACTGCACTGAGTCTTACAGTTTACAAAGGTAAACACAATGTAATCCCAATCACTCTATATATAAGATCTTATATTACCTATGTTATAAAGGCAGCATATGGACTTAAAGAGGCTAAAGAACTTAGCAGAAAATGGAAATAAGCCCAGGACATCAGATCCCAAATCCTGGGCATGATCCTTCATACTATTGAAAGTATAGTGGGATTTTGGCCAACTTATTCTATAGCTTTTGCCCATAACTGGAAGTAAGGCCAAAGCCAACATCCCAGAGGCTCAGTTCCTCCTTCCTGGAACCAGGCTCATCTTTCTTCTGACAACCCTGACCCTCCCTTCTTCGCCTGTTTTCCTCCTGTTCGTCTTATCCTCACTCTCCTTCTAATGCTTTGTCTTTGCCAATAATATGTTTCTTTCCTTCACCAAGGTCACCAGTGGGAGTGCTGTGAGTTCAGGCTGTCAGGGCAATGCTGACCCTCCTCAGCTCCATCCCAGTGCCTTTGTCAGGAGCCCTGTGTCCTCTCCTGCCCTGGAGAGCCACTTGTCCTTCAATTTGATAAGTGCTGTCATCAATGAGTCAGTCCTCAGGCTCACATGCCAGTTGCATAAAGGTTTCCAAGACTGGGACAAGGGGTGTAGTGGGGCTACTGTCCTCTTGGGGAAGGTTTTAGAGACATGGAACTACACCTGTCTGGGCCAACAAGGGTTAAGCATTCCTCCAATAGGGAGAAGGTGGGCTTAGGTAACCTCTGGAATTCCCTCCCAGAGTCTGTGGACAGAAATGTCTCTGCTCTGTTGATGAATGAGTCTATGAGCCATTTCCAAGAGCAAGAAAATAAATATGCCAGACAGTAAGGATCTGGTGAACCACCACAACTCCCAAAGTTGTTTAATACAGCAAGCTAGGAAAGCTTCTCTCTCTCTCTCTTTCTCTCTCCCACTCCCCTCCCCCACCCATACCGCACACACACAAAGTCATATCCAATATATTTCTGCAATCAGTGTAATGATTGACATTCTACTGCACAACACGGGTCATCTGTGGCATTCTATTCACCTTTCTGTTAAATGCATACACATGCCCATAAAAACAGTCTCATAGGAAAGCACCATGAAGGCAACCACAAGCAATGGAGCCAGGCAGAGCAGTGGCCTTGCTGCTCATCTGGCCCAATTCTCCTCCCCTGGGGATCCATTGAGGTAGGTCCACCCACGCACGGCCCTGGAGTCTCTTCCCAGAGCAGCATCTGAATCTCGTGGCCACTGCCTTCCATCACTTGGAGGAGGGCCTGCTTCCTGGCTCTCACCCAAGGCCCTCAAGCCTTTGTCTATCACTGTCTCTGTCAGGCAGGTGATTTTAAACTTCCATTCCTAAAAGACGCGTATTATATAAAAAATGTTTTAAGTGCCTCGGGTGTTTTGTTCCTCATTGCTTCATAGAAGTGACATTAATAGCCAGGGAAGAGCTCTGCTGAGTGCAATTATGGAGGATGTTTCAGGTATGAAAGCTGTTTTGAGCCTGCTAATGTTTCCTAATTACAGGCCTTTTGGTAGAGAGAGAAAAAGATAAAGAGTGGGTGGGAGGCCTAGGGTGGGGAGCTCTGACTTATCTCAGTGGTTTACCTGAAGAGGGAATAGGAGGGGAGGGTATGAGGGAGGGAACAGGGAGGTCAGAGGCCCAACAGCAGGGAGGCTGGGCCTCTCGGTTGAGAAAGTGGTACTAATTCCTAGGAAACAGCTCAGAGAAAGGACACCACCCATGTCTCTTACCGTGAGAAAAAAGAAAACCTTTTGCAGACTGAGCCTGAATTCAAGGAGGCTTGGTCTGGGAGTTCCTTCTGGAACCCACTCTCTGAAGATACCACGATGGGTAGCATTTCACTGGGGAAGACAGTGGAGCATAATTGTTGGCAAGAGAGCCAGCATCCAGGAGGTTAAAGGTCAGCATTGGCACTTTTTCACCATGAGACCTTAGGCAATTTACCAGCTGCTCCGTGCTTTAGTTTCCTCATCTGTAAAATGGGGCTACTGTGAGGATTCATGTGTGCCTGGCTATAAGGCACTTAGGGTCTGTCATACAGTGATAGATTTTTTTTTTCCTACCTAGCATCTAGTCATCTTTCCGTTCCCTATATCCTGATTCCCTCTGTTACTCTCTCCTGCCTTTCTCCCTGGCCTTCCAGTAGGCTCTCCACAACACAGGAATGGACACGGTACCTCAGTGTCAATTTCCTCCCCAGGGGATGGTCCAGAGTGAGCATGAGAGGGATTCAAGCCAAGCCAGCCAGGCCCACTCAGAGCTAATTCCAGGGCTTTTACTGGGGGACCCAGGAGGAGATGTCTGATCTTCTCCAGGGCATACAGATGAAAAAGGCTATAGGGGCTGGGGCTGCTGCAGACAGACGTCTTAGGACCAAGAAGAACTCCAGCATGAAACCTACACTGTGGGAGTAGAGAGAGGAGAAAAAAGGATGGGAAGACAGAGAGAAAAGAGATAAAACAAGAGAGTGGGGAGGAGGGATCGATTGATAACCACCCAAACTTGAAGCCACACCAGCCCCTGGACCATTCAGTTTCATGAGCCAAGCTATCCTTCAAGAGTGGGTTTTGCTTTTCTGTCACTGGCCACCAAAAAGTCATGACAGATACTAAAGCATAGAATGAGAATAGCTTCCAGCAATCCGCGATCAGGTCCAAAGCTCCCAAGTCCCCATTCAGTGGTGCCTGTCTGAGAAATCATGGCCAACCCCACCTTCTTCTGCCCTCCTGCCTCTGGCATGTCCTGAAATTCAAATGTGGTGAAATTCCATTCACAAAACCATTTTGCCCAGAGCTAAATTTCTCTTGGATTTTTCTAATCTAGCTCAGGCTTTTCTGTCTTAATAAGCATGATTGAATCATTAAAGGGAGAAAACAGAAAATTCAGCCCTCCAGAGGGTTAGTGATGTGCTAACATTTCCTAAGTGTTTACCAAGGAAAACTTTTTACTGATATTGTTTCATATATGACAGAGTTATTATCCTTACCCCATTGAGCAGAAATGAAAACTGAGACTGAAGAAGTCTAAATAACAGACCCAAGATCACACAGGCAGGGAGTGCAGATCCAGAAAAATAGCCAGTTTATTTGATGCCAGGACCTGAGGCCTTAACTGCTTCTCCATAAAGGTCTTACCCATCAGACCAGATAAATCGTAATTGATTTTGTTCGGCTTTGGAATGGATGAGGTGTTATTAGAGTGGGTTTCTCTCCTGAGTGTGCTTTCCTGAGTCACTTGAGGTGGGCAGCTGGTGGGGGATCTGACAGGGACTGAGGAGACAGCCAGGGGCTGCCAAGTGGCCTAGACAGCGCACACATAAACAACCAAGCAGCAGCTGTGCATTCAGCCTGCGCACCGGCACTCATGGGCATGTAGCTCGTATCAGGAGTTAGTTTACCAAACATGGACATTCAGATACGTGTTGTTCCCTTCACAGAAGCCTGCTCTGGAAGCTCTCCATTCAGTCTAATAATCCTCCCGTTATTGAAAGTGTTTCCAGAACTCTAGAACTGCTTACTGAAGCACAGGGTGAGATCAGCTAATTTAACTTCATACATACACACACACACACACACACAAACACACACACATACAAGCATATGTGTGCAGACACACACATATATATACACATACATATATACATTCATATATATTCATACACATATATACAGATACACATATACACACATATACATATATACACTATATACATATGTACATGTATGCATATATACAGACACATAGCACATATATACATATGTACAAACATAGACACACATATATACATATATACAGACATATATACACATGTATATGTACATACACAAATATACATACACTCATATATACATGCACACACATACTTATATTTCTAAAGAGACATATATGCACACATACATACACACGGAGTACACATGAGCCCAGCTCACTCATCCTGAAGGTTCATGAGGCTTGGCTTCGGACTTCCTTCCTGTTTTTCCTCTATCGCATCCCCTTTCCTATGGTGAAGATCTGCCAGTGTTACAGTAGTCAACAGAGCGTATCACAGGCCCTGAAGGTGGTTCCAGAGGACAGCACAGGAGGAGGAGACTGGAAGCCCTCGCAGCACTTTTTTGAAAGTAAGAACTCAGGTAGATGTTTACACATAAGCCACACATCTCACAAACACAGAAACTTACACACACAGAGGCCAATGGTGGCCCAAGTACAAATGGCCATGAGCCCTGGCCAACCACTTCAAAAGTAAAAGAACTGTGGACTGAGATTTCCAACAAGCAAGTTAAATAAGCCTCTTGATCAGAGGGACTAGGTTTGCCTTTCTAATCCATCACAGCCAGGGGCTGAAAGCAACAGGGACTTTCTTCTGCCTGTCCTGGTCCCCTTTATTATGCTTATCTCAGGAGAAGTGGCTCCATGTGCATCACTAATTATGCTCTTTAAAAAGATATTGACAACCAATTGGGTGTTAAGAGGTCTACAACAAACATGTTACAGTGCATTTGGGTTACAGTAAACCTAAATTAAGTGTCTCCTAAGTTCAGGGGCCTGTGATGGAGATGCAGACAGGTATCAAGAATGATCGTTATTCATTTACTCAGTCAACAAAACATTAATCTGATCCTGTCCTATGCCAGGCTGGTGCTGGGCACCAGGGACACAAAGAGGGAGCTGGCTCATTCTCTGACCAGTGCAAGAGACTGACACATCAACAGTTATTTAACTTACAGAGTGAAGGACAGTATGTTAGAGGTTGGTACAAAGCCCCACAGGCTTAAAAAAATGGGGCACCCACCCCAGCCATGGTGGGAGGAGCATCCAGGAGCGTCCCAGTGGGGCTGAGAACAAAACTGACACCTGAGAGACAGAGTGTCGGGAAGAAGGAACAGAGTAGGGAGGCCAGGGAGCATCTAGGAACTGGAGCAGACCTGGAGGTGCAACCAGAAAGACTGCTACTTACAGAGCACTGCCCATGGTTGGGCACAGCGCTGACTGTTTATCCACAGGACCTCTCTGAACTCCCCACTGCCTAGAGGTCCAGAAATGTAAAGGTTAGGGAGTCTTTCAGGCCAGGGCTAGAAGCCAGCCCAAAGAAAGGGTCACCAGGGCCTGTGGTGAGGGTCCCTGGGATAGCCCGTTAGTGGGAGCTCAGCCTCTCCCTGGCATTTGTTACTTTGTAAATGTGTTTGTTACCTTTTTCCTCTGTTCACCAGGTAGCCCCTGATTTAGATTAAACCTAAAGGCCTTCAATGAAAGGCAGGGTGCTGCAATAGATTATAAAGCAGCATTTTTAATCTGGGCGTACTTTCTGGTTTTGACACGTAATATTGCTTTTCAACAATAAAACTGAGAATGATTTGTGGGCTTTGTGTAGGTGAGTGGTCCAACCCCTTCCTATATCTGGTAGTTCTCAAGTACAGCATCAAAGGCACACACTTAGCCCCATAAAAGGAAGAGTCCCTTGGCCTCTCTCTGGGTCTGAAAGCCTGCCACACAGGCTATGCACTGTGGATGGGGCCCATTGCAATGCCAGCTGGGCCCCTGGCAGCACTGTGTGCCTCCTCTGGATGGGGCAAACCCAGTTCCTTTGAGGCCTCCAGAACAATCTCTGCCTTAAACATCCATGCATGGTATCCTGACTGCAGAGAAACAATCTGAGGACTTTCCCTCCTTTTTGGGCTGACAGTCCATCTCTCTCTCCAAAATCTTCTCCATACTAGGTCTCAGAAAAAGGAGGACCCCTGCTCTCCCAAGCCTCCTGGCTTCTCAAACACCTGAGCTCCTCAGTGCCATGAAGTTCATCCTCCTCTGCTCCAGCAGCTCACACCATGAACCACTCAGAGCCTCTTCACCCGGAAGACCTCTGTGTGTCTTAAATCTGAAGTCAAGGTGCCAGGTCTTCCTCCAGTCCCAGCCATGCCATCACATCTGTTCTTTAGCCTCACTGAGACCTACATCTGGGGCCCCTGGGCTGGTCACACCAGTCCCTCCTCGCCTCACTCTTTCCTGTGGGGTATATGTCATGAAATAAGGTGCCAGCATCCTCAGCCCCTGGCCCCTTCAGTCCTGCCATTTTTTCCTGTGCAACCAGAACTCTGGATGATCCCAATGCCACAGCTCTTCCAGGCAGTCAGGCAGCTGAAGGAGGCCTGTAGATCAGGATCCTCACCCGTGCACAGTTGTCAGCCACAATTCAGCTCTTACTCCTTGCCATATTCCTCTGAAATATGCCCAGCCTCTCTGCAGCTCTCAGTAGCAGTTCCTTTTGTGCCCTCTCAACACCTGCTACCTGGACTCCACATGCCTCACCCTCCAAACCTCACTTCCAACCTCATAGAGAAGATATGCAGCTGAGAGGAATTTTTCTATTTCATGGCTCTGTCACGTCAAAACTGAGCACTCTCAGCTCTCTGTAGGTGCCTTTATCTCTGTCTTGCTATTTCAACAGGAAAGGAGCCATTTCCCCGGGAAAGGCAAATGTGCCCACAGCCCCTTGTTCCCTCCGTCTACCAAGCTCTGTCCTCCTTCTCTTACCAACTGCTGTCTCTACTGCCCACCTCCTACTGACTCTTCACCTCTCTGCTTTCTGGCTTCCTGTGCTGGGCCCCTCTGAAACCATCTGTATACTTAACCATAGGGTTCTTGCAGCTAAACCCAGTGGAAATGTTTAACACGCAGAAGCATTTGCCACTTTTGTGCCCTCCTCCCTGACACACTCTTCCCCTGGCTTCTAAAACTGGACCTCCTCTTGGTTTTCTCCTGCTCCCAGCCCACTCTTTCCCAGTCTCCTGGTCAGGTTCTATTTGGCACTTCAGTGCAGGTTATCCATCCAAAGCTCTCACCTCTTTCCTCTCTGGACACTCCCCTGGGAAACTGCAGCCATGCCCCAGGCTCCCATCTCACTGACATGCGGCCGCCTTCTGATTCCATTGCCCCTAAGTCGAATACTGATGGCACACCTTCCCGTGGGTGCCTCAGAGACGCTTCAAGCTTGACAGGTCCCAGATTGACTCATCCTCTTCCCACCCAAGCATACTCCTCCTCCTGTGTCCTCTGACTCCAAGGATGGCACCATCATCCACCCACTTGCTCAAGTCAGAAACTTTCAATAGTGAAACATTGAGTCAGGTAGTGAACTAGGTGTAAGCTGCCAATGATGAACAAATGCATAGAGTCCTGGCCACCCCGGAGGTTATAATATGGCTGAAGGGGGGCTAGAAATGAATCCAATTCTAACACAGAGAGGTATAAACTTTGGGACTGTGTATTGTGCTATTGGTAAAGCTCCCTGGCACTGAGAAGACCTGTGATGGGGTATCCAACATGGCTGGGATGCAGAGAGCGTATCCCTGAGGATGGACACGAGCAGAGATCTGAAGATAATAAAAGGAGAAGTCAAGAATCAGTTTCTGGCCTTTATAAATGTGCTAAGATTTGGACAGAGAATGCACGTGTGTGCGTGGGGAAAGGAAAAGGGGTGAGATCTGCTTGGCCATGTTGAGACCGATATGCCCATGAGCATCCAGTGAAAGAGGTGGCAGCTAGACATGTGAGTCTGAGCCAGATATACTAACTTGGGAGTCACTGGTGTGTTCACAGAATTGGAGGGTACTGTCCTGGAAGAGCACAGAGGAAACAGACAAGCAGGCCTGGGATGGAAGCATAGTCCTTGATCCTCCTTTTCCACCCAGACCAAAGGCCATGTTGACCCTCCCACTCGTCACTGTAAACTAGACAGACTCAGAAGCTACTCCAGGCACCAGGAGAATGATCTGGCTGTGTCTTGCCTCACAATGAGTGTTGGGGAAAGGCAGCTGAGCATGCTGGTAGCAGGTGGGGAGGGCAAACAGGCAGAGCCCAGGCAGCTGCTGTCTCTAAAGGGCATGCCTTGACTTTGAATGTTTCCCTCAAGGAGAATCTTCCTTGGGAAAGGATATCAGAAGTATAAAGAAAACAGGTGTTGTGTACAAAAACCAAGGGAAAAATTAACCATAAATTATGTTGGGGCCTTGTAAAAACACACAAGCCTTCAAACAATAACATAATTTGTAAAAGATGGCAAATTCTTAATATCCAGGTGATATGGAAGAACTGCTGCCTCATCAGCTTTACATAAAGTCCCAAGTAAAAGTGGGAAGGTTTTCCTGGTTGCCCACAGTGTTACTGGCATGACTTGGCCTTGTTCAGTGTGGTCTGGCTCTGCCCCTGTCCCTGCTCCCTGCTTTAGGGAATGCCAGCTCATTTTGGACCTTGCTTCCCTGTTTCAAGGCATCATGCTTATGCCTCGAGCAGTGCAGTTCTTCAAATGCTGGGATAAAGTAACAGTGAGAAACCAGTGGAGAATGCACAGGTGAGATAACTGTCTGCCCTGTGACCCAAATGTCCCGATTAGAACCACCCCTGCAGCAGAACCAGGGCATGGTGATGATGTGCTATGCTGGAGATCCTTCATGGGGCATAGAGGTTACAGGGATGGGACGCAGAGAGAAGGTCTGGGACAGAGGAGGAGGCCCAGGGCCACCCTGTCCTAGCCAGACATCACCCACTGGCTGGGATGAAGAGAGCACTCCCACCTCCTCTTGCCTTCTCCCTTCATGATTAACCCCTGAAATTAGCCAACTGCCCAAGCCAGGGACATGAACATCATCTCCACCTCCTCTCTCTTTCTCTCATTCCTGCCATAGTCCATCCATTGCCAATTTGTCCTCCTTAACTTCTCTCAAACTAGCCTCTGCATATCCTATTTTAACTTGATTCTTTTGTCACACCCAAGACAGCTGAAAGAGCCTCTTAAATGCCTTTCTCTCAACTGTTCTCGACAATCCTGTCAACAAGTGTGACCATTTCCTTCTCCTGCTCAGGATCTCTCCATTTCCTATAGGATAAAATCCAAGTTCCCTGCTCAGCATGGCAGTCACAGTCCATCGCCACCCTTCCAGGTTCCAACTTACCCTCCAGCCCCATCTCAGCAGCATTCACACCATGCTCTCTTCCATACACACAGACTCTTCCCTCTTATGTGTTTTCATAATCTCATCATCCCTTTCAACCGGCATTCCTCCTACTTAGAACGTCTTTCCAGGCTCTCTTTACAACATCTGTCAATCTCCTACTCATGCTCTAAAACCCAGCTTGCTCACACCTTGTCTGTAAAGGCTTCTTGTCTAACCTCATGGTTTCTCATTCCCAACTCTGTGCCCACACCTACCTGTTGATCTCCAGTGCCACACACTGGTTCCCACAGGAGGCCACGAGCTCCTCAAGGATAATCTATTTTTGTAGCTGGCCAGTTACATGAACACTAGACAAATAAATCATTAATGTCTCTCCAAGGCAAGGTCTAGGTGAAAGAGAGCTTAGCCATTCTGAACTCTACCTCCTCCCTCATGTCTTTGCCTTTGCTGCAGCCCTTTGGGCATCACAGATCTCTGATCTGCCTCAGTGCCACTAGCCTGCGTGCCCCCATCCCCACACAGCGATGGCCCTAGTTGTCTAGGTGTCAGCTTTCAGAAAGGACTGTGTCAAGAGATGGTCTACATCAGCACACGAGGCAGCAGCTCAGGTCTGAGACCCCTGGTGCTGTCTTTGCATGGATGGGCAGTGGACACAGCCATTCACACCTGTATTCCATTCCCCACAGGTACTGCTCTGGGTAGTCTCTACTCCCCTAGATATCATATGGATCCAGGACCTCATAGCAGGACTGAAAGACGAATGGTTTGATACTCACCCCGGACGCAGGATTGGCCGTCCAGCCCAGCTCTGCAGTAGCCGTTCTGGTGTCCATTAACGTTTCTGTAGATTAAAAAGAAAAAACGAATAAACAAAAACAATGAGTCAGAAGGATTGCTATACAGTGGCCCTCAAGGTCACGAAGTTGTTTGTGATAGTAAATGACAGTACTACAAGGAGGTTTGTGCATCTTCAAGCCCAGGTCTCTCTGTGAAGCCCAAGGCTCAGATAGCAAAAGAAGCCCGCCAAGATTATGCAGCTTATGGCAAAGTTGGATACAGACTTCACGTCTGATGCTAAGTCCAGTGCTCTCTCCCCGGTGACCCCAAGGCTCCTGTGTAGGATGAAGTCATCTGTGCACCCACTACTTTACCGCCAAGACCCAGCTTCTTCCCAGATTATTCTTCCCAGAGATTCTGCCAGGGCCGTGTTGAACAAGTAGCCAAAGTTAATTCCTTCCTCAAGCCTTTCTAGGCCACCTCTTTTTGCCTTCTTCCTCCCCATTATGCAGCTTCTCTGGCCTCATCTGTCTGCCCTCCTTCCTCTCCACACATTCTCCTCTGCCTCCCCATCAGGCATCTATATTGACACCCTTGGGTAACTTCCCATCAACTCCAAAGGGCTCACATAGCTTTGTCAAAGGTTTCACATAGAACACAAACACACATCCCACATCCCAGCAGCCTACCATGCAGGTGATGAAGTGGCAAGGGTGGCCACAGCAGCCAGCTGGTTACCATCCTTCCTCTGGCCACAGAAAAGGAAAGACAGACACCTGGATGCTGCTGTGAGCTCCTAGGAGCCGTCAGGGATAAACTGCACATATTTAAAATGTATGATTTGATACATTTTGATATATATGTACACCAGTGAAACCATCACCACAAATTAACATAATAAACATATTCATCATACCCAAAAGTTTATTTAGTCCCTTTGTAATCCTTTTCTTCCTCCTGCTCCTAACCCACCATGTCCCTGTCCCAGGTAATGACTCATCTGCTTTCTGTCACTGTAGAATAAATGGCATTTTCTCACATTTCGTATAAATGGAACCATATAGTATATGCCATTTTTAAAAAATCTTGCTTCTCTCACTCAGCATAATTATATTAAGAATTATTCATGTTGTTGTGTATACCAATAGCTAATTTCTTTTTATTGCTGAGTAATACTCTTTTGTGTGATGTGCCACCATTTGTTTATTCATTCACCTGTTGTTTCCAGTTTGGGGCTATTATTGTGAGAGTCTATGGGAGTTCCAGTTCCTCCATATTTTCATTGACACTTGGCATGGTCATTTGTTTTTAACTTTAGCCATTTTAATCAGTGTGTAGTGATATATCATTATGGTCCTAATTTTCATTTCCTTGCTGGCAAATGGTGTTAAACATCTTGTCACATACTTATTTGTCATCCATAAATCTTCTTTGAAGTGTCTATTCAAATCTTTTTCTCCTTTTTAAATGGATTATTTTCTTATTATTGAGTTTGAGAGGTCTTTATATATTCTGAATACAACTCCTTTTTCAGATATATGCTTTGCAAATATTTTCTCCCAGTCTGTGTCTTATGTTTTCATTTTCATAACAGTGTCTTTCAAAAATCAGAAGTTTTTAATTTTGATGAAGTCCAATTTATTATTTGGTTTTCTTTTACAGTTTAGTGCTGTGTCTGAAAAATCTTTGCCTAACCCAAGGTCACAAAGATTTTTTTCTCCTACCTAGGTCTATGGTTCAAGTTAATTTCTGCATAAGGTGGAAGGTATTGGATCAATGTGCTTTTTTCTTGATGTGGATATCCAATTGTTGCAGAGGGACACTTTTAAAAATTTACACAATGGTGCTATATGGGCAGGTGATGGTGTCCTAGTCCCCTGCATTCCCAGGATATGTATCAAGGGAACAGACACAGCATCTCCCAGCTGCATAGCTACTCAACAAACAGGGAAGGGTACAATATAAATGATGCATTGTTTGGGTTTTTTTCTCCCCTTGTCCTTCCCACTGCCTCCCCTTCCCATAACCATGAGAACAGCCACTCCTTGTTTACCATGTCAGGGAGGAGATGTGAATGCAGAGTCACAAAATCTTGGGCCCACTATGAAATAGAAGAACCCTGTCATAAACCAAAGGTTTGGGGAGAAACCCATCCTAGGAGCAGGACTAAGGGAATTAAAACAGAAGTGATAAATGGGGAGCTATGTGGAAGAAAGGGTCTTCCTATGCTCTCATTGCTCACTCAATCCCAAAGAGCTACCCACTCCACAAGAGAAATGCTGAGAGCCTGTCCAGGACACAGGGGCTTGGATATTCAGCATCCTAGGGAGGTGAGGGAGTGGCCAATGGCCCCACCAGACTAACATGGCACTCAGGAACCGCAGGGGGGCCAAAGGGCCTGAGTGGGTCTAATGAGGGGGACCTGGGAGCACCCAGTGGTGACCTGCATGGGATATAAGCAGGGTTCAGGTGGGGTACAGGGTATCTCAGCAGGTGCCTGTGTGGACAGGAGCCAACAGAGCCAGGGAGTGCCTTCCTCCACAGCTTAACATGATGGGCCTACCTGTAACCCAGATAGCACTTCTGCTACCCCAGCGAAACAGGGGCTCAAACTGGGAATGAACAGGAGTAAAAGCAAATAAAGAAAGCTGCATTTTCCTACCCATGTGAGTTTGTGTTCGGATTGAGTCGTGCCCCATGCATATTTGAAGGAACATAAGCATTGGAGCAGGCTTCTTAAGTTTGTTTTCGTCTCCAATTCTTCTGACAGCTGGGGAGGCTGGTCCCTGCTTAGAGCAGCTCTCCCTCCCTCCCCCCATCTCCACTTCACAGCACTAATAATGATCATCATGACACACCAAATTTACATAATACACTTCTCAGAAGACACTCCATGAGGCTCTGTAGAAACTCATCTCCATGATTATTAAAATGTCTCCGCCAGGTGGGCCTGAAACAGGGGCAACTGAATCCTTGTGGCGGAGTTGGGAATCGGGGTACAGGAAGGTGCAGTGCTTTCTCTCAAGTCACACAGTTTCCCACCCTGACACCAACAGCCTCAAATCTCAGCACATGGACCACAAGGCCGACTTGGGCTTTTGAGGGGCTCTGCTGAAGCTCTGGGGTCTGGCAGGAGTGGGATCCTCACTCATAAAGCCAAGAAGCCACAAAAGCTCCCAGAATAATGCATCCCCCACCCCAACAGCAAGATCATGTTGGAGGAGCAGGGAGCGGGCAGAGGATGGTGGCGAGGAAAACAGAGTCCAGAATCAAATAAAAGAATCAACCTTACTTCTTTGTCGTCCAAGGACTCATTTGTTTTATTAACCCCATAAATACAGCCCAAGACTTCATATTAGTCATGATCACCTGCTCTAGTGCTGTAATTAAATCTGCTTCTAAATAATGTTTTCCACACACTCTGTTGGACAGAATTTGCAGCAAGAGAAATCCATTTCTTTACATCTGCCCATTGTGGAGACAGAAGACCACAAAACCATAAACCATCCACTCCATATGATGAAGGGCAGTTTCTTTTCTGGCACAGAGAGCTCCTGATGATGGCATTACACTCTAGTGGGGGCTGAATAAAAGTGATTTGAGCAGGTTTACATCTCCCTGGAGAGGAAGAGCGCACTCATTTGCATTTATAAAGCATATTGAGAGTTCTGGCAGAAAGTTATGGTGGAAGCACAATTAAATATTTACCATCACTTCTGCTCTCAGACAGTGGCACGGGGACCAACCCAGCTGGAAGTGCGTGTGGTGCTGTGAGATCTGGGGATTCCTGCAGAGGACACGACTCTGGGACCCATGCCCACCACCCTCTGGGAGCACGTACTCAGTGCCCAAGGGGAGATCGCCGGGAAGGGCACACGCATGGTGGAGAGAGTGCTGGTGTGGGCAGACCAGGTCCCAAGTCCCATCTTCACTACCTAGAAGAGATATGACCTTGCTCGTGTCATACAACCTCCCCCGTCCCTCTGCCCTCCCTCTGTCTCTCTCCATCTCTCTCTCCACCTGTGCTCCTCATCTGCAGGATGGGCCTAGAGCTAACTAGTAGGCAGGATTATGAGGGGAGAAGGTGAGGCTGAGTGAAATAAAACACTGTGAAACATGAGGTATTGCTATTACTATAACTTAAATCACTCCAAGTTTTAGTCTCTTTAGCTATGTCAAAATCTGATATGGTATATTCTATATGATATCGATAAAGTATCTTTAAGAATCTAATTATGTTACACATCTAATGATATTTCATCTGCTTTCTTCTTTGCATTGTTGTAAAGACCAAGGGAATAACACATGTTGGGGATACAACAATGCATATAAATTGATGTGTGCCTCAGAGAAATTCATGGTTTAGTTGAGGAAAGGACAAGAAGCAAAGTCATAACTGGCACCCTATTCTGGCTGAGCCTATGAGAAAAAGACTGGAAAAACGAACTGGAAAAATTTTTCTGTATGCGGGGAACAGGTGTGCCTGTCCCAACAAGGAGCATCAGGGAGATTCGCCCTGTGTGTAGGCAAAGGGAAATGCTTGAGGTTTCCTGGAAAGGGGTGGGCAGTGGTGAGGAGGGAAGAATGGAGTATCTCCCCCTGCCTCTTGGGACAGAGACGGGAGAGTGACTCCTAAAAGCAACAGTGGGAGGGGCAAGAACCAGCTGATGGGAATGAAGTAGGAGTCATCCCAAGCAGATGGGAGAGTAAGAAAAACAGTGAGCAAAAGGAGAAGGGAGGCTAAGAAGGCAGATAGAAGGGATTTCTGGCAAGGGCTGGCTTGACTTGCAGGAACCTGGGAAGGATGAGATGCATAAGAAACCTAGCATAGAGCCAGGTACTGTGGCGTGCACCTGTAATCCCAGCTACTCAGGGGAGACTGAGGTGGGACATCTCTTGAACCCAGAGTTTGAGACCAACCTGAGCAACATAACAAGACCCCGTCTCAAAAAAAAAACCTGACAGAGAGATCCCATATTCCCAGGGAACACTTCCCTGTAGAGGCTTCAGTATGGAAACCCTCAGGGCATTCCCACCAACCAGTGGGGCCACCTCCTGGGGGTCCGGATGGTGGGGCCAGGTCTGAGCCTCCTGTGAGGAAGAAGAGGCAGGTACTGCCTGGCCCTGCAGGCAGTTTCTGTTTCTGTCTGGATTGGCACCTTTGGATATACTGACATTTGGGAAAAATTAGACACCCATCATGTTGAAAAGGAAATAAACCCTCTTTTTACAGCTCCTCCATGCTTTTTGGAGAGACATTAATCAGATATTCAGTTGAAATATTTACAGTGTCCTTCCATCATGGTAACAAAATACAACATATACTAACAGATGGAATAGCAGCTTCCAGGCCTTTTCTGAGCAGTGCCTTATGTGTATTTGATAAGGCAAGTCCACAGACCTTTCAAGCAGGACAGGGCTAGCGCCACCGTACAGTCATTTCCCTGTGTTATTCTCCACAGCCCACAGAACTCTTTAAGCCTGAAAGCCACACTATGAAATAGCTCAAGAACAAAGCTGCTATTACGTAAATGCAAGCAGCCGAGAGTTGGTCCCACTGCACAAAGGACACACGGCAGCCCCAACTCCTTCCCTCTACCTCCGCAGAGGATCCTTGCAAGAGAGCTGCAAGGTGGTAAAAAGGGGTTCAGGTATGCATTCAACAAAGAATTTTTAGTAACTCCCATGGAGACTGGGGGAAGGGAGTGCTGTGCAAGCAGAGACGAACAGGGAATAGACAGACATCCCAGCCCTCAGGGAGCTTGCAGCCACACAGAACACAGAAATTTTTCCAATAACCATGCAACTAGATCTGCAATGGCAGCCTCAGTGAATGGTAGGAGATGGACTCATAGGTACAATGTGAGCATGGAATAAAATGGCAGATGTATGGAGCCTGGTAGGCAGCTGGAACTTCCTCCTTCTTTTCCCCAGCCCCTGGCTGTTGAAAGCGCAGAGACCACCCCCGTCCCCTTCACATATTTGTGTATGAGCACACACACAGGCGCATGCATACACACACACACACACACACACACCCCTGCCCTAAGACAGTCCATACTGGCAAGAGTGGGATATATTAAATAATACCCCCCAGTCCCAAATCCAGACTGCATTAGGTGCCAAGGGTGTGCGTGGCTGGGTCGTCTGCCTTCCCTAGGGGTCTCTGAGCTGTCCTCCGAACCTGATCTGCACATGCTCTGCTGGCTGGGCAGGCCAGCCCTATTGGCATGGAACTCCTGTATGATGCCCACATGGCTCCTCAGGGTGTCTACTGCCCTTGACCCTCAGCCCTTGCAACAGGAGCCCAGCACTAAAGGTGTTTAAGCGCCAACTTCACACCATGTCCGGACCTCCTGCTGCCTGTACAGGCTGGTCTCCCTGTAATCTCATCCCTACCCGTCTGAATTGGCCTCAGGTTGCCTGCTGGCTTTGGATTTTGGAATGGGATTGGTTGACTGTAAACTGTTAAGGGCACCAGCCTGTGTTCTATCATGACCAGTGCCTGGGCCCAGCACAGCCACAGAAGTTCAAAGAGAACATGTTCCAAGCAAACTTTCCACAACCCATCTCCCATGTGTCTCCCCCATCTAAATCTTCTCCCTCCAGCAATTCTCTTCTTCTTCACACCAAACCCTTCCAAACTTCCCTGGGGCCCAGCTGTGAAACTTCAGCAGCATTTAGTTTTGATTCCTTCCTCTACTTCAGTCTTTTACTCAATCATTAACCATATTCCAATGGTTCTTTCTTCCTTTACAGCATCTTTTTCAGATGCGTATTCCTTTTCATTATCAGCACCCTATCTGACTCCAGGGCTTCATTCCTGCACATGAGGACCACAGCAACCACCTCGTAACTGGTGTTTCATCCAGGAGGCCTCATCTCGGTTGCTCTTCATGCAGCTGGAGACTTCATTGTCTGATAATGTAAATAGTTCAGCTTTTTAAAGAGTAATATGGCCACACTAAAGAAAGGCTTATAGAGTCTCAGGCCCTCTGACCACCTAATAACTTCACTCCGAAGAATTTGTCCAAAGAAAATAATTTCAGAAGTAAACAAAAAGCCCTATATCATGAAGGTATTCATTGCATCATTATCTGAACTATGAGAAAAACTGGAACCAGCCCAGAAGAGGTGCAGGATAGCACATTCACACGCCTGGAGTGTTATGAAGACAATGTAGCAGTGAGCAGAATGTGAGCAGTGAAAGAGAAAGCAGGAAGCAGAACTGTGTGAGCCAACAGATGCAACTCAGGAGACAGTGTTTCAACTGAGTGAAACAGCAACTACCTACAAAAACTAGGAAGCAAGATGGAACAGCTGCTGGGTAGGGGATGTTGGTTTACAGATGGGCTTCCTAATTATTACTATGCTGCTTTACATGACACAAATTCAGAAATAAAAATGTAACTAATTTTCAGAAAATTACTCTTTCATCACTTCTCATTCCTCTACTTTATGATTTTCAAAGTCTCTCCACTAACTCCAAGATATGCCACAAATGCCTGGCCTTTAAGAGCTTTCTGATCTAAACCCACCTCTTCCAAATTGATCTTCAGTTCCCTAAATGAAGCCCTTCTTCCAGCACCCCATTTCTGCTCATGCTGTTCCTCTTGCCTGGACTGTCTTCCTCCTCCCCTCTACACACCTGAAAGACTCGACCTAGTCCTACTCATGGAGGTCTTCCTTCCTCTACAGAACTCGTACTGTTTGAATGGTTGGTTTTCGTTATCACTTTATATATCTGAGTTTATTCGAAGTAACTTCAGAGCACAGAGCTGTGACTTCTGTCCCACAGAGCTTGGTCAGATGCCCTCATACAATATAAATGTTCAATAAACCCTGAAGATCTGGGTTCAAACCCCAGCTCCACAACTGATGAGCAAATCAACTCAGGCTGAATGCCAAAACACTAATGTACAACAAAGGTAGAGGCTTTCCCTCTTGCTTCCTGCCCTGAGTCAACAGAGACATGCCCATAAAGATGCTCTGTGTTTTCTTAAGAACACTCATTTGACTCACATTTATTTATTGTCTTTGCCAGTATAAAATGCTAGGCAAATGGAAGCTCTTATTGTGTAAGTCTCCACTGGTTGATGTGTGGTCATGGCCAGTGAGGAAGAGAAGAAACAAGCCTGAGGAAACTGAAAGTGCCAACCCAACCCATCTGCTGAATGACTGACT